>NC_000016.10:56986742-57289772 GCF_000001405.40 Homo sapiens | reverse complement strand
ATCTGCCTCAGAAACAATCATCTTTTTGTTTTCTGTGTCACAATAAAATTAAGGGCTCACCCGAGCTTTGTTCTGCACTTGGACTTGTCTGCAGAGAGGCTGGTCTCTGAGTAACAATTTTGCAGCTACCAAGAAGACTCCTCATTTCCAGAGCACCTACTGCAAGTGGGGTGCTGGGACAGGGGAAGGGGCTCAGGTGCATTGAGGGGAGGGGGTTGAACATCCCGTTGAGTAAAGGGTTAAGTCAGCATCAACCAGTGATATTTTTAAAGTGTTCATCAGAGCTTGTCTCTCGCCTGCTTAAAACACTCCAGGCCTTGGCCGGGCGCAGTGGCTCACGTCTGTAATCCCAGCACTTTGGGAGGCCAAAGCAGGCAGATCACGCGGTCAGGAGATCGAGACCATCCTGGCTAACACGGTGAAACTCTATCTCTACTAAAAATACAAAAAATTACCCAGGCGTGGTGGCGGGTGCCGGTAGTCCCAGCTACTCTTTGAGGCTGAGGCAGGAGAATGGCGTGAACCCGGGAGGCAGAGCTTGCAGTGAGCTGAGATCACGCCACTGCACTCCAGCCTGGGCGACAAAGCGAGACTCCGTCTCAAAAAAAAAAAACACTCCAAGCCTTAAAATAAAATGTTAGCCCTTCTCCATCATTGTGGTAGGCTGTATAATTGCCACTAAAAGATGTATCAGTGGCTCATGCACTTTGGGAGGTCAAGGCAGGAGGATTGCTTGAGCTCAAGTTCGAGACCAGCCTGGGCATCATGGTGAAACCCAGTCTTTACAAAAAATTGGTGAGTCATGGTGGCTCAAGGACCTGTGGTCCCAGCTACTCAGGAGGCTGAGGCAGGAGGATTGCTTGAAACCTGGAGGCGGAGGTTGTAGTGAGCCAGGATGGCACCACTGCACTCCAGCCTGGGCAACAGAGTGAGACCCTGTCTCAAACAAACAAACAGAACAGATCCTAATTCTTGGAACCTGTCCATTTTACCTTATAAAGTAAAAAGGTCTTTACAGATTAAGTGACTAAATTAAGATTCTTTTTCTTTTTTTTTCCTTTTGAAACAGGGTCTTGCTCTGTCACCCAGGCTGGAGTGCAGAGGCAAAAACATGGTTCACTGTAACCTCAACCTCCTGGGGCTTAAGCAATCCTCCCACCTCAGCCTCCTAAGTAGCTGGAACCACAGGTGTGCACCGCCACGCCCGGCCAATTTTTTTTTTTTTTTTAGAGACAGGGGTATTTGCTGTGTTGCCCAGGCTGGTCTCAAACTCCTGAGCCAAACCCATCCTCCTGCCTTGGCCTCCCAAAGTGCTAGGTTTACAGGCATGAGCCACTGCGCCCAGCCTCAAATTAAGATTCTTTATTTGAGGAAAACTATTCTGGAGTATCTGGGTGGCCCTAACACAATCACAAGTGTCCTTATAAGAGAGGCAGAGAGAGATGTTATACATACAGAAAAGGAGGAGGCCATGTGACGTAGGAGGCAGAGACAGGGTTGATGCAGTCATAAGTTGAGGAATGCCAGCAGGCCCCACCAGGGTTGGAAGAACAAGGATGGGATTCTCCTCTAGACTCTGCAAAGGGAGCATGACCCTCAGGACACCTGATTTTGGCTCTTCCCAAATTTTGGAAGATTTTGGCTCAGTGAAACTGATTTCAGACTTCTGGCCTCCAGGACTACAGGAGAGTAAATTTCTGGGTTTTCTTTTCTTTTTTTTTTTTTGAGACCGTGTTTCACTCTTGTTGCCCAAGCTAGAGTGCAATGGCTCAATCTCAGCTAACTGCAACCTCCGCCTCCCGGGTTCAAGTGATTCTCCTGCCTCAGCCTCCTGAGTAGCTGGGATTACAGGCGTGTACTACCACGCCCAGCTATTTTTTTGTATTTTTAGTAGAAACAGGGTTTCGCCATGTTGGCCAGGCTGATCTGGAACTCCTGACCTCAGGTGATCCACCTGCCAAAGTGCTGGGATTACAGCCGTGAGCCACCGTGCCTGGCCAAATTTCTGTTGTTTTAAGTCACCAAGTTAGAGCAGCCACAGGGCACTAATACAGTCCTCTAAATAGCCTGTGTGATCCGGCCCTGGCCCGTGTTGCCAATCTCACCCTTACTCACTTGGCTCTAGCCCTACCAAGGACCTTTTTCTGTTCTCAAAACTGGTCCAGCCTCAGGGCTCCTGCACTTATTAAATTCTTCCCCCAGAATTCCCAAGGCTAGCCCCTACTCATGATTTGGGTCTCTGCATAAATGTCACCTCTTCCCACAGGTCTTCCTTGACCACCTTAACCCAGAAATCACCTGTGGGTGACTCTGTGTCACATTCCCCCATTTTACTTTAGTCACAGCGTTTGTCACTATCTGAAAGTATTATTCCTCCCGGGTTTATTACTTCTCATCCCCACCAGACAGTGGGATCCAACGACTGAAATCCTATCATTTGTGGCAACACAGATGAACCTGGAGGACATCATGTGAGTGAAATAAGCCAGGCATAGAAAGACAAACACCACGTGGTCTCTCTCATATGTGGAATGAAATAAAGAAGTTGATCTCGGCCAGGTGCAGTGGCTCACGCCTGTAATCCCAGCACTTTGGGAGGCCAAGACAGGTGGATCACCTGATTTCAGGAGTTTGATACCAGCCTGGCCAACATGGTGAAACCTTGTCTCTACTAAAATTACAAAAAATTAGCTTAGCGTGCTGGCGGGCGCCTGTAATCCGAGCTACTCAGGCAAGAGAATTGCTTGAACCTGGGAGGCGGAGGTTGCAGTGAGCCGAGGTCGCGCCATTGCACTCCAGACTGGGCAACAAGAGCAAAACGCCATCTCAAATAAATAAATAAATAAATTGATCTCATAGTAGAGTAGAATAGTGGTTACAGGAGGCTGGGGTGTAGTGGGAGGATACAAAGAGGTTGGTTAACAGGTACAAAGTTACAGTTAGGGCTGGGCATGGTGGCTCACACCTGTAATTCCAGCACTTTGAAAGGCCAAGGCGGGTGGATCGCTTGAGGCCAGGAGTGCGAAACCAGTCTGGGCAACATGGAGAGACCCCATCTCTACAAAAAAATTTAAAAAAATTAGTCAGGGCTGGGCCCAGTGGCTGATGCCTGTAATCCCAGCCCTTTGGGAGGCCAAGGTGGGCGGATCACAAGACCAGCCTGGCCAACATGGTGAAACCCAGTCTCTATTACAGATACAAAAAATTAGCTGGGCATGGTGGCTCGAGCCTGTAATTCCAGCAAGACTCCATCTCAAAAAAAAAAAAAAATTAGTTGGGCATGGTGGCGTGCACCTGTAGTCCTAGCTACTAGGGAGGCTGAGGTGAGAAGATCACTTGAGCCTAGGGGTTGGAGGCTGCAGTAGGCTATGATCATGCCACTGCCCTCCAGCCTGGGTGACAGAGTGGGACCTCGCCTCAAAATAAATAAAAGTAAAAAGAAAAAAATACCAATATTGTACATTTCTTTTCTTTTTTTGTTTTTGTTTTTAGATGGAGTCTGGCTCTGTCACCCAGGCTGGAGTGCAGTGGCATGATTTCAGCTCACTGCAACCTCTGCCTCCCTGGGTTCGAGTGATTCTCCTGTCTCAGCCTCCTGTGTAGCTGGGACTACAGGCACCCACCATCATGCCTGGCTAATTTTTTTGTATTTTTGTAGAGACAGGGTTTTGCCATGTTGACCAGGCTGGTCTCAAACTCATGACCTCTGGTGATCTGCCTGCCTTGGCCTCCCAAAGTGCTGGGATTATAGGCGTGAGCCACAGCGCCTGGCCCTAATATTGTATATTTCAAAATATGGTAGCTAGAAGTGGGGATTTTGAATGTTCTCACCCCAAAGAAGCCATAAATGTATGAGGTGATGGATATGCTAAGTACCTTGATTTGATTTTTTTACACAACGTACACAGGTACCAAAACATCACATGGTACCCCATATTTAGGTACAATTATAGGTTGCCGAAAAAGTAATTGCGGTTTTTGCTATACTTTTATATGCAAAAACCGTATAACTTTTGCACCAACCTAATATTACATGTCAGTTAAAAACAATTTTTTAAGTGGCTCTCTTTTTAAGTGGGTATTTGGGAAAAAAAAAATGTGGGAGCCAAGAAGGCCTTGTCTACTTCGTTTCCTGCTGTATCCACAGGGCCTGGCATGTAGTAGGTGTTCAGCAAACATTGGTTGATGAATGCATGATGACCTATCTGTGCAAACCTCTAGGCTCAAGAGGTGTGTGTGTGTGTGTAAGTATTTTAGGGTGCATGTGTGGCAATGAAACTGTATATGACCTCCCATCTTCTGAGTGACCCCTCCTCCCTCACGCTGTCAGGAGCTTTCTGGGGAATATTTCATTTATTCCCTACAACGCTCTGTGAGGCAGGTTTCCTTCGTATCTATATGACAGACGAGGAAACTGAGGCTCCGCGATCATCTAAGTTATATAAAATATGTTCAGAAGTGAAAACAGCATTAATAGGCAGAAAAGGACCTCCCCCTTCTACCGCTTACCCACCGCTTACCCAGACCCTCCCCTTCCCCGCGCTGGGTCTCCCAGGATTCTTCTTTACTTTCTTTTCTATAAAATACAGACGGGGGGAGGGGGGGCGTCTCACTGTGTTACCCAGGCTGGTCTCGAACTCTTGGCCTGAAATTATCCTTTCACCTTAGCCTCCCAAAGTGCTGCGATCAGAGGCAGGAGCCACCGCATCCAGCCTTCTCCCGGGACTCTTCAAGAGTCGCTGCGCCGGGGCCTAGGCCGAGGGTGCACAGCGCGTAGAAAGCGCCTGGGAGAGCGGTGTCCCCCGCGAGCTACCACAAGTTTATCCCTAGGCGCGGAAGCTACCACGGCCTGGGCGAGAGCCGGGAAATTCCCAGCGGGCGGCTTGCCCCGGGGGAGGCCGGCGAAGCGGTCTAGGCTGGTGCTGGCGGAGCCGATTCACGGACCCGGGGTTGTTTACTGGTCCGGGGAGTGGACGCGGCTGCCCACGAACCGGTCGCGGCTGGGGCGGCGGCGGCGAGCAAAGGGTTAAGGGGGCGGCCCCGGCGGCGGGGGCGGAGCCGGGATCTCGGCCGCACCTGGCGCCCCAGGCTCCCAGCCCCGACGCCTCCTGCAGCGCCTGGAGCCACACAGGGATCCGGAGCCTGGGGGAAAAGCGGCGCGGGAGCCGGCACCCACCGCTGGAGGGGCGGCGACGGCGGCCGTAGCGACCTCGGGAGGCAAGCGGAGCCGCCATGGCCGAGTTCCCGTCGAAAGTTAGCACGCGGACCAGCAGTCCTGCGCAGGGCGCCGAAGCCTCGGTGTCGGCGCTGCGCCCGGACCTGGGCTTCGTGCGCTCCCGCCTCGGGGCGCTCATGCTGCTGCAGCTGGTGAGAGCACGCGCGGGCCCACGGGGTTGGCCGGGGGCTCCCGGTCCGGCCAGGATGGGTGAGGGACTCCGGCGCTGCGTTCATTTTTCGCGAACCTTGCGCTCCCCACCCGGGCTCACACTGTCACCGACGCGCTGCGCGTACCCCTAGGGCGCTTCCCGCACGGACGCCCCCAAGATCGCCCTGCATCCCTCTCACCACGACACTACCCCGTGGCCGTCGCTGCGAGCGTGAGCACCCTGCACCGTGTACAGAGTGCCCACTGCCCGTGCCCCATCGTGCCCCCTCCAAGGTGGTTACCAGCGGCCACAGAAGCCCCCACCGGAGCCACAGTCACTGCGCACAACCCGCCAACCCTTCCCAGCCCTCCCTTCCCTCCTCTCTCTTTTTCACCCCTCTTTCTGCCCGGACAGTGCCCCCAGCCCTCTAGGGAACCCAGTCTGAGGCAAAGTCCACTCTCTGACCACCTTCTGTCCCGCTCCCAGCGGCTCCGGGTGGCCGCACCCATGAACATTCCTCATCTAATCTAGAGGGCACATCCGACTCCCCAACACGCACACTCAGGCACTACCCTGTGGGCGCCCGCGCGGGAGCCGGGCTCTTCTAGCTTTCTCTGGGTGACCCGCCAGGTTTCAGCCGGTTTAGCCAGCCCCACGGGACCGAGATATCGCTGGAGGGAGGGGTTTGTGGGTAGCCAGGGGCAAGACTCCTACTCTCTCCCAGACCCCTGTACAGACCCCAACTGAGGCGGACCCATGGGAACATCCTCCACTCCCACACCAGCCACAGGCCCGGATGTTAGCTTCTTCCTCTGCCACCCTTTCGTGAGGGTCTGGAAGCTGGGTGGGTGCCCTGGGTGGGTGAGGGCCTGATACATTTTCAGAGGACTCAGGTGGAATTGGAGTTGGGCCAGGACCTGTATTTCTTAGCAATCCAGCGAGTGGACATTTCCCATTGTCTCCTATTGCTGGGTGCTAGCGCTGCTGCGAGGCCCAAGCTAGAGGGCAGGGTGGTTGCTTTGGTGCCAGACCCTGGGCTGAGGTCCAGTCTCCCTTCCCTGACCTCTCCAGGTGCGGGCCCACCTCTACCTGGGTCAGTGCTATCTCATTTCAGGATTTCTCAGATCTCTGTGGGCCCCCTCCCCAACCTCTGAATCTCCTGGCGGGTTTGTTTAAAATTTAGATTATTGGACTCCACCCCCGGAAAAAAATGTGCAATCGGAATTTGAATCTCAGGAAGTACAGCCAGAAATTCATTTTTAACAGTTCTCCCAGAGTTTTTTGTTTGTTTCTCTTTTGGGGGGTGGGGGAGAAGGGGAGAAGATTCTGTCTTCTGAGGGAAGAGGTCTAGTTCCTGGAATCATTTAATTCTGCAGATGGGGAGAGCCACTGACCCCGCCACCGCTAGAATGCTCTGCTCTGGGCTGGTTGTGAGGGGCACAGCCATGAGCAGCTGCCTGGCTGCCCAGGGGAGAGCCAGGTGGGTGTGAGAAGTGGTGCGAAAGGGCAGAGGAGAAGGAGAGCAATTTCACGACCAGGAAGGCTTGTTGGAGGAGGTGGTTTTTGAGCAGAGACTTCACTGAAATCTGAGGCAGACGCAGGGAAAGGGTGTTCCAAGGGCAGGGAACAGTGTGAGCCAAGATGTGGTGATGAGAAAGTTGAATTAATTTGCAGGGAGTAGCCAACAGGTTGGTGGTGCTGGAGTTGAAGCACTTGTTTCTGGTGTGGACAGAAGCCAAGGGCCTTGTGTAACTTCTGCGAGCTACAGGGTCTAGGTTCTGTTGGTGGCCTTAAGAGGTTTTGGAACAGAAGAGGGATCTTGCTGGGTGGAGGATGATGACTGGCAAGATCCCTGTGAGGGATCCCTCAGCATCCCTGGTGAGGTGGATCCTGAGGCTGGCCCCTGATGGACAGGAGGATTGCTTGTGGCCAGAAGTTCAAGACCAGCCTGGGCAACATATTGAGACCCTGTCTCTACAAAAAAAAGGAAAAAAAAAATAGCCAGGCATGGTGGTATGCGCCTGTGGTCTCAGCTACTTGGGAGGCTGAGGTAGGAGGACCCCTTGTGCCTGGGAGTTTGAGGCTACAGTGACTTTGATCGCACCACTGCACTCCAGCCTGGGTGACAGAATGAGACTTTGTCTCAAACAGACAAACACACACACAAAAAAAAAAAAAGAAAAGAAAAAAGAAAGAGACTAGCAATAGGGGCAATAGGGGGAATGGAAGGCATTGGAGTAAGAGGAGGATGTTGCTGCTGTGGGCCGCAAGGGTCTTGGTAGCTTCCTCTAGGGCAGGCTTGTGTTCCTGATTGGGGTTGGGATGGGTGGGGGCATCCCCTGTGGCCTCAGCAATCCAGCCCTGCGCATCTGGGTCCCATTACACAGACGTAGACATTGAGGTCTAGTTAGAAGGACTTGCCAGGAGTCCTGTAATAGAGCTTGGCACTTGGGTCTCTTGACTCTCAGGGACTGGGTGTGAGGGAAGTGGGCTCCTTTTGCTCCCTACCTGCAGTGCCTTTGAGGGGATGAGGGTCTTCCATCAGAGTTCTGAAAATGACCTGCACATTTTAGTGCCTTAGAAATCTGCTTGTTGGGGCCAGGTGTGGTGGCTCACGCCTGTAATCCCAGCACTTTGGGAGGCCGAGGTGGGCAGATCACGAGGTCAGGAGACGGAGACCATCCCGGCTAACAGGGTGAAACCCCATCTCTACTAAAAATACAACAAAATTAGCCTGGCATGGTGGTGGGTGCCTGCAGTCCCAGCTACTCGGGAGGCTGAGGCGGGAGAATGGCGTGAACCCGGGAGGTGGAGCTTGCAGTGAGCCGAGATGGCGCCACGGCACTCCAGCCTGGGAGACAGAAAGAGACTCCGTCTCAAAAAAAAAAAGAAATAAAAAAAAAATCTGCTTGTTGGAGAAGCTGCATCCTGAGCTGTTTCTCTGGCAACAGGTAGTTCCACTGGGTCTGAAATGGGATATGTGGGGGTTAATCCAACAGGCACCACCATCTGCTGGGAAGCCATGGTAGCTCCCATCTATCAGGCCAGCACTAGGCTCAGGCCCTTTGCCAAGGCCTTTAGATCTTCTTAGTCGGCCCCATTTTAGGTGAGAAAACTGAGGCTCAGAGGCCAGTTCTTTGCCCAAGATCTCACAGCCCTCCTCCACAGGAGTGATTTTTCTGACTTTTCTGGCCTATGGTCTTAATGACCACGTGTGGCTTTGCTGCTACCTTCCCAGGATCTGTCATTATGGAGGGAGTGGTGGGGACCCTGGGCCCACAGCCTGCTTTCCAGGAGCTCTTGGTCAGTGAGAGAGGTGCCCAGAGGATGTGCTTCTCCCAGAGGGATCAGAGAAGGCTGCATGGAGCAGGAAATAAATGAGAAAATGGAAGCTAATTCTCCATCAAACCCTTCTGTTTCCCAGGATTTGATGAATGTTCCTGGTATGGTGGGAGGAAGGGGAGGTGGGTAGAAAGGCTCCCAGCTCCTGGAGAAGGAGATACACTTTTCATTCGGTATCAGAATGTGTCCTGAAGAACCAATCTCAGTATTCTTCACAGATGTCTGGTGGTGTTCATTGATTTATCACTATCGTTATTCCTTGTAGATTCAGAAAGAACACCAGATGGAATATGATATTAAACCACATAAGACAGAAGAGTTAAAGCGATGTATCTTTAAAAGCTGGTGGTGTGGAGGGGAGAATTGACTTGCAGCAAGTTTAAGGCTGTTGATTATTTGTTGAACTTCCTAGCAGCCTAGGCAAAAAGGGAAACATGAAGAATCTATGCAGATAGCGTCTAAAAAAGGAGGCAGGTCTTTGTTTTGTTTTGTTTTGTTTTCTCTTGCCAATGGATTCATGTCACAAGGCAGGCAAGTTTGATCTACAGATAACTCTTTTGGTTTTAAAAAAAAAAGGCATCAGTGCTACAGATTTTTGTGTAGCTCAGGTGGAAGAATGCAGAAGGCGTGGTTATTTGCTTATGGGGAGCTCCCAAAGCCTTTTTACAATAAGTATAAAGTAGTGCTGTTAGGTGCCCATCTCTCATTTTTTCAAGCCTCCCCAAGCCGTGGGGAGAAGGATGATCTTATCTGGATTTACTGATAAGTAAATAGGCTCCGAGAGGGTGAGGAACTTGTCCAAGGTCACACAGGATAGAGTGGCAAGCTTGGCTTTGCACTTCGATCTGGAAATCCAAAACCTGGCTCTAGCTATGCTTCCTCATCTTGTTTACTTTGGGGGTGGGAAGTTCTAGAGTGCTTTCTAGGGGGAAAAGGGGGACTGCAGGAAGGGAGACTCATCAGGGGCCAAGGCCATCAGGGAGGGCTTCCTGGCATAGGAAGGGAGAAGGAGGATCAGGACAGACCAGAGCTTGTACAGAGACCTGTCAGTCAGTAGGCGTCCTTGAGGCCCAGGATGTGGAAGCTGTGTGAATGCCCTGTGGCGGTAAGGCCATTTGGTTTGGTACCTTCTGTCCTTCCATTTTGCCCCACCTCCTGGGATTGGGGGTGGCCACACAATTCCCACTTTGCAGGTGAATAACAGATCAAAAGCCTCACCTAGCTAGGCAGGTGGCAGGGTGGCACATGCCTGTAGTTCCAGCTACTTGGGAGGCTGAGGTAGGAAGATTGCTTGAGCCTTGGAGTTTAAGGCTGCAGTAAGCCATGATCACGTCACTGCACTCTAGCCTGGGTGACAGAGTAAGACCCCTACTTTTTTTTTTTTTTCCTCGAGACAAGGTCTTGCTCTGTCACCCAGGCTGGACTATAGTAGTGTGATCACAGCTCACTGCAACCTCAACCTCCCAGGCTCAGACGATCCTCCCACTTCAGGCCTCCTGAGTATCTGGGACGACAGGTACATGCCACAATGCCTGGCTAAGTTTTTATATTTTTTGTAAAGATGGGATTTCATCATGTTACCCAGACTGGTCTCGAACTCCTGGGCTCCAGCAATCCACCTGCCTTGGCCTCCCAAAGTGCTGAGATTACAGGTGTGAGCCACTGTACCCAGTCCTCTACTCTTAACAAAAAAAAAAAAAAAGGAAGAAGAAGAAGAGAAGCCTTCCCTAGATCTCCATGATCCATGGGGTGGCATGGAGAGTGCTGATGGGAACACAGGCCTGGACGCTGAGAGCCTTGGGTTCAAATCCTGGCTCTGTCCCTTTCTGGCTGCATGATCCTGGGGGAGTTCCCAAATTTCCCTGAGCCTCACTTCCTTGTCTGTCAGATGGTGATGGCAGGATCTAGATCATGCCTGCAAAGAGCTAGCCTAGCACTATATGTGGGAATGAAGGACAGTTTGGATTCACAGGGTTATAGGATCCGAGGGTTCTTATGCAAGCATAAGAGGTGCCTTTGCAGCATCTCCAACATGAACTTGCATGCTTCCAGAGACAGGGAGCTCAGTTCTTCTTAAGGCTGCCTGCTCCATCCTTGGGCACTTGGGAGTGTTGGAAAGTTCTTCCTTATGGTGATACCGGCTCTGTCTCCGGCCCCAGGAGGCAGACCAGCTCCTCTGCAGATGAAGGGCAGGGCAGGGACTGAAAGCCAACTCTGGTCTCCAGGAAGGGGCTACCTAGATGAGATTGTTGGAGTCCGAGTGAGGTGTGAGCAGGGCTTGGTCACACTCGGATTGCAATGTCTGAGACTCCCGGGGCTTCCCTTAGCACTGAGATTTGTGGGTGGTTCAGTCTTTTTAGTACAGCATTCCAGGCCCCGCATGCCCAATATCTTCATCCAACCCAGCTCCACTGCACAGAGCAATAAATGCCTTGTATTGTTAGTTCCCCCCACACTCCCCACTTACTGCAAGGGGGGGAGTATTGAGTGTTTGGGAATTAATGTGTAATTACATTATGAATATATGAATACATTCTCCTCACAAAATAAAAAAACCTGTACAGATTACACTAAAGCTGTAGTTGGATTACCCACCTCTGTCCCTAAGGGGACAACTATTTGGGGTGTTTCTAGTCTTTTTTCCTGTGCACTTTTGAAAACATTGATAGTTTTATTCTGTATCCTTTGTTCAGCAAGTTGCTTTTCTCATACTTGGTGCATCTGAGAGCTCTTCTTGTGCTCTGTCATCCAGGCTGGAGTGCAGCGGCGTAATCTCAGCTCACTGCAACCTCCGCCTCCCGGGTTCACGCCATTCTCCTGCCTCAGCCTCCCGAATAGCTGGGACTACAGGTGCCTGCCACTACACCCAACTCATTATTGTATTTTTAGTAGAGACGGGGCTTCACCATGTTGGCCAGGCTGGTCTTGAACTCTTGACCTCAGGTGATCTGCCTGTCTCTGCCTCCCAAAGTGCTGGGATTACAGGCATGAGCCACCGTGCCTGGCCACTCTTCATGTTTTGAGACTTGTCTTCCTTCCTTGTAAACTGTTGTGGAGTAACCCGTAGTGTCCCGGCAGCCTCTGCTCATTTAGCTGTTTCTCTACTGATGGAATTGTTTTATTCTTTGAAAAAAAAATTACAGAGACATAATACAAAGCACTCAAATAGTAGAAAGGGTAATCAAGAAAATGTAATCTCTCTCATCCCTGACTGACCACGCCCCACAGCTGCCCTCACCCCAGGCAACCACATGCCTTGTGTCTCATTCCAGGGTGAGTGGATGCATATTTCTACATAAAACCCACATCCTCACTTAACCACAGATAGGTGCTGTCTGGGCATGTGCCAAGCCATGCTTTTCCCCAGGGCAATACACCTAGGGATATTCTGTATCAGTGCACAGCAAGCTGTGTCCATCTTTTTCATACCTTTATTACCTAATTTCTTTTTCTTTATTTTTATTTTGTTTGTTTGAGGCAGAGTCTTGCTCTGTCACCCAGGCTGGAGTGCAGTGACGTGACCTCAGCTCACTGCAACCTCTGCCTCCCAAGTTCAAGTGATTCTCCTGCCTCAGCCTCTTAAGTAGCTGGGATTACAGGCACGCACCACCATGGCCTGACTAATTTTTGTATTTTTAGTGGAGACAGGGTTTCACCATGTTGATCAGGCTGGTCTCAAACTCCTGACCTCAGGTGATCCGCCCGCCTCGGCCTCCCAGAGTGCTGGGATTACAGGCGTGAGCCACCGCACCCGGCCCCTAATTTCTTTAATAGGTAATGTATTTACAATGCTCAAGAATAAAATAGACAGGGAAGGAGTACAGTGAAAAATCTCTGTTCCCTTTTGGTTAAAGTTGACTCCTTCATGCCCACTCTCAGTTTTCTATATCCCATTTTAAGACTTTCTTTAAGGAGACCTATGCAAATGTGGCTCTAGATTCCTCTCTCTCCCAGTTTATATAGTCTCCCCAAGATATATAGTCTAGCCACATCCTTCTGCACTTTTTCTTTTACACTTAAAAAATGAATCTTGGGGGTCCTTTTGTCTCAGTGTGTGGAGTGCAATTGCTTCTTTCTTTATGGCTTCTATAGTATTCCACCATGCAGCTGTGGTGTGACTGTGTGGTCAGTCCCTTTGTTGACAGACACTTCGGGTTTTCTATTCCTTTGCTGTTGCGCACCCTGCTGCAAGAAATGCCACCAAGTGCATCTGTACGATATGTTTCCAGGAGTGGGACTACTGGGTGGGAGGATACATGCATTTGGGATTGTGATGTAGATTGCCAAATGCCTTCCGGAGAGGTCACACCCTTCCTGCCTGCAACAGCATGCCTCCTGGAAGGTTCCTGTTCCCACAGCCTCCCAACATGGTGATTTAACACACTTCTGGATGTGCCCCAATCGAATAGACCAAAATGATAGGTCAATGTAGTGTTATTTTCATTTCTCTCTCTCTCTTTTTTTTTTTTTTTTGAGACAGAGTCTCACTCTGTCACCCAGCCTGGAGTGTAGTGGCATGATCTTGACTCACTGCAACCTCTGCCTCCTGGGTTCAAGCAATTCTCTGGCCTTAGACTCCCGAGTAGCTGGGATTACAGGCGCCCACCACCAAGCCCGGCTAATTTTTGTATTTTTAGTAGAGACGGGGTTTGGCCATGTTGGCCAAGCTGGTCTTGAACTCCTGACCTCAGGTGATCTGCCTGCTTCAGCCTTCCAAAGTGCTGGGATTATAGGCATGAGCCATGATGCCCAGCTAATTTTTATATTTTTAGTAGAGACAGGGTTTCACCATGTCGGCCAGACTGGCCTCGAACTCCTGACCTCAGATGATCTGCCTGCCTC
Source organism: Homo sapiens (assembly GCF_000001405.40). Taxonomy (NCBI): domain Eukaryota; kingdom Metazoa; phylum Chordata; class Mammalia; order Primates; family Hominidae; genus Homo; species Homo sapiens. Next base: position 57,276,222 of record NC_000016.10, on the reverse strand, counting down.
AGCCTTCCAAAGTGCTGGGATTACAGGCATGAGCCACCAAACCTAGCCTATTTTCAGTCTCTTATCAGTGAGGTTGACCTTTTAAAAAATGTGTTTGGGTTGTTTGTTGGTTTTTGAGACAGGATCTCACTCTGTCACCCAGGCTGGAGTGGAGTGGCACGATCAGGAATCACTGCAACCTCCGCCTCCAGGGCTCAAGCCATCCTACCACCTCAGCCTGCCGAGTAGCTGGGACTACAGGTGCTCCTCACCATGCCCAGCTAATTTTTGGTAGAGACATGGTCTCACTATATTGCCCAGGCTGGTCTCGAACTCCTGGGCTCAAGCAGTACTCCTGCCTCGGCCTCCCAAAGTGCTGAAATTATAAATGCAAGGCGCGGCGCCAGGATCTAAAAGATGTTTAAGAGCCGTTTGTATTTCCTTGTCTGTTTGTATTCTTTGCTCATTCTACTGAGTGTGGTTGGTCTTTGCCTTAATAACTGCTAGGAGTTCTGGATTATTTGCAAATATTTCTTTCCTAATTTGTTTGTTTTGCTGGGTTTTTTTCCCCCTCTCATGGTGTTTTTTTTTTTTTTTTTTTTGCCTTGCAAAATTTTGTTGTAGTGTTTTTTTTTTTTTTGCTGAATTTCTTTATTTCATTCCTCTTCCTTTTTTCTTTCTGGGTTCTGGAAATTGAATCATAGTTCAGTCTTTTTCACTCCAGTTGTATCTGTCTGGAATGTATTAACATTGTTACATATTTGTTGTATTTAATTACCTTGTTAGCTTCTATTGTGACAGATAATACAGGTTTCCCACTTCCTAGTGATTTAAGTTTCCTTTTTAAAATTAGCTTATATATGTGATATATACAAGTTCATCAATGGGGACTAGTTTAGATAAATTATGATACATCTGTACAATGGTGCATGATGCAGTGAGTAAAAAGATATCCCCCCACCCCTCAAAGAAGACAATGCAACAGCTCTGTGTATAAGGATGGACAATCTCCAGGCTACCTATTTAAGTGAAAAAAGCAAGGTGCAAAATTGTAGCATGCTATCATTTGTGTGGAAGAAGTACACAGATACAAGACACACTTATCTGAAATGCATGTGTGTGTGTGTGTGTGTGTGTGTGTGTGTGTGTGAAGTCCCTGGAGACACACATAAGAAACCACTCTTGGCCGGGCGTGGTGGCTCACGCCTGAAACCCAGCACTTTGGGAGGCCGAGGCGGGCGGATCACGAGGTCAGGAGATTGAGACCATCCTGGCTAACACGGTGAAACCCCGTCTCTACTAAAAATACAAAAAATTAGCCGGGCATGGTGGCGGGCGCCTGTAGTCCCAGCTACTCGGGAGGCTGAGGCAGGAGAATGGTGTGAACCCGGGAGGCGGAGCTTGCAGTGAGACAAGATCGCATCACTGCACTCCAGCCTGGGTGACAGAGCAAGACTCCATCTCAAAAAAATAAACAATAAACTACTCTTGATCCAGGCACAGTGGCTCACACCTGTAATCCCAGCATTTTGGGAGGCCGAGGCAGGCAGATCGCCTGAGGTCAGGAGCTCGAGACCAGCCTGGCCAACATGGTGAGACCTCATCTCCACTAAAAAGACAAAAAATAGCCTGGCATGGTGGTGCGTACATGTAGTCCCAACTACTCGGGAGGCTGAGGCATGAGAATCGCTTGAACCCCGGAGGCAGAGGTTGCAGTGAGCCAAGATTGTGCAACTGCACTCCAGCCTGGGTGACAGAGCAAGATTCTGTCTCAAAACAAAAACAAAAACAAAACCACACTCTTGGTTGCCTCCAGAAGTTGAGTATCAAATGGAAGACAGGATGCTGAATATGCTATTTGGATACCTATCATGTCATATATATTACATCTTTCAAAGATAAGATAAAATCACATTTAAAACTTTGAAATAAATGAAAATATTGAGTAAAGAAAAAAATAGGGCCAGGTGTGGTGGCTCACACCTGTAATGCCAGCACTTTGGGAAGCTGAAGCAGGAGGATCACTTGAGCCTAGGAGTTCGAGACCAGCCTGGGCAACAGAGCTAGACCTTGTCTCTATACAAATTTAAAAATTAGCCAGGTATGGTTGTGTGCGCCTGTCCCAGCTCTTGGGAGGGTGAGGTGGGAGGATTGCTTGAGCCTAGGAGTTCAAGGCTGCAGTGAGCTGTCATCACGCCACTACAGTCCAGCCTGGGCAACAGAGTGAGACCCTATTGCCAAAAAAATAAAAAATAGTACACGTTCGTGGATATGGCAAAAGCTATGAAGGTGGCACTTGAATGTCCTCAGGCCCAGAGAGAGAAAGGCACTTTCCCCAGGATCACACAGCAGGGAGCAATAGCCTTGAGTTCAGTGTTATGGCTGAGGGACCTTGGGTGATTTTCCCAACCATCTATGAGTGGAAGGAGAACAGGGTACTGGGATAAAGTCTCCCAGGCTGTTGCTGTTGCTGTTGACCTGGCAGGGACAGGCATTGGTCACTCCTTATCAGCCAGTGAGTTGTTTGTGGCAGAATTCGGTGAGGACTAGGACCCTGATTTCCCATTCAGAGATTATCTGACAGATCCCCATGGCTGTTGTTTGCCCAGGTCTCCATGGTAATTGGGAACCTGGGTGGTGGGGGTGCTGTCTTTCTTGGCAGCCCAGTGGGCTGAGCCCTGATTGTGACAAAAGCCAGGCCCAGGCCCTTTGCTGTTGGGCTGGGTTGGTCTCTCCTGTTTGTCCAGTGGGGAGAGGCCAGGGTGGTACCCCAGGGTCTCACAGGGAGTTGCAGGCAGGGAGACAGGTCAAAGGTCAGTCAGGGCCCAAATCCTGAGCTGCTAGGGAACAGACACAGGCCTGTTCTGGGATGTTCTAGCTTTTATTTGGGGCTGGGGTCAGACACCAGATGAGCTTTTTCACATCTGCCACTCTGTGTGAGGGTGGCAGGATGGGAGCATTGCCCCCCCAACTTTTTTTTTTTTGAGATGGAGTCTTGCTCTGTCCCCCAGGCTGGAGTGCAGTGGCATGATCTCGGCTCACTGCAAGCTCCGCCTCCCGAGTTCACACCATTCACCTGCCTCAGCCTCCCCAGTAGCTGGGATTACAGGCACCTGCCACCGTGCCCGGCTAATTTTTTGTATTTTTTTAGTAGAGACGGGGTTTCACCATGTTAGCCAGGATGGTCTCGATCTCCTGACCTCATGATCCACCCGCCCGGCCTCCCAAAGTGCTGGGATTATAGGTGTGAGCCACCGCGCCTGGACCCCCACCCCCAACTTTTTTTTGAGACAGGGTCTCACTCTGTCACTCAGGCTGGAGTGCAGTAGTGTGATCATGGCTTACTGCAGCCTTGACCTCCTGGGCTCACATGATCCTCCCGCCTCAGCCTCCCAAGTAGCTGGGACCACAGGCATGCACCCCATGCCTGGCTAATTTTGTTTTTGTTTTTTTGTAGAGATGGGGATCTTGCTTATGTTGCCCAGGCTGGTCTCAAATTCCTGGGCTCAAGCGTTCCTCCTACCTTGGCCTCCCAAAGTGCTGGGATTGCAGGTATGAGCCACTGTGCTCTGCCAATGGGCCCCTCCTTGAAGTTGAGACAGACAAGTCTTGCTCAAGGTCACCCAGAACATCAGTGCCAGCATTGGGTGTAGAACCAGTGTTGCCGGAAGTCCAGGGAGAGAGGAAGACACTCACTTTAGCACCCCAATTCCTCCAGCAGGCCGAGGCCAGGGTGCACGGGACTGATGAGGCTCTATATACTTCCAACAGCAGCTGGTTCTTTCTCTGGAGGGGCCGATGGAAGGATGAGGTGGCCTTGGGGTGCTGAGACTATAAGCTTCTTGTTATCCCAGCTGCCTTGGGTTCGAGTTCTGCCACTGCCCCCTCTCAGCTCTGGCTTCAAGAGCAGTGATGCTCTCTTCAAATAAAGTAGTCTCCAGGGGAATGTCCCCACATCCTGGGTGACAGGGGAAGGGGAGCCTGGGCCACAGAACTATCCAGGTCCCAACCCTTACCAGGCATGACCTTGGTTCAGGTCCAGATCTTCCAAGAGCCTCGGTTTTCCTCATCAGTGGAATGGGTCAAGTGTTTCCCTTGAGAGGGTTGGGCCCAGAAGGAGGAAGGCCCTGGGGGTAAAGCCCTGGCGGGGGCCTGGCAGGGTAGTTGCGGGGGCAGGAGTTGGAGGGAATGAATGCAGGGCTCCACCTGGGACTTCACAAGGAGGGTAAGGCCTTCCTGGGAATGCTCTGTGTGGTTGGAGGGGCCTGGGTGCTGGGGAGGCTTGGGTAGGCTTTGTGGGGTAGGCCTAGGAGACCCTGGGAAGGAGGGAGGAAGCAGAGGAGGGGACTGGCAGGCAGGGAGCTCTGAGTTTCTGAGATCCCACCTGCGAGTGCTGCCACCTGCTCTGAGAGCCAGAGAGGGCCTTGGAGTGTCACTGAAGAGGCCCCTACCCGCCTTCACACACCTGGGGGCGGCCTGTGGAGGGAGGACCTGCTTGATCTGACCAGAGGGCAGGATGGGAACGGGGAGGGATTAAGTAGGGGTAGTTTCAGTTCAGGTTGGGAAGACTTTTCTTTTTTTTTTCTTTTTTTATTTTTGAGACAGAGTTTTGCTCTTATTGCCCAGGCTGGAGTGCAATGGTGCCATCTTGGCTCACTGTAACCTCTGCCTTCCAGGTTCAAGCAATTCTCTTGCCTCAGCCTCCCGAGTAGCTGGGATTACAGGTGCCCACCACCACGCCCAGCTAACTTTTTGTATTTTTATTAGAGGCGGGGTTTCACCATGTTGGCCAAGCTGGTCTGGAACGCCTGACCTCAGGTGATCCACCTGCCTTGACCTCCCAAAGTGCTGGAATTACAGGTGTGAGCCATCGTGCCCGGGTGGGAAGACTTTTCTAAAGCCCTAAGCGGGGACCTCACAGCAAGGATAAGGTGGTAGTGGCTCCTCACAGCAAGGATGAGGTGGTAGTGGCTCCTTGGCTGCAAGTACACGTGGGGGCTGCAGGACCTTGCTGGGGGTCCAGGGGCGGCTCAGCTCAGCCACTGGGGTAGGTGTGCTGCAACTTCTTCTGCGTTTGGCATTGAAATGCTCTCTGCTCTGAGACCCAGGACTCAGGAATAACAAGCGATACAATGAACGCCTTGGAGGAGGACCAGGTCTGAGCCCCCACCTCCAGCATCGTCCTCCTGCCATAGCCCCAGGAAGCAGGGTCCACGCGGGAGGTGGGGGTGGGGTGGCTGTGGCCTGGGGTGGCGACCCTCGCTGCCAAGCTCCCCACTGTGTTCCCAGGGCATAGAATAGCGCCTGGCACAGTTTGTTTAATGACTGAATGACTCCGTTTGGCAACTTACATGCCCATTTTTCCGACGAGAAAAGAGAGCTTAGGGCTATTCAGTACTGCCCAGGTCTAGTGGATCTGGGGCTGGGTTCCGAGTCTGCTGTCGCCTTCCTGGAGAGCGGGGATGACTCCAGGATCCTCGAATGCTGGAATGCATGGCATGGGAATTCCAAGGTGCCCTCCCTCTCACACAGTCAGGGGGTGGTGTGTGGCTGTGTCGTGGCCAGCTTAGGCGCCCGGAGCCTCTGTCCCCTGCCCCTTTGTCTCGTGTGATACAATGGGTGGCTTTTTGTCCCCATAAAGTCCCTTTCACTGTAGGGAGAAGGGCCAGAGCGGGGGTGGGGACCGAGCCTGGCCAGGCTGAGTTCTGAGTGTCCTTGGCTTGCCCAGATGTGTCCCCAGTGAGGGGGACCCCAGGAAGGGTTTGCTTTGCCATGCTGGGCGTGGTTTTCCTGGATGGAGCAGTGGGAATAGAGAGGCCGGAGCTGGGGAAGGACTCGGGGACCTGGGAAGCACTCAGGGGCCATGGATGGACTTGGGGGCAGGGGAAGGACTCGGGGGCTGTGGAAGGACTTGGGGGCTGTGGATGGACTCAGGGGCTGGGGAAGGACTCGGGGGCTGGAGATGGACTCGGGGGCTGGGGATGGACTCGGGGGCTGGGGAATGACTCAGGGGCCAGTAAAGGACTTGGGGGCTGGAAAAGGGGGTTGTGGATAGACTCGGGGACTGTGTTTGGACTCGGGGGCCATGGAAGGATTTGCTGCCTTGGCCCCTTTGGCCGTTACGTTGTTTCTAAAAACCTTTGGTTCAGTCACCCATGTTTAAAAAGCTGATTTTTGCCAGGTGCAGTGGCTCACGCCTGTAATGCCAGCACTGTGGGAGGCCAAGGCAGGTGGATCATCTGAGGTCAGGAGTTTGAGACCAGCCCGGGCAACATGGTGAAACCCTGTCTATACCAAAAATACAAAAATTAGCCGGGCATGGTGGTGGCACGCACCTGTAATCCCAGCTATTTGGGAGTCTGAGGCAGGAGAATGACTTGAACCCAGGAGGCAGAGGTTGCAGTGAGCCGAGATTGCGCCACTGCACTCCAGCCTGGGCAACAAAGCGAGACTCCATCAGATAAATAAATAAATAGCTGATTTCCATATAAAATCCAGACTTCTAGTGTCTCTTGAAAAATTAGAAACTTTGGTCACCCCAGGCCTGCATTCCCAGCAGCCACTCCAGAGACTCCCCGGCCCACTGTAGTCATTCCTGTGACCTGCCAGCCCTGGCAGCTGCTGAGCTTGAGCCCTGGTGTCCTCTAGGCCCCGGCTGCCTTCCTGCCTCGTGGCGTCCCTCTCTGGGATTTCCCTCCCCCAGCCCCGGACTGTCTCATAGCCTTCACGACTGCTCACGACTGCTATGGCTTTTAATGTTTTCTTTCACATGGTTTCATCTCCATGACACACCTGTGAGGTGAGCAGGTGTCCCCCTAGGGTCCCTGTACCCCAATTTCCTCACTTGCCAGATGAGGAAACAGACCAGAAAGGTTGGGTGACTCCCCCAAGGCCACACAGTGAGCCCACAAAGGTCTGATGCTGCCCCGGAAGTGAGGAGGGTGAAAAGAGTTGGGGTGACCATCTTTGCATGACAGCTCAGAGTCCATAGGGTTGGTCAAACCCCTCCCTTTGGGGCCCCTGGAGGAGGCCCATGTTCAGGAGTGTTGACCTCTGCGGGAAATCTCAGAGAACAGCAAGCCAAACCTCCCTGCTTCCATTGTGCCAGGGGGTGAAGGGGTCTGCCCAAGGCCCCTCAGCCTATGAGGAGCTGAGGGAGTGCAGCTCCAAGGGAGATCTGAGGGCTGGGCTGGATTTCTGGGGCCTCCTGTGGGAGCACCACCGCCTTATCTGTCAGGTGGGTGGGGCTGGCACTGACGTGGGTCCTTATCTCTGCCTGGGCTGTGCCTGGTGCTTGAATGTGGATACTGTCATTCTCTCAGTGAGGCCTCACCCTCCTGAGGAGCCTCACACACCGTGGCGAATGCAGGAAAGTAGGCCCAGGGCCTGACTTGAAAACCCATGTTCTTAACCCCTCAGGGTGATCATGACACCTGGCCATGTTGAATATTAAGCCTATGCTGGTTGCTGGTCTAAGTTCCTTGCTCAAAACTACCCTAGGGCCCAGGCAGGAGGATCAGTTAAGCCTAGGAGTTCTAGACTAGCCTGGGCAACATGGGGAGACCCCACCTCTACAAAAATTAAAAATAGCTAGGAGTGGTGGTGCATGTCTGTAGTCCCAGCTACTTGGGAGGCTGAGGTGGGAGGATCACTTGAGCCCAGGAGTTCGAGGCTGCAGTGAGCTGCAATAGTGCCATTGCACTCCAGCCTGGGTGACAAAGTGAGACCCTGTCTCAAAAACAAAACAAAACAAAACCACCCTAGGGGGTAGATACATTTCAAAGATGAAGGAAGATGAAGACAAGGGCACAGAGAGGCTAAGCCACTTGCCTGAGGTCACACAGCTAGTTAAGTTGGCAGGGCCAGAGCGTGAATTCAAGGAGTCGATAGGCCACCCCTCCAACAGAACCAATGCCAGTGTCACTCAGGTGAACAAGGTCATGACACCCATCCACAGATTCAGAGAGCAGCTGAGAAAAACCTATTCATTTCCTGGGGCTGCCGTAACAAAGTTCCACAAACTGGGTGGCAGAAATATATTGTCTCAGTTACTGAAATCAAAGTGTTGGCAGGGTTGCTTTCTTCTGGGGCTCTGAGGGAGAGTCTGTCCCATGTCCCCCTCCTGGCTTCTGGTGGTGACCAGCAAGCCTTGGTGTGCCTTGGCTTACAAATGCATCACTCTCGTCTCTGCCTCTGTCTTCACACGATGGTCTCCCCTTGTGGTCTCTGTGTCCACATTTCTCTTGCAAGGACACCAGTCATTGGATTAGAGATGCCCCCAATCCAGTATAACCCCCCTTAACTCGAGCATGTCTGCAAACACTATTTTCTTTTCTTTTCTTTCTTTCTTTCTTTTTTTTTTTTTTTTGAGACGGAGTTTCGCTCTTGTTGCCCAGGCTGGAGTGCAGTGGTGCGATCTCGGCTCACTGCAACCTCTGTCTCCTAGGTTCAAGCGATTCTCCTGCCTCTCCCAAGTAGCTGGGATTACAGGCACATGCCACCATGCCTGGCTAATTTTTTGTATTTTTAGTAGAGGCAGGGTTTCACCACGTTGGCCAGGCTGGTCTTGAACTCCTGACCTTAGGTGATCCACCTGCCTCAGCCTCCCAAAGTGCTGGGATTACAGGTATGATCCACCATGCCAGGCCTTGTTTTGTTTTGTTTTGTTTTGTTTCTGAGACAGAGTCCCACTCTGTCCCCCAGGCTGGAGTGCAGTGGTGCAATCTCAGTTCACTGCAACCTCTGCCTCCTGAGTTCAAAGTGATTCTTCTGCCTCAGCTTCCTGAGTAGCTGGGACTACAGACACCCACCACCATGCCCGGCTAATTTTTGTATTTTTACTGGAGATGGGTTTCTCCATATTGGCCAAGCTGGTCTTAAACTCCTGTCCTTAACTGATCATGCACCTCAGGCTCCCAAAGTGCTGGGAATACAGGTATGAGCCACTGCGCCTGGCCAGAGCCTGTTTTCAAATAAGGCCACATTCCCAGGTACTAGGGGTTAGAACTTGAACATATTTTGGGGAACACATTGCAAACCACAATAAGAGATGAGGAAAAACTTCCCTCAGAGTCAGTGAAGGGCATGCACCCTGCAGGAACCTGGCCTGTCTGGCTGTCAGTGTTGGCAGCTTCTGGGGAAACTGTAATAACAGGGTTTCACTGCAGCAAGGAGTGCCTCTTGGTTGGGCATTTGTGACGAATCTTCTCTCTGATGCCACAGGTGGTTTTAACAAAAACATCTCTTCGTTACCCAATTGTTTGGAAATTCTTTGAAGATGCAAAGGTCGTTTTTGACACTGTAGTCTTCATATGTAAAAAAAAGTTCCTAATCCAAATTATTCAGGTTTTCAGAAAAGCAAAAAAAAAAAAAAAAAAAAAGGCCCTGTGCCCTTGAGATTTCCAGACAGTTCCCTTTGTTTATCTGCAGGACCTGTCTGGGGAGGCATGGCAGGGACCTCAGAGAGCTGGGAAGGAGGGGAGGATGTGGTTTGCCTGTGTGTGTAGGAGAGAGACAGTTAGATATTCATGTAGACACCTCCAGAGAAACACGGGGACAGACGAACATGTAAGCAAGAGAGACCTGCAGGGCCCAGGGGTGAAGGCATAGAGTTCTGTTCTCAGATACCCACGTGGCACCCTCCCTGCCCCTCCCTCACCTCCCTGGGTCTTTGCTTATCATCACCTTGCCAGTGAGATCTTTCTTGGCCCCTTCTCCATAGACATTTGTTAAATATATTAACCCAGAGAGATGCCCACAGCGAGGCCTGTGTTGGGTGCCCTGTTCCGAGCAGGGTCTCTCTTGGGGGACTGGGCTGGGGGCTCAGGAACCAGGAGAAACCAGTCTGTCTGGTTCAAATGCAGGAACGAACCTTCCTTGTTCTAGGGCAGAAACCGAGGCAGCTCCGCAGGCACAGAGCCAGGCAGCACAGCCAGAAAGAACGCCAGAAATTCCCAGTCCTTATCCACCGGCTTCATCTGGACGCTGTGTTCGCTGATCTGGAAACCAGGGGTGGGGCTGGAGCACAGCACAGGGCGGGGCAGGGATGGCGGCGGGCAGTGGGGGGAGCCTGGGTGCCCAGCCCAGACTGGCTCCTAGAGCCAGCTGAAGTGTCCTCATTTTTTACACTTCACTAAATAACTCATAGTAGCGCAGGTTCCAAGGAAGCACGGATCTGGGTTCCTGTCCTTCCCTATCCTTTTAAAATTTTTATTTATTTTTTGAGACAGGGTCTCTGTCACCTAGGCTGGAGTGCAGTGGCGCCATCATGACTCACTGCAGCCTTGACTTCCCAGGCTCCATTGATCCTCCACCTCAGCTTCCCAAGTATCTGCGACCACAGGCACATGCTACTATGCCCAGCTAAATGTTATATTTTTGGTAGAGATGGGGTTTTCCATATTGTCCAGGCTGGTTTCGAACTCCTGAGCTCAAGTGATCCACCTGCCTCAGCCTCCCAAAGTGCTGGGATTACAGGTGTGAGCCACTGCACCCGGCCTCCTGCCCTGTCCTTTACCCACAGTGACCTCAGGCACATTGCCTCCTGAGATTCCCTTTGGAAGATGGGAATAACAGATAGAACATTTGAGGAGGGTCTGGTGATGGAGGAATCAATGAGATGTGTCTGGCACAGAGCGAGAAGGCATTGAGTGGTTATTGTGACCTAGGCTGTGAGTCATGGGACAGGTGATTGATAGGCATATGATAGTGGAAACCTGAATTGGTCTTTTCTTGATTTTTGGTTCATTGCATTTTCTGACTTTCCTTTAGTTAGTTGGAAGCTGGCAACACAGTGGCAGCGGAGGCCCATGAGGAATTGGCTTTAAATGAAAAAATAATTGTTTATCTTGGACGCACCCAGTTCTCACCTGGAGAAGGGACGGAGGCGTGCTGCCCGAAGTGTTTGTTCTCCTTCAGAACACTGGCCTCCCCCCAGCTCTGGGGGTTCGTGGCCTCTCCAGGTGTGTCTGTTTCTGGCAGGGTGTTGTTCTGAGACATCCTGCCCTGGGTCCACACTCGTAAGGGCTCTGCCCCCAGCTTGGTGTGTGACAGCGGGCAAGGCCCTGTGGCTCCGCCCTGGCTTCCTCACCTGCCTACCCTCACCTGGCCTGCTTGCGGCGGTGAGAGTGCTGACGGGCAGCAGAGGCTGGCAGGGTGCTGTGTGTTGGGGGGTGGATCCCTGGAGCTTCACCCCAGTGTGGGGAGGAGCAGGTGCTGAGCCCTGGAGAGCGGGACACCTTCCCTGGGCCTCCCACTTTGGGCTGAGCCCCTTACTTGGGTTGGGGGGAGGCAAGGCCAGGGGCAGTTCACAGATGGACACCTGCTTCTTATTAATTTATTTTGTTAATTTAATTTTAACTTTACTTAATTTTAATTTTATTTATTTTCGTTTATTTTGAGACAGGGTCTTGCTGTTGCTCAGGCTGGAGTACAGTGGCACAGTCATGGCTCACTGTAGCCTCAACCTCCCAGGTTCAAGCGATCCTCCCCACTCAGCCTCCCAAGTAGCTGGGACCACAGGTGCACCATCACCACACTCGGCTAATTTTTAAAGTATTTGGCAGAGATGGGCTCCCTGTATATTGCCCAGGATGGGGTCTTGAACGCCTGGGCTCAGGCAATCCTCCCACCTTGGCCTCCCCAAATGCTAGGATTACAGGCATAAGCCACCACGCCCAGCCCCACTGCTTCCTCTTTTAATACACGGTGCCTGTGCAGGGCAGGGTTCTGGTCTCTGTCATGGTTGAAGAAATAGGATTGTTAGTTCCTAAGCACATTGTGTATTTAGCGTATATTATGTGTCGGGCACTGTTGGGCACTGAAGATACAGCAGTGAACAAAACCCAGAATCTTCCTCGGAGAGCAGGGAAGGTACTCGGTCAGCATCACACAGCCACACAGCTTTTGACTTCCAAGCTCGAGGCCCCACCTGCCACTTCCCCACTGGGCCATACCCTTCCCAAGCCAGATCCCTGGGGGATGGGGAGTAGGCCGAGGAAGGAGGGTTGTGAGGGCTGAGGGCTCCCTGGGCCAGCTCAGCTACAGGCCCCCGAGTCTTGTCCCTGGCTTCTGTAGGGATCCACACAGGAGCTTCCCTTCTGGTCCTCGACGAGGTTGCTTTTGGATGGGGTGCCTGGCAGGCACCCCAGCTCTGTCTGTGCTCTAGGCCCAGGCCCTCAGGTGCTCTAGGGGCTGGCGGCAGCCCCTCAGCTGCTGGGAGCAGCCAGGACTTTCTGTCTCCAAACCCTAGCAGCCAGAGGCAGGTCCTGCTCCGGAGCCGCTTCTCTGATCCCACTGACTTGTCCTTGGGCTGGTGGCAAGGTCACTACGCAGCCTTGGTGCCATGTACCTGGGCGCTGACCAGGGGAAAAAGAGGACACCTCTGTGTGTCTTGATTGGCAATGGAGCCTTTCTCCAAAGCTAGACCCTCGTGTCCTCTCCGTGGCCAGGGATTCCAGAGAGTGCCCTCGTGGAGAAGGCGCTCTCCAGAGCATCTCCACCAGCAAGGGGTGGGTGGGGGTAGGAGGGGCTGGGGAGGCCCAGGATGGCCACATCCGAGGTGCCTCTGGGGGCCTCCACGAGCTCCCTGGGCCCTGCCTCAGCTGGCCCTTTGCTGGCCTGCACCCTGAGACAGTCTGCATAGTGAGTCGACAAACCTGCCGCAGAGAATTCTCTGTGGCTGTGAGGGCTGGGGCCTGTGCAGTCCAGTTCGGGCTTGTGGAATAATAAAAAAACACTTCTGCTGCAATCATTTATGTGCATGAACTTGTGGGTCCTCACAGTAGCTCTACAAGATAGGAATGGTCATTATATGATAAGCAAGGGTGGTTATACACTTGCCCACGGCCACACAGCCGGTAAGGAGAGCCGGGATCGAAGCCAGACAGCTGGGCTCCAGAGTTCATGCTGTTAGCCACTACCCATGCTCTGCTGGGATGGTCAGGCCCATCCTGCCGTGTGGGAACAGCCTGACAGGTAGGCCCCTTGGCTTCCTGGAGGCCCAGTTTCACCTGTGAGATGGCAACACCTGTATAGAAGGGCATCTGGGAGAGCCGGAGACGTGGGGTGTTGGGCAGGAGGTCACCCAGAGGCCCTTGTGACGTTCTCTGCTGGGCCCAGCTGGGAGGGAGGACACAGGGCTGTTGTCTTCCCGCCTCTGGGACTGTGGTGACTTGATCTTCCTTTCAGCAGCTTTTACTGAGCCCCTGGCAGGGCCTAGGGCCTGTGCTGGGTGTGGGGACGTAGCTGTGAGACAGCCACGGCTGTGCCCTCGTGGAGCTCGCAGTCTGGGGAAGGGAACGATTATGGCCCTGGATGGTGGGTGCCTGGGGGGCCCTGTGAGCACTGATGAGGGCTCTGGGATGCCGGCTGGAGGCGTGGGGGTGTCCTGGAGCACCTGACATCTCAGCTGAGACCTGCAAGAGGAGTGAGAGTGCAGGGCAGGGCCCCGGTACAGTGGTGTATCACACGAGCCAAGTCAGCATTCCTTTTTAAATTTTTTTCTATTTTTTGAGACAATTTCACTCTGTCTCTGAGGTTGGCATGCAGTGGCATGATCATAGCTCACTGCAGCTTTTAACTCCTGGGCCCATGTGATCCTCCTGCTTCAGCCTCATGAGTAGCTGGGACCACAGGTGCGCACCACCATACCTGGCTAACTATTATTATTATTATTATTATTTTTGCTTTTTGAGACGGATTTTCACTTTTGTCTCCCAGGCTGGAGTGCAGTGGCGTGATCTCAGCTCACTGCAACCTCTGCCTCCCAGATTCAAGCAATTCTCCTGCCTCAGCCTCCCAAGTAGCTGGGATTACAGGCACACGCCACCATGCCTGGCTAATTTTTGTATTTTTAGTGGAGACAGGGTTTCACCATGTTGGCCAGGCTGGTCTCGAACTCCTGACCTCAGGTGATCTGCCTACCTCAGCCTCCCAAAGTGCTGGGATTACAGACGTGAGCCACTGCGCCCGGCCTTAATTTTTCTGTAGAGATGGGGACTTGCTCTGTTGCCCAGGCTGGTCTTGAACTCCTGGCCTCCAGCGATTATTACACCTTGGGCTCCCAAAGTGCTGACATTACAGGCATGAGCCACTGTGCCTGGCCAGTATTTCTTAGCTAGATAAGAAATGAAACCGCATCTCTGGCCAATCCTGCCTTGTCTGACCCTCCTAGGTGCTGGGGCTGCTGGTGTGGGCGCTGATTGCGGACACCCCGTACCACCTGTATCCGGCCTATGGCTGGGTGATGTTCGTCGCTGTCTTCCTCTGGCTGGTGACAATCGTCCTCTTCAACCTCTACCTGTTTCAGCTGCACATGAAGTTGTACATGGTTCCCTGGCCACTGGTGGTGAGTCTGGGTGGGGGTACTGGAAGTGGCTATGACAGGACCACTGTGACTTTCCCTAGAAGAAGTGGCAGGGTGTGGGGGGGTGGCCTGACATCCTCACTGACCTAAGCTGATCTGCAGAGCCAGGGGTGGAGGTGAGGATTGATGGTTCAGAGGTCCAGTTTTTCTATTTTTCCTTCAAGACAGTGTCTCACTATGTGCAGGCTGGAGTGCAGTGGCTCAATAATGGCTCACTGCAGCCTTGAACCCCTGGGCTCATGTGATCCTCCCATCTCAGCCTCCCCAGTAGCTAGGACTACAGGCACGTGCCACCATGCCCTGCTAATTTTTATTTTTATTTTTTGTAGAAGAGGAGTCTCACTTTATTTCCCAGGCTGGTCTTGAACTCCTGGGCTCAAGCAGTTCTCTCACTTTGGCCTCCCAAAATTCTGGGAGTACAGGAGTGAGCCACCATGCCTAGGTGCACGGTTTTTTGGGGAACCATGAGCCAGGAAGGACACAGGCTTGACTTTGTCCCAGGAGGGGAGTAGAAGTGAGGGGCTGTTGAGTGGATTTGTAAGAGGCCATTTGGAATCTTAAAAATATTTTTCCCGGCCGGGTGTGGTGGCTCACGCCTGTAATCCCAGCACTTTGGGAGGCTGAGGTGAGTGGATCACCTGAGGTCAGGAGTTTGAGACCAGCCTGACCAATATGGTGAAACCCTGTCTCTACAAAAAATACAACAATTAGCAAAATACAACAATTAGCCAGGTGTGGTGGCGCGCGCCTCTAGTCCCAGCTACTTGGGAGGCTGAGACAGGAGAATTGCTTGAACCCAGGAGGCGGAGATTGCAGTGAGCCGAGATCACACCATTATACTCCAGCCTGGGTGACAGAGCAAGACTCCACCTCAAAAAAAAAATTTCCCTCTGGGGGTGGTCAGAATTTGTGCCTGTGTTGTGTGAGTTTGTGAGATTGTAGCTTGGCCCAGGTAGGCAGCCCTGTGGCTGGAGGCTGTGGCAAGCTGTCAGAAGTTGCCCAGGCCAGGGCCTCAAGTGTGCAGGACAAGCTCGGGCACCTGGCTGCCTGCAGGTGAGGCCCTGAGGCCTGGGAGAGGCTGGGCTCCCCAGGTTTGCCCCAGGACAGTCTCCCCAGGACACAGGGCTGAGAGCGGACATGGGAAGTACCCCGGCCAGACACACAGAAAGCTGCTGGTTTTTTTTTTCCTCTGACCCGGAAAACCCCTGCAGCTGGGGTCTGAGGCTTTCAGTGAGAAGAGAGGCGAGAAAGGCACATGATTGTAAGACAAGCAAGGCTGGGACTAGGCGGCATTGTTTGGAATTCAATGACTTTTTAAACCGAGGAAACGTGAGTCATCCTCAAGACAGAATGGGTTTGTTAGATCTCGACATCCCTGGCAGAAACAGGCAGCGTTTGCAGGGGTCGCTGGGCTTGCAGGGAAGATTTTGGGGCGAGGAGGCGGTGCCTTGACTTCCGGGCTCAGGGTCCACCCCCTCCCTCACGTCCCAGGGACCTCTAAGAGAGAAATCTCCAGAGATAAAAGCCTGTGTGTCTCTTAGGTGCAGATTTGGGGCTCCAGCCGTGGCTGTTAATGGAAGGAGGCTCCCTTCTGCCACAGTGGCAGGACATTGCTTCTTGTGCTTCTGGACCCTCAACGAATGGGGCAGAGAGGGCTTAACTGCATCTAGAGAAGGCTGGATTAGCATGGCCAATTTGGGATTTTCTGGCATGGGGGCTACAGACCCCTACAGGATCCAGGCAAGATATGTGAGTAAATTGGGTCAGGAGGGACCCTGGAGAAGCCAGCATCCATCTGCCCATCGCAAGCTGCCTCTATACTCACTTCATCTGTTCCTAGTGGGAATGCAGCCCCTTTGGAGCGAAATCTTTTGATATCCTAAGTTTTTTTTTTTTTTTTTTTAGACAAAGTCCCGCTCTGTTGCCCAGGCTGGAGTGCAGTGGCACGATCTTAGCTCATTGCAACCCCTGCCTCCCAGGTTCAAGTGATTCTTCCGCCTCAGCCTCCTGTGTAGCTGGGATTACCGGTGGGCACCATCACTCTTGGCTAATTTTTGTATTTTTATTGGAGACGAGGTTTCACCATGTTGGCCAGGCTGGTCTCTAACTTCTGACCTCAAGTGATCTGCCTGCCTCGGCATCCCAAAGTGCTGGGATTACAGGCATGAGCCACACTGCACCCGGCCAAGATTTTTTTAATATAAAATTTTTACATGAAGTCTTCAGGTTTTCATGAAATCTAATTTTATAATGTTGGTAATTTTTTAAAAGTATATTGGACGAACTGAATGAATGTTTGAGGACCAGGCGTTTGAAGACGGTGAATGGGCTCCTGGGGCCAAGCGTTTGGGATGAGGGACTGGTCCCTGGTTGTCAGCAGAGGGCCCCTTCCTGCCAGTCTGGTTCCATATCCAGCTTGAAATATCTGGTCCTCTTGGTCCTGACCCTGGCATTTGCTTAGAGCCTTGAGCTTAGGATGTGGCCAAGAGGGAGACAAAAATTCTTCCCCCTGAAGGCAGAGAGGGATGTGAGGCCCAGCCCAGGACTGGCCACAGAGCCAAACCTTGCAGTGGTACCAGGGATGGCCTGGGCTTGGCCCTGGACCACACTTGGAGGAGTAGCCTGTGTTTCTTTAGCTGGTACAAAGAGATGGGTCATGGATTGGGCTCTTTCTGTGAGGAATGGGTCTGGCACTGCCACTACCCCATCACTGAGGCCCTCCTGTCATTCCCCTCCTCCAGCCTCAGGTGTGTTCATGCTCCCTGCTCAGCAGGCCTCCTGGGGACCAGGGCCTCATGGGCTGACTCCCTGGAAACTGTGGCCTCTTGAGGCCCTGTTGGTGGGAAAGACCCAGGTGTTTGCATCACCATCCAATGGCTATTCAAGGAGTGTGCCAGTGGGAACCAAGAAGCCCCAACCGTTGGTCTTGTCTTTTTTTTTTTTTTTTTTTTTTTTTTTGAGACAGGATCTCACTGTGTCACCCAGGCTGGAGTGCAGTGGTGTGATCATGACTCACTGCAGCCTCAACCTCCCGGCTCCAGGTGATCTTCCCATCTCAGCCTCCCAAGTAGCTGAGATCACAGGCATGCGCCACCATGCCTGGCTAACTTTTTTATTTTTGTAGAGATGGGGCCTACCTATGTTCCCCAGGCTGGTCTCTAACTCCTGGGCTCAAGCGATCCTTCCACTTCAGCCCCGCAAAGTGCTGGGATTACAGGTGTGAACCACCGTGTCTGGCCTCTCTTTGTGTCTTAAGCCTTTTCTCTCCCCACTCCCTACCCCCATGTCCTGCAGTTAATGATCTTTAACATCAGCGCCACCGTTCTCTACATCACCGCCTTCATCGCCTGCTCTGCGGCAGTTGACCTGACATCCCTGAGGGGCACCCGGCCTTATAACCAGCGCGCGGCTGCCTCGGTGAGTCTGCTTCCCAGGCTCCCTTGGTGGTCTGCAGGGTCTCAGCCCCAGGACTCAGGCTGCTCGCTTGGTCTGAGGCCAGGCACCTGCCACCTCCTGAGGGGTTGTCACCTGAACACTCAGTGGGTCTTAGAGGGGAGCCGGGCCGCCTCCAGGCTTCCATAATTAACAGTGGAGAGTGGTGTGTGGTGGGCAATGGAAGTTTTGGGTTAACTATTTTTTCTTTTTTTTGAGATGGAATCTTGCTCTGTTGCCCAGGCTGGAGTGCGGTGACGTGATCTCAGCTCACTGCAACCTCTGCCTCTTGGGTTTAAGTGATTCTCCTGACTCAGCCTCCCAAGTAGCTGGGACTAGAGGTGTGTGCTGCCACACCCGCTAATTTTTTTGTATTTTGTATTTTTTTTGGAGATGGAGTCTCACGCCTGGCTAATTTTTGTATTTTTAGTAGAGACGGAGTTTCACCATGTTGGCCAGGCTGGTCTTTTGAACTCCTGACCTCAGGTGATCCACTCGCCTTGGCCTGTTAAAGTGCTGAGATTACAGGTGTGAGCTGCCACACGCGGCCTGGGCTGACTATTGAACCTTGTTGTAAATCAGCTGTGCCACACTGCCTTAGGGTCACGTGCCCCCTTGGAGAATGTGAAAAACATGCTCTCCCACTGACAAGTGCACGTGCAAAAACCTTTTGGTTTAAACCATTCTGGGAGATTCATAGGCTCTCCCATGAAACCCAAACTCTGGGCCCACGTCAGGTGGCCAGTGAAGTGGCAGTAGTCCCCTCCACGCCTGTCACCCTTCACACCACCAGGCCCTGCACACCATCTCCTCCCAGGATCCTGCGACACCCACAGTGAGGGAGAGGAAGGGACTACCAGTTCCTTTTGACAGACAGGAGGCTCCTGCTCAGAGAAGTTGGACGCCAGGCCTGGAGCCACGGCCAAGCCCAGGGGAGGGCAGGGCCTCAATGGGCACGCATTTGGTTCCTTACTCTTCCTGATGAGGGCAGTTTTGAAATCAGCAAATTCAGTGATGGGGACAGAGACGGGGAGCTTCTGAATGTGGCTGCAGGTGTTAGTATAGAGGCTTGAACTGGTTCTAGGAGATTCCTAGGGTGTCCTTTGAATGTTGTCTTTTTAGAACTAAATCCTTGCTAGGTGTCCCCTCTGTCACTCTTATCTTCTCCTTCATTGCCCTTATCACAATCTGACAGGCCCTGCCTGTGGTTCTTAGCTGTTTCCCATGGTTAGAAGGTAATGTTGGTATCCCAGGACCCTGGTGCTCATCAGCCCCATGATAAACAGCTGTGAAATGCATCTGGCTAAGTGTGAGATGGTGCGGCTGCCACAACCCCTCCTGCCTGGCCTGAGATCTGGTTGGAGCTTGTGTCACTGTCACCCTCTCGGTCCTTAAGCCCTTCTCACCTCTCTTTCAGTTCTTTGCGTGTTTGGTGATGATCGCCTATGGAGTGAGTGCCTTCTTCAGCTACCAGGCCTGGCGAGGAGTAGGCAGCAATGCGGCCACCAGTCAGATGGCTGGCGGCTATGCCTAAACCACCTGTGCCACGGCCCCCTCTGGGGCTGAAGCCGCCGCTGGGTCACAGAGCAGGGTCACCCTGCAAGCCTGAAGCTGGGGAGCCCTGCGTGGAGTCAGCCCAACAGGGACTGCATTTGCTCCTCTCTGCCCGTCAGACATAAGCTCTCACAGCGCTAAGGAAGCAGGCCCAGGCTGGCAGGCATCTCGGCTTGCAGGAGGCCAACTGCTGAGACCTCTTCTCCATCCCCCTTATTCAGTGGAAGATGACGGGGGATCTGAGGCTGTGTCTCTGCCTTGTCTTTAGAGGACTTCAGCGTCCAAGACTGGGGCCCACCCTTCTCACCAGCACTAAATGCACTAACAAGGACTCCAGACCTGCAGCCCCAGACCCGCCGTAGTATAAGCCTAACAAGCAACACGTAGCACCTTAGTCTTTGTTCCAGGAGAGCTGAGCAAGCTGGTGAAACCACTCTCCTTCCTTTAAACACCGTTTCAACCAACCTCTCCCTGGAGCCAACCTGTAAAAAGTGGGTTGATTGCTGACAGCATGGTCTTCCCTCCCTGCATTTCAGACATACCAGTTACTGAAAGCAAATCAGTTTTAAGTGATTTCTCAGTGCTGAAAAGCCTGTCCAGGTTTCCTTCCCTTTCCCAAGCCTCTCTCTGTAATACTCCCTTTGGGCGAAGCTAACATCGGTGCCTCCCCGACCTTGCTGACTAGGCACATGGGACGCAAAGGAGGGAGGGAAGCAAGGCCTTGCCTGGCGAGTTGTCATGTGGTTGGTGGTGACTGTTTTATTTTTTTTAATAAAAATAAAGATGAGAGAAATTATTTGGACAAGATGTTGGCAAATCACTTTTACAGGTGCTTGTAACCTCCAGGAGACCTCAGCTTGACTGTAGAAGATGCCTGCTGTAGGGCAGTTCACGTTCTGGAGTCGTTCAGCACCACCTGCGAACTCTTTGACCGGAGGAAGGCTGCCTATACTTCCTGCTTGCTGGGTCTGGAACAGTCCTGGTTTATGCTGTTTGTGCTGGCATAAATAGAATAGCACGGCCTTTTATTCTCACAAGTGACTCAGTTTGACAATAACTTAGTCACCCTTGCTTTGGGCAGGTTAGGTGAGCTTACTGAATCAAAGATTTCAACAATATCATCTACCTTGAAAGTCTGTGAAGCTTGGAGGTCATATAATCAAGGTGGCTGGCCATGCTGCCTGCTCAGAGCTGGTAGAGACAGCAGAGGAAAGCAGCTGAGTACTCCTGAGCTTATTTTTCCAACACCACAGAACAACGTTCTCTGAACAATAAGGTAAAAGCATTTCTAGGTACCCTCTGTACCCTTTTGTTATTTTTTATTTTTATTTTTTGGAGACCGAGTCTTGCTCTAGTGCCCAGGCTGGAGTGCAATGGCGCAATCTTGGCTCACTGCAATCTCCGCCTTCTGGGTTCAAGCAATTCTCCTGCCTCAGCCTCCTGAGTAGCTGAGACTACAGGTGAGCGCCACCACGCCCAGCTGATTTTTTGTATTTTTAGTAGAGATGGGGTTTCACCATGTTAGCCAGGATGGTCTTGATCTCCTGACTTCATGATCCGCCTGCCTTAGCCTCCCAAAGTGCTGGGATTACAGGTGTGAGCCACCACACCTGGCCGATTTTTTTTTTTTTTAAGAGACAGGGTCTTGCTCTCTTGCCCAGGTTGGAGTACAGTGCCACAACTACAGCTCACTGCAGCCTTGACTGCCCAGGCTCAAGCAATCCTCCCACCTCAGCTTCCTCAGTAGCTTGGACTACAAGTGCAGGCCACCATGCCCAGCTAATTTTTGTTTTTTTTTTTTTTTGAGATGGAGTCTCACTTTGTCACCCAGGCTGGACTGCAGTGGCGTGATCTCGGCTCACTGCAACCTCTGCCTCCCAGATTCAAGCGATTCTCCTGCCTCAGCCTCCCGAGTAACGGACTACAGGTGCGTGCCACCATGCCTGGCTAATGTTTTGTATTTTTAGTAGAGACGGGGTTTCACCGTGTTAGCCAGGATGGTCTCGATCTCCTGACCTCGTGATCCGCCCGTCTCGGCCTCCCAAAGTGCTGGGATTACCAGCGTGAGCCACTGTGCCCGGCTGATTTTTAAATTTTTTGTAGACATTGGGTCTCGCTATATTGCTTAGGCTGGTCTTAAACTCCCAGCTTCAAGTGATCCTCCCATCTCAGCCTCCCAAAGCGCTGAGATTATCGGCATGAACCACCACACTTGGCCCTGGTATAAATATTAATAGCATCACTTTTTACTCTAAAGTCTCGGAGTTTGAATAATAAATTAGTCCTTCCAGGAGTAAGTTATAAGAGTTTGGTTTTAAGGAAGGGCAATACACTTAAATGTAAAACAAAATCCCAGGCAAGTTAGAGAGCTCACCCCTCTTATGTTTCCAACATGAATCAAAAGCCTGTTTCAGGGGGGACATTAAAGGCATTCAGTCAATGCTAAGGCTCAGCAGTTTGTGTGACTACTGCTTCCCACTGGGGAGGAGTCCTAAGCAAGAGGACTGGGGCTTCCTCACCCCAGGGCAGGTGGGAGCCCCATCAAAGGTGGCACCTGACATCACAGTCTAAGTGTCTGAGGATGGAGAGACAGGCTGCTAGTTTATTTTAAAAGAAATCAGAATGTCTACTTATAATATTAAGTGACAACAGACTTGCCTCCTTTTTGCTGAGCAGAAAGGGTGAAAAAACCAGCCAGGCATGGTGGCTCACACCTGTGATCCCAGCACTTTGGGAGGTGGGTGATCACCTGAAGTCAGGAGTTCAAGACCAGCCTGACCAACATGGTGAAACCCTGTCTCTACTAAAAATACAAAAATTAGCTGGGCGTGTTTGTGGACACCTATAATCCCGGCTGCTTGGGAGGCTGAGGCAGCAGAATCACTGGAACTCGGGAGGTGGAGGTTGCAGTGTGCCGAGATCGTGCCATTGCACTCCAGCCTGGGCAACAAAAGCAAAACTCCATTCCCAAAAAAAAAAGAAAAAAAAAAGGGTGAAAAACCAATTTGCCTTTATCATCGTTTTTTCATCATTTAATCTCTGGACTTGTCCACTGGCCTTTTCTCAAGTAGGCAGGCTGGTCCACAGGTCTTAGCAAGTGCTCCCAGCATGCCTGGGCTGTGGTGGACCTCCCATTTATAGACAAAGCAAGGGAAAGCAAGCCCAGGAGAGGTGGCATTTAAAAAAAAAAAAAAAAGACCAAAGCAATAATTAATAACCTTATGGCAGTGGCTACATTAAAGAAAGAATACAACTCATTGAGAATGGTGGTTCTTGCGAAACACCTGAAGTTTTACTCATGGTACAAAAGTATTTAATAAGTGACACATCAGTACAGAAACACAGAGCTTGTAGCTTGTCCTTTAAAACCAGAATGGCCAAGTGAAAAGTCAGTACAGATTCTTATTTTTACTATTAAAAAAAAAAAATCAAAGGGACACACTGGGAATTGAACTACTATGCTTTTTCTTCGTTCTAGAGATGACATATATGTTTTCTGATAAGTAATCTACCACACATTGCACTAAACCAAAGCATACAAACAGCCAGTAAAGCTGTGCTCTACCTGCTACTCATGCTGGGCTGGACAGTGGAACACCATCTTGGTAGGAGAGATTTTGACAGGAAGAAACTGCAGAGTCCCTACCTAACCCAGAGAACCTTACAAACTGGTTTATACACAAAGGATTTTCAGCAAACATGCAAACACACTAACATGCTATAGGAATATGTTTTAGTCTATTTCTAGCACACAGCATACATTCATAGGTGCCCAGTAAAATAGGAATGAATGTCAATGTAGAAAGCATTTTTGCCTTCACAGTACTAACAAACACCTAAAAAGCACACAGCATATAATACTTTGATCTTTAAGTGGATAATCATGGAAGTTCCAAGATCACATCCACTAGGTTAGCCTGAGTATTCATCTATAAAAATATTTTTTTTTTCAAAAATAATGCTTAAAAGAGACTTCTAGAAACAGTGGGACTACATCAGGACCAGAAGACAGTGACACAAGGACTGCAAATGTTAAGACTAGGAGTAGCTTTTCACATGGAGCTTTTATGTAGAGGACGTCTCCTTCTGTTGATTCCTACAGCCGAGACAAGATGTGATCACAGGAGACTCCAAAATCTCAAACTGGGCTTGAGTAACACCCTAGATAAACATCAGGAACCCCACTGAGGCTGAAGTACTGAAACTGTGGCCCATGTGAAAAAGAGGTGCAAGTGCACAAAGATTCATGCAGAGCCTGCTGGAACAGAGGGTGGTGGCGGCGGGTTAGTCCACACTTACACACCAGCAGGTATGCTGGGGAAGGGCCCCCCAGGTGGAGTGCCTGACATAGGGCTCGCTCCAGAGGCGTCTGACTCAGAAGCTCCTGAGAGAGGTGTCTACTTGAGGTGGGGAGGAGTACTATGGTTAATGAATACAAGAAGGTGTTTCAGGATAAATAGGTCCAGGAGGGTTAGGTCATTTTGGTTTTGACCTATTAATACTTAACATAAATGAAGAGTTACATAACAGAGTCAGTCTTTCCAAGATGTGTTCTGTCATCATGAGCTGAGCCTATTGGGCTGGTGACATCCAGAATGATCCCATTCATTGGCTGGAGGTAGGACCTAGTGCCGCAGATTGTTCTGGGAAGCTGGCAGAGAAGATGATTTGCACAATGAAGTCACCACTAAGCCACTGCTTAAGTCCAGTCCTCGGCCTTCTTTTTCCTATATGAGAAAACAACCAAAGGAAGGACTAGAAAGAGCCCTGGCTTGGAATCTTGCCTCTGACATGGGGAAGGCAGAGCTGAAGGTGGGAACGTGGACCTCCAGAGTACATAGGAAGGGAACACAGGTTATTGGTTATTCTGCATTTCTGCTCAATACTGGCCTGCCCTAGTCTTAATTTTTTTTAATATTATTTTTAAAGAGGTAGGGTCTTGCTCTGTCACCCAGGCTGGAGTATAGTGGCTTGATCACAGCTAACTGCTGCCTGGAATTCCTGGGCTCAAGTGGTCCTCCTGCCTCAGCCTCCTGAGTAGCTAGGACTACAGGTGTGCACCACTACAGCTGACTAACTTTTTTATTTTTATTTTTGTAGAGACAGGGTCTTGATATGTCACTTAGGCTGGTCTTGAACTCCTGGGCTCAAGTGATTCTCCTGCCTTGGCCTCCCAAAGCGCTGGAATTGTAAGTATGAGCCACTGTGTCCAGCCTGGCCCTGGTCATTCTTAAAATGCACTCTTAAAATGTACCTCCCTTCACTGGAAAACATTTTTCTTTCTTTCTTTTTTTTTTTTTTTGAGATAGGGGTCTTGCTATGTTGCCCAGGCTGGAGTGCAGTGGCTATTCACAGGCACCACTGCTGTGTAATACAGCCCCAAACTCCTAGGCTCAAGTGATTCTCCTGCCTCAGCCTTCGAAGTAGCTGGGACTACAGGCATGCACAACCACACCCAACACCATTTCTTTTTCTTTTCTTTTTTTTTTTTTGACACAGGGTCTGACTCTGTCACCCAGGCTGGACTGTAGCAGTACAATCACAGCTCACAGCAATCTCAACCTTCTGGGCTCAAGCGGTCCTCCCACCCAGCCCCCAAAGTAGCTGACTGGGACTACAGATGCACACCAGCACACCAAGCTAATTTTTGTATTTTTCATAGAGACAGGGTTTTGCCATGTTGCCTTGGCTGGTCTCAAACTCCTGAGCTCAAGCCATCTGCCTGCCTCGGCCTCCCAAAGTGCTGGGATTATAGGTGTGAGTTACCATGCCCAGTCTCCTATTTTTCTTATAAAGAGCTTGCATTATATGAAAAGCAAGGCAGGGCCAGGTGCGGTGGCTCACGCCTGTAATCCCAACACTTTGGGAGGCCGAGGCGGACCATGCTTCAGGAGTTTGAGACCAGCCTGGCCAACATGGTGAAACCCTGTCTCTACTAAAAATACAAGAATTAGCTGGGCGTGGTGGCAGGTGCCTGTAGTATCAGCTACTCGGGAGGCTGAGGCAGGAGTATTGCTTGAACCTGGAAGGCAGAGGTTCCAGTGAGCCAAGATGGTGCCACTGCACTCCAGCCTGGGTGACAAGAGCAAAACTCTGTCTCAAAAAAAAAAATAAATAAAAGAAAGGCAAGGCAGAATGAGACCTGAGACCTGCTTTTTCGGTTTTGTCCTTCTGATTAGGAACTCTAAGTTGGTACCTGGGCTTGTTTCATGAAAACATGAGAAGGTCCCAGCCACAACAGAATAGCAGCTCACTCTTCTGATGCCTCATCGGCCAGTTTGAAGGGAGAATGATGGGGGAAGCGTGGGAGGTTCATGTTCGGTATTTCTACCTGGAATTTTCTAAGTGGCTCAAAGTGGCTAAATAAATAGGAGTAGTAACTTACTGCTCTGTAGTCCAAAAACATTTCTTTAAAAGCCAGAAAATCTGTGAAGGTGAGCAGCATGTCGAATATGTCACCAGCCACTTCATCCTTATGGTGCCTGCAAACGGAACAGATGGCTGTTTCGTGAATGAATGATGAGACAGTCCTCAAGATTGCTTTCGTTTTTCTTTCCACCACCCCAGCCCCACCCCCCGCATTATTTTTGTTTTGTTTTTTTAGAGACTGGGTCTTGCTCTGTCACCCAGGCAGGAGTGCAGGGGTGCAATTATAGCTCACTGTAGCCTTGAACTGCTGGGCTCAAGGGATTCTCCAGCCTCAGCCTCCTGAGTAGCTAGGCCCACAGGTATGCAACACCACACCTGACTAATTTATTTTTTGTAGGGTCGGGGCCTCACTATGTCACCCAGGCTGGTCTTGAACTCCTGGGCTCAAGTGATCCTCCTCCCTTGGCCTCCCAAAGCACTGAGAACACAAGCGTGAGCCAATGCCTGATCTTTTCAAGATTTCATTAAAAGGTTTGAGGGCTTCCTCCATAGGACCTAACCACCAACGGCATGCACAGGAAAACAAACAAGGAGCGTCTTTTGGTCAGCCTAGGGAAGGAAGAAAGTGAGAAAACAAAACAAAACACAAAAATCAGTCAAGCTCAACTCACTGTAATGTTGTGGTGAAGGCTGCCATGTTGAACTCAGGAATCCGCTGCAGCAGCTGTTCTTCAATGTATTTTTCTACCAAAGAAATCTGCAACAGTGGAAAGGATTTTGGTGAGACCATACTTTGGGAAAACAAGACTTCTTTTCAGAAAGCCTGCCCAGCCCTTTCTAAACATTTCCTGAGGTCTGTGTGCCACAATCTACACTGAGTGCCAAGGATACCAAAGAGGACCAAAACACAGCTCCTGTCCTGGAGAAGTACTCAGCCTGGTGTGGAAGAGAAGCCTTAGCTGATAATGGTGCTGTAACAGGGTGGATGCTCTGACACAGGTGGAGACAGTGAGTAGCACGGTACCCACACCCACAACCCAGTGCAGGATGCAGTAAGTGGGGGCTTTGCCTCCTGGGTAGAGGGCATCTGTGTAACAGAACATACGGACATGGAGGCAGTCACAGGTTCCTTCTGGGCAGGTTTGTTTATGCCATGCTTCTGTGTTAAGAAAATAAAGTCCTGGAGGCCAAAATGGATTCTTAGATGACAGAATCCCAGGGGGCTGTTAAGAGGCCTCAGGGTAAAGTGTAGAGACCCAAGGGTGACGAGCTGAGGTTCCTGGGTTCCAGTCTTGGTTTTTCCACCAAATAGTTAGTGATCTTGGTCTCAGTTTTCACTTTTACTTAATAGTCATGCATATATGACTGGATTATATAGAAGAAAGAAAGAGTATGTGAAAGCAGAAAGGTTTGTCAAAAGCATGCAAATGCAAGGTATGAAGAACTCATGTACTGTGATTAAAAGCAGGATTATGATAAGCCAAACGTCTTTTATTTATTATCTTTATTATTATCATTTTTTTTTTAGAGACAGAGATCTTGCTGTGTTGCCCAGGCTGGTCTCAAACTCCTAAGCTCAAGTGATTCTTCCACCTCAACCTCCCAAATAGCTGGCACTACAGGTGTGCTACCAAGCCCAGGTCAAACTTCTTTTAAATAAGAAGCTGATGAGTTAATCAAATATTTGCCTGAAAGCCTTTTGGAAAATAGCCCCAAAGGCTGTGCAGAGGAAAATGAACTTAAACCAGATGCTAATGAGGATTCCTGGAAGTGTACTGGTGGCATATTTTAAAAGGCAGCAAATTTCAATGTCTTTTGAATCTAAATTTAAATTTTTAAAAACTCTGACCTCCTGGTAGGAGACATAGAAATCTACTTACGTATTCATTAAAAATAGGTGTGTAGATGAGTTTATTCTCTTCTGTGTCTTCAAACTCCAGGTAGTACTTGTCCATGAAATTTCTCTGTAATAACTGGAACTCGTCATCTGAACCACAGTGGGGAAAATTTATTCTTTTTAATGGAGATTACCAACCATTATGATTTATAAGTAGGCAGGATCTATGTCAGCAGTACTGCTTTCTCAATGATCAGTCTCTGGAAGGAAAGCTGATGTTTTAAGGGGGTATTAAATGGGACCCTGATGTGGAAATAGCCCAATCCTCCTGTTTTCTTTTTCTTTCTTTCTTTTTTTTTTTTTTTTTTTTTTTTTGAGCTGGAGTTTCTCTTGTTGCCCAGGCTGGAGTGCAATGGTGCGATCTCGGTTCACTGCAACCTCCACCTCCAGGGTTCAAAAGATTCTACTGCCTTAGCCTCCTGAGTAGCTGGGATTACAGGTGTGTGCCACCTCGCCAGCCTAATTTTGTATTTTTAGTAGAGACAGGGTTTCATCATGTTGGCTAGGCTGATCTCGAACTCCCGACCTCAGGTGATCTGCCTGCCTCCGCCTCCCAAAGTGCTGGGATTACAGGTGTGAGCCACCGCACCCAGCCCTGTTTTCTTTTTAAATTGTGGTGAGATATACAATTTTTTTTTATCATTTTAATGTTTAAGCACACAGCTCAGTGGCTTTAAGTATGTTTACATTGTTGTGCAATGATCACCACCATCCTTCAGTCCATTTTAACCATATCCACACAGGGTGGCTTGGGAACTCCCTGACATTACTTTTCTGAAAAGGAATGAATTGGTTCTCTCTTATTTTGATATAACTTCCACAGCAGTTGTGGAAACAGTGTAGTGATTAAAATTATGGGGTCTGAAAGAGGCTAGCCCGTCTGGGTTCGAATCGCATCTCAGCTACTTACTAATTGTGTGACCTTGGGTAAGTTACTTAATTTCTCTAACCCCCATATAAACACATTTATCTGGAAAATAAGAATGGTTTATGGTAGTTATCATATAGGATTGGAAGTGGAATTTAGATGAGAATTCATGTAAATAGATTAGTTCATAGTGAACACTTAATAAATGATAGGGAATAGGGAATTTTTTTTTTTTAATTGAGACAGGGTTCTCCCTATGGTGCCTAGGCTGGTCTCGAACTCCTAGACTCAAGCAATCCACCTGCGCTGGCCTCCCAAAGTGTTGGGGTTATAGGTGTGAGCCACCGTACCCATCCCGGAATAAGGAATTTTAACAACTGAATAGATTATTTCTAAAAATAAAAGGAAAGTTTCAGAAAGGACCCAGACTTTGGGATAAATACCGTAGGCTCACAGAAGGCTCATTTTCCCATAGCATATAGGGTATAATAGGCAAGAGAACTGAATGGATTCTTCAGTATTCCCCAGAAATCCCCAAGTCCACATGGGAAACGAGCTTAATGATGAAACATCTATATTCAGGAGTTAAGGGCATGAACCTTTATACCTGAAGGTATAAAAACTTGGTCAGTAATTTTCATTCTAAATGGATTAAGCCATACAGCCAATAACACCAAATAACAGTGTTCTTTTCTCAATTCTCATAAAACTTAAAGTCAACAGAATTTTCTCAAATGTAAGTTTTCCCCTCCTACATACTTGTCTTAAACCTCTGGGGACTGTTACTGCTTCTCTGTTACTTAGCAGGTTTCATGGATGCCCAAATACATCCACAAGTAGGAACTCAAAACCTAGGAAAATACAGAACCAGCTGAAGCTTAATACCTTGTTTTCTTTATGGCCATGTGTGCTTATGGTTATGGTTTTATGTGTTTATTTTCATTTTTATTTTTTCCAGACGGAGTCTCGCTCTGTCGCCCAGGCTGGAGTGAAGTGGCACGATCTCGGATCACTGCAAGCTCCACCTCCCAGGTTCACGCCATTTTCCTGCCTCAGCCTCCTGAGTAGCTGGGACTACAGGCGCCCGCTACCACGCCCGGCTAATTTTTTTTGTATTTTTAGTAGAGACAGGGTTTCACCGTGTTAGCCAGGATGGTCTTGATCTCCTGACCTCGTGATCCGCCCACCTCGGCCTCCCAAAGTGCTGGGATTACAGGCGTTAGCCACCGCACCTGGCCTGGTTTTATGTGTTTTATGGCATGAAAATGTTAAAACTCAAAACTATCTAAAATTGAAATTGCTCTTACCCTACATAAGAAATAGAGTAGATCATTATTTCCTATAGTTTTGCGAAGAACGCCACACTGCTGGTGCCCTATTAGCCTGAGTCAGTCCCTTCCAGCCTCTGAATCTATGCTTATTAGATGTTTTCAGGAGTACTGGGCTGTTTGTTTCTAAGACAAACTGCAGTAAGCCTTTACTTAAGTATTACATTGTGCTACATTAAAAATTGCAGGCAGCTTGATGTTTTCTCTTTTTAAAATTAACTCTCCAAATTGATTTCAATGTCCTTAAAGAAACAAGCAAGTCCTTAAAAACAGTATCTTAAAAGCTTACCCATGATAATGTCCTCTAAATATCCAACCACAGCATCAAATTCTGCATCAGAGGCGGAGGAGCTGAAAAACATGCCTGGATTAGGTGCTATTTCAAATAATGCATTAAAAAAATGTTTTTAGTATGGACGTTTTCAAACATGCACAAGAGAAAAAAGAGTAGCAAAACGAACTTCCCATCACCCATCTTCAACGATTAAGAATGACTGACTGATCTAGTAAGTCCAAACAGAAGAAAACACACTCGGCACGTTTGTGACATGAACGTTCAATGTCATGACTCCACTTTAATAAAAACTTGTTCTCCAGGCTCTTAGCTATCACCCCATACCTGTCTGCTTGTGAGCATGAACCCGGCACGGGCGAAACACCTGCCGGGGGGGGTCATTTGGTCAGGAGTCCGGGAGGCGGGGGCCAGGGAGGGGTGGAGGGGCCTCGGGCGCTCAACCCCTCCAGGCTTTGCTGACAGCTGAGGGTTGGCGGCTGGGGATTGTGATGGAGGCGCTGATCAACGGTGACACCCGCCTCGCACTCCTGTCCTGCGGGGCCTGAAACCTGCAGCCTTAGTACTCTACAAAAGGAAGGCCTGGAGCTGGGACGGCGCCTTGGCGGCCCCCACCCTGCCCGGCCCGGCCCGGCCCGGCCCCTAAGGACACCTGTTTTATAGGGTCAGGCCCCGGGGCGAACGCCCGCTGCCTCCGGCCCCAAGTCGCCTGCGCCCTGGAGGAGCTACTCACAAAGACAGCGCAAAGCTCTCTCCTTCTAAGGCGTCCATCGCAGTCGCCCCGAGTAGGCTCCAACCCCGCCCGCGGCCCAACTCGCATGCAGGGCGCGGCCGCCCGGCGGGGTTAAGGCCTCTCAGCCAAGGCCGCGGCCAGCTCACTGCCAGGTCGGGTCAGCGCCTGCGCGCCAGGTCCGGCCTTGGATACCCTCTGCCGCCACGCGTCGGTCCGGCCTCTACGCCCGCCTGGCCCTCTGCGCGCGCCGCCGACGCCGCAGGTCCGGGCCTCGGTGACTGCCGGAGGGGCGCGGCGCCCCGCCTCCTGTCACCATGGCCACCGCAACCCCTTCCACCGCCTCACGGCCGGCCGGCATCCAATCACAGGCGAGCGTTACCGATGCCGGGGCGGGGCAAGACAGGGAGAGGAAGTCCCGGAAGGGAGTGCGGAGGGATGCGGCGCTTCGGCGAGCACCCGTTGTGTGGGAACTCCGTCTCAAGTCGCCCCCATTGTACGGATGAAGGAATCGAAGCCACGAGCCAGAATTTCCTCACTCGCAACTCGAGAATAAATTGCGCCTCCCTGAGTGTGGAGGATTAAATAAGTAGTTTAAGGCGTGTTTAAAGAGCGCTTGTAAGTTGCCAAGTCGCTGGAGAGCCAGTCCCTTATCCCTTGAACCAGGTGATGCTGACGTCTGATTTCAAGACAGTTCCTACCCCTCGTGGAAGGAAAGCCCCATCGCAAGAAGTCGATGTCCTGTAATTTACGTTATAATCTTCGCATCATAAAGATTACTCGGCAGTAATTGGTTTCTTGACTAATTATACAAGATGAGAATTGAAGAACTATTTTGAGCCACGCAATCAGGAATCAGATACCTTTCAGGAAAAGGCCTCTTCAAAACTGCCAAACTTTGAAAAAGGATTCGTTTGAGCTGATTTCTCTTGATTGGACAACTAAGCATTGTGTCTCTTTAGTTGCATGATACCTTATGGCCAAAGTGTGGTATATGACTAGAGGAACTAGAGGGGTTTAAGGTATGAACTGAGGGTCAGGTGGCCAGTCAGAATGGGTTAGCAGACATTTTTTATTTTTTTGAGACGGAGTCTTGCTCTGTCGCCCAGGCTGGAGGGCAGTGGCACGATCTCGGCTGGCTACAACTTCCGCCTCCCAGGTTCAAGCGATTCTCGTGCCTCAGCCTCCCGAGTAGCTAGGATTACAAGTACGTGCCACTATGCCCGGCTATTTTTGAATTTTTAGTAGAGACAGGGTTTCACCATGTTGGCCAGGCTGGTCTCGAACTCCTGACCTCAGATGATCCACCTACCTTGGCCTCCAAAAGGGCTAGGATTACAGGTGTGAGCCACCACAACCGGCCTAGCAGACATCTTTGAATGGACTTAAAATAGATATCCGTGGGATCTGAAACAAAGATGGTTACAAAGACACAGTCGGGTGTGACAGCTGTGACCAAGGTGACATAAATTATTACTAATTTATTTATTTATTGAGATGGAGTTTCGCTCTTACTGCCCGGGCTAGAGTGCAATGGTGCAATCTCGGCTCAACACAACCTCCGCCTACCGGTTTCAAGCGATTCTCCTGCCTCAGCCTCCCGCGTAGCTAGGATTACAGTCATGCGCCACCATGCCTAATTTTTTTGTGTTTTTAGTAGAGATGGGGTTTCTCTATGTTGGTCAGGCTGGTCTTGAACTCCCGACCTCAGGTGATCCGCCCGCCTTGGCCTCCCAAAGTGCTGGGATTACAGGCGTGAGCCACTGCGCTCGGCCTATTTATTTTTTGAGAGGGAGTCTTGCTCTGTTGCCCAGGCTGGAGTGCAGTGGCGCAATCTCGGCTCACTGCAATCTCTGCCTCCCGGGTTTAAGGGATTCTCCTGCCTCAGCCTCCTAAGTAGCTGGGATTACAGGCGCGTGCCACCACACCCGGCTAATTTTTGTATTTTTAGTAGAGACAGGGCTTCACCATGTTGGCCAGCGTGGTCTCGAACTCCTGACCTCTGGTGGTCTGCCCGCCTCGGCCTCCCAAAGTGTTGGGATTACAGGCGTGAGCCACCGCACCCGGTCAGGTGACATCAATTATGAGTTACTCTGTTTAGCACCAAGTGGAAGATAGGCATTTAAAAAGATTTGCTGAATTACTGGACTGAGTTGTTTAGTCAAGCCCTGGTCACACAGCTTACAGCAAACTCAGAGAGTTTCTTCATGACCTACTTTCTCTATATACCACACATTTCTGGACAAAATGAATTTGCCTACCCTTCCTAAGTCATTGATGGAGTGGAGGAGGAACACACCTTGATTTAATCTGTTCTGGTTATCTATTGCTGTTACAAACCACCTGAAAATTTAGTGGCTTAAAACCACCATTTTGCTCACTAATCTGTAATTTGGGCAGGGCCAGCTAGTCTCTATTCCAGTTGGTGTCGGCTGGGGGCAGCTGGAATGGACTAGAGGAGCTTCCTCCAAGGAGTTTACTCACATGGCTGGCAAATTAGTGTTGGCTCTTGGCTCTCAGTTGTGGACATTGGCCAGAGAACTGGGGCCGGGGTTTGGGGGGTTTCAGTTCCTCTCCATCTATAGGATTCAGGGGATTCTTGGGTTTTCTCACACCATGGTGCTGGGTCCAAGAGCAAGTGTTTCAAGACACTGAAATGTAAGCTGGCAGTCACTTAAAGACCTGGTACTGGAAACTGGCACAATAGCCCTTCCACTGTGTTCCACTGATCAAGCAGACCCAGAGCCACCCAAATTTAAGGAAAGTAGACATAAACCTCATTTCTTGACGGGAGGGATGTCAAATAATTTGTGGCCATCTTTTAATCCATTTCACCAACCTTACTGACTCTAGGAACAAATGGGGATAAAGATAAAAAGTACCCACTCAAGGATGTATCAGATAGTGTGCTAAACATTTATAAATACATTGTCTCCTTTTGAAATATTTGAGACCTTACAAAAACAAAAAACCGGTATGAGGTGGGTAGTATCTCCATTTTACAGACTGGGAAACCAAGCATTAGTGGGACCTGGGTCCAGTCCCACTCCAAAGGGCCTATTTCAACCATCATGCTATATAGCCCCTAATCCCTGGGTTGTTAAACCATATTCTTGGAAATCAGAACGTTTTCTCCTGAATACAGAATGGCCTTTTTCCACTTGTAGCAAAACTAAAAATTGACTTGAATACACTAAATGTTTTTCCATTAATACTCATTTTTAAAATCCTTTGATTGGGGGTTGGCACTAGGAATTCTTCTGAGTGAATAAATAGCAAAAGGTAAATGATGGGCAATATTGGAAAGAGCTGATCTTAGGTGGATGGTTTGTTTTCATGGATACACATTCAAGATGGTTGAAACTTGTGCAAAAGTCATTTTCTGCCAGTGAAATTGTGTCAGTTTTGTGACTGAATCAGTTTCCTGGCACTCTGCAAATGGCACCATGACTTTCTTCTGCTCTATGTTATTTTAAAAAGGGGCAAATTCATTAAAAAACTTTTTTGGCTGAAATGCTGGATTTCCCCAGTGAATCACCTGACAAAATACCATAATTTTTTGTTTTTCTCCCTGGTAACAATTTATCAGTAGTAAAAGTCTAGCTTTTAATTTCTCTTAAATGCTTACATTCAGTTCAGAATATGGATGTACGACTTTACGCTTCCACATAGCTTGCTAACCCCTAGTTTTTTCTTTGATAGGGAGTTCCTGTCTTTCCCTTTGAGGTGGCTCCAAGTTTACAATTTAGCTTCCATCCTGGATGATTTGATCAATTTAATATTGAAGCCCTTTTGTTTTATGATCTAGAACTTAAGAACAGGAAACGTAAACCACCCTAGGAACAAAGTTCAAGGGTAGATTTTTAGAAAGCTGTTACACTCCTGCATTCCTTTGCCTGGCAAATTATTAATTCCATCTATTTTTCCTTCTCTCCACTAAATGTACAGACTACCTTTAGTTTCAGCTGGACCACACATTTCTTTACTGGTCTATTTCCATTTTTTTGCTTGTCCTTTACCCCCAGCCCACCCCACTCCTCCATTCCATTCTCCAAATAGAAGCCAGAGCCATCTGTTAGAATTATCAAGGCACTTCCATGCTTAAACACCTTTGCCTTCTACTGCACTTAGTATAAAACAGAAAATCCTTCACATAGCCTTCATGAGCAGTTCCCTGGCCTCTCCAACACTGTAGCATTACCTATTCTACCTACTTGCTTCCTATTTTTCCAGTTACAGGGGCCTTCCATCGGATCCCCAAACCCACTGAGACCCATTCTTCCTCAGTTAGTGCCTTTGCCTAAAATGTTGTGTTCGCCTAGCTACCCAGTCCTAGAAGCTAGTCCTCAGTCTCTGCCAGGCTATGTCCTACTTCCTCCTTTAAGTTTCACTAATGTTACTTCCCCAGTGAGGTTTCTTCTGACACTCCCACCACCATCTAAATTAGGTCCCCCTCATTCTCTCTAGGACCCTATTCTTTTCCACTAAAAATCTGTTACAATAAACACAAATATATTGTCTTCTCCCCACCTTAGGAACAAACTTCAAGGGTAGATTTTTAGAAAGCTGTTAGGCTCCTGCATTCCTTTGCCTCGCAAATTATCTATTAATTCCATCTATTTTTCCCTCTCTCTACTAAATGTACAGACTACCTTTAGTCTCAGCTGGACCACTTCCAAATTACTGTTAGACATAATAATAGACAATAATTAGACAAGCTTATTAGACATAAGCTCTACAAGCATATTTTGTATGCCACATAGGCACAGTGCCCAGCACATATTAGGTGCTCAATAACAATCTGCTGGATGAGTAAGTGGCCTTATTCTTAATTCTAATACTTGATTCTCTCCTACTCCCAAAAGTAGCCCTTAAAGTCTGAGAGTATAATGTCTTGGAACCTTAGCAGTATACACCAATGAAAGTTGTGAAATCTTAGTCAAAAAAGGCAACAGATGTTTTATTCTTCAATGCAAATTACTGTATTCACCACAAGCTAAAGAAGAGAACATGTATCCTACATATATATTTATATATATATATATTTTTTGTGTGTGTGTGTGTGTGTGGATTTATGGAAGACTAAAGACACGGAAAAAAATCCAGCACCCCAACATGTACAGCCAGGAAGGAAATCAGTTCTGTAATAGGACAGGTATAATGAACTACAAACAAGAAGGGGTGGAAAAAGAAGAAAAAAAAATGTGCATTGAGTTTAAGACACTGTAAAACTCAGAAGACATATTTACTATTCAAGTATAAACTCTGTAAGGACTTGGCATAAATTGAAAGGCAGCTGCTGAGGTACACCATTATAAAAGAAGTTCTATGAATTTACAATTCTACCTTCCAATTTCCTGGGAGAAAAAACCAAACTCTTGAAGGTCTTCACCAGAGACCCTGAGAGGGATTAACACTTTTGATGAAGACATAGTCAATAATTCATGATTGAACTATTCAAAAACATGTATTTATTTAGAACAATAGAAATACGTGTTCTCAGACTGTCCTCTAGAGTTTTTGAGACTATTAGTTCAAGAGTTTCAAAGTATATTACTTGTAAAAACAATACTGATTAAAAAAATTTTTTTTAACAAAAAAACAGAAATCTGATTTGATGGTACCTTGAAAATACCCTAAATACCAAATTTTCTCCAACCTAACATTACAGCTAATTTAAGAATTCCTCCTTCATTGGTAAAACATTTTTTCCTCATTAAATGTGGGTACTGAAATTGGATAGAAACACTATGAATGTGAAAATACCACCAATTTTCTGCAGTAAAAAAAAAAAACCCAAAAAACAAAAAAACAAACAAAAAACCTAGAATGTTCTTTGGAATCACTGAAATATCACAAACTTGGGTTTTTTCTTACAGTCTGTGCACCTTCTTTCAGGTTCTCTGTTTTGCTTGTAGTACTGACTGTGTGATTCTAATTTTTATAGATTCAAGTCTTGCAATGCAATATCCATGCTTGACACACCGGTGTCTCTGACCAGTGAGAAGTTATGCATAACCCAGAAACGCTGTCATTTACATCTCCATAAAGACTTCTGCCCCAAATAAAAACTTCAGAATGACACAACACATCCTGTGTTAAACAATCAAATGAACCCAACAAGGGGGATTCCAGTGTGATTTCAGTACTTGGGAGGGCATTGTCTGCTATGGTTTCTCATGGAAGTACCACAGGCCTGGCTGCTAGCATTCAGCTTTCCTTGGCCTTAAAAGGGATTTTCTCAGGGCTGGCAAGTTGGATTAGATTCTAAGAGAATTTTGTCTTTGACAAACTACCATTTTTAGCATAAAATCTGGCCATGGCTATAAGTTTCAATGTGTGTACAACTGATTAGAGAGTTTTTTTTTTCTTTTTCTTTTCAACATTGGCTGGAATTGAGTAGAAAAAAGTCCACGATGCCTCTTCACATGTGTCATGAAATATGAGAAATCTGTCTGATTCTAGATACTATTTCTTTACGACACAATGGGCAGGTCTCCAGCTGCAAGGCACAATCCATGCACAGGTCACTGGGGAGAAACACAGAAAAGTCAGTCAAGTTAATGCTTCAAAAGGTCAAACTCCAACTGCCTGCCAACTAAATCAAAAATGTTAACAAGTTTGTTCATTGAAAGGGTTACTAATTATACATGGTTTAAAAAAAATGAATATGTAAATAAAAAGTAAATCTTACATTTCTGATCCTCAATTGTCTTAGTCTGTGGAACAAGTAAAAAGTTCATATGCATTCTTTCAGACACTCTATATGTGCACAGCATATACTTACAGATGTGCACTTATAGGTAGGGATATAATATTTCTCCCCAGAAAGCTAGCCATTTATCCCAGAATCATTTACCAAACAGTCCATCTTTCACCACAGTTTTGACACAATGCCTTTGTCATATGGTAAATTTTCATTTTTAGTTAGTTCTATTTCTGGGCTTTTATTGTATTCCATTATTCTGCCATTCTTGTCATATAGTAATGGGACCAAACTATTAACATTTATTTTAATGTATTTTAAGATGTGGTATGGTTGTCATCTCCCTAACTTTCAGAATTTTCTTGCCTTAAACTTTTAAATCAGCATGTCAAGTTCCAGAAAAAAATCATGTTGCTCTTTTTATGTTGAGCAAATTAAACTTAGAGTTTAGAGAAAACTGTCACCTTTACAATACTGAGAGGTCCTCCTATCCAAGAAGAGACTCATTTATTTAAGTCTTCTGTTATACTCTTTGGTAGTTTAAAAGTTTTCTTCATATACGCTCTACATATTTCTTGCTATGTATTCTTAGATAGCACTTTTTTTTTTAACCATGGTAAAAGGGATCTTCAATTATATGTTCTAACTGGCTGCTATTATACATATAGCTAGAAGAGCTACTGATTTTTGTGTATTTTGTAAGTCATAGTGGTGACAGTAGGCATCCTTATCTTATTCCCAACATCTCTTGAAATGCTTCCTATGTGTCACCATTAAAAAGATGCTAGCTGGTGAAACCCCGTCTCTACTAAAAATACAAAAATTAGCTGGGCATGGTGGCGGGCACTGGTAATCCCAGCTACTTGGGAGGCTGAGGCAGGAGAAATCACTTGAGCTCGGGAGGCGGAGGTTGCAGTGAGCTGAGATCACGCCACTGCACTCAAGCCTGGGTGACAGAGCGAGACTCCGTCTCAAAAAATAAATAAATAAATAAAAATAAATAAATAAATAAAAATAAAAAAATAAAGAGATACTAGCATTTGGCTGAAATATATGTGTTTTTTGTATTGTTATGGAAGTATCCATCCATTCCTATTTTATATTGTTTTAGTCCATTCATTTCTGTTTTGTAGTATTTCATCCATTAGGAATGGATATTGAATTTTAACAAATGCTTTCTCAGCATTCTTGAAGTGATAACTGCCCCTCTCCTGCCTCTGGCCTATTTGAGTAATTATATTAAAGATTTCTATATTGTAGGCTGGGCATGGTGACTCATGCCTGTAATCCCAGAACTTTTCGGAGGCCAAGGCAGGTGGATTACTTTAGGTCAGGAGTTCGAGCCAGCCTGGCCAACATGGTGAAACCCCGTCTCTACTAAAAATACAAAAATTAGCTGGGCCTGGTGGCATGCGCCTGTAATCCAAGCTACTCGGGAGGCTGAGGCAGGAGAATTGCATGAACCCAGGAGGCAGAGGCTGCAGTGAGCTGAGATCACACCACTGTACTCCAGCCTGGACGACAGAGCAAGACTCCATCTCAAAAAAACCTGCCTTTGCCTGGGCTGGAGTGCAGTGGCACGATCTCTGCTCACTGCAACCTCCACCTCCCAGGTTTAAGCAATTCTTTGTCTCAGCCTCCTGAGTAGCTGGGATTACAGGCGCCCACCACCACGCCCGGGTAATTTTTTTTGTATTTGTAGTAGAGACGGGGTTTCACTGTCTTGGCCAGGCTGGTCTCAAACTCCTGGCCTTGTGATCCACCCGCCTTGGCCTCCCAAAGTGCTGGGATTACAGGTGTGAGCCACCGTGCCCAGCCTAAGATTTCTGTAATTGTACCATCCTTGCATTCCTAAGATAACTCCCCCTGCCAGTTGCGTTGCTAGGTCTTACTTTCTAATATTTTATTTGGGAGTTTTAGATTTATATTCATAAAAAAATAGTTTTTTCTTTTTATGAGTTTTATCAGCTTTTGGTATGATTACTAAAAATAACATTGTGGTTTTCCTACTTTCTCTATGGTTTGGCCAAGTTTAAATAGAATTGGGCTACCTATTCCCTGAAAGTTGTAAAGAGTTCACCTGTGAAACTAGCCTTAGTACTTGTGGAAGAGAAGGCAAAGGTAGCTTTGATAACCATTTTAACTTCTTTTATGGTAACAGGAATGCTTAGATTTTCAGTCTCCTCTGGGGATTGACTCTTGTAATTCATTTTATCCAGGTTTCCTTTCTTTGTCCCTATATCCCTTTTAAAATTGTTGTTGCTGCTCAAAGTTTAGCTAAATTTTCTTATAATTCTTTTAATGTCCTCTTCCAACTCTATTTTGGATATATATCTACTATGGAGACTATGATCATACTTAAGATACCTAGTTCTAAAGTTTTATATTTCAGCACTCATTAATGACCCCTTGTATTATGTGCAAGACCACAGGACCAGAGAGCTCAAAGATGATTAAGACCAGATCCAGCTGTTTGAGATCTTAACATTCTTACAGAAACAAAGATCAAAAAGGGCATGAAGATATCCAACCTTTAAACTCTGCATCTGTCTGTGAGGCCCTGATAACTAAACCCTCCAAATATGCTCAAACTGAGAAATTCTGGGCTGTAGAAGTAATAGGGAGGATTAATCACAGCTGGAATCACTGTGCCTTTCTTTCAGAAGAGAGGCTGGTATAGCTAAGGGTGAAATGAGACACACTCTACTTCCCTTAAGTGCACAGCCAATTAGATAACCCGTTTCAAAAGACAACAAACGTAGAGAGGCAGAGTCAGGGGCCCAGGCTGAGTCATTCCTGGGGATGACAAACTGGGTTCATCACTCCAGGCTCTGGACCCCTGTGGAGCCACGTGACTAAAGCTATGTCAAAAATAAGACCAAGGCAGGGTATGGGATATGATGAATTACAGGTAGCTGGCTTGTAACATCAACTTGAGTGTTGCTCATAAACAATCGGCACACATTGACTGGCCAGGACGCCACATTGCCCAACTGCTCTTCTCCTTTCTAAACTTAGTTGGGCTAGCCTTCCTGGGGACCATCTTACTTGCTTCTCTTGCTGATGCTCACTCTGTTCTATAGGGTCCAGGCTGCCCTCTGAGTTCATCTCATACAACTGAAATTTAGTAAGATGACATGGAGGCTGCTAACTTCTCAATGGTTGACTGTAAATAAGAAGTAAATGAGGAAGCTCTAAAACTAAAAGAGTGCCTAGGAAGCTCATAAATAGCATTAAACCTGTTACATTTTGTGAAGCCAAAATTGTATCAAAAATACAGTACTGAGTAAACAAAACAGCCTTCCACATCAAGCAGCTGCTTCTATTTCAGGTACTTTCTGGAAGACAGCCAGGTTCTACTTAAACTCTAGTTCCTCATTCAGCCTGCTTTAGATACAATAAACCCTGACGAACAGCCATGGAACTAGCAATTTAAGAACAGTATGAAACTTTGCCTAATATAAATCCTCTTACCTGTGTCCACATGGCTTCAATTGTGTGTCTGCTACCTCATCACAACAAAGGGAACAGCAGTTTTCTCGGATACTGACTTGCTTCAACAGAGCAAGACGCCTGTGCCTGAGTAGAAAAAGCAATTTGAAATACATTTTGTCAACAGGGGTCCTGTTAGCAGTGATGCATATGAAATGTTTTGAAAATGCTCTGCACCTGTGACATATATTCCTTAAACTTTGTTCAGTAAGGTTTTCATACATGCCATCTCCTTTCAATCCTACAATCATTTTCTAAAGTAGAGAATGAAGGAGGTATAACCATTCCCATTTTATAGACAAAGTTCAAGGAAATGACTTGTATAAGGTATGCAGTCAGGAATCAAATTAAAATCCTTTAGTTCTAAGTCCAGTGCTCTTTTTATGTTACCAGCAAATTTCAACCTTTTAAATCACATATGTGAGAGTCTGCTCACAAGCATAGAGGCTTTCTCAAGAAAAACACACATATACAAGTTTTTATACAATTTCAAGGGGTTTATAACAGTTCATTTTAGACTCCCTGCAAGTCCAAACACCTCAAGTTAGAACCCTTCCATTATACTTTCACTCAGCATGGAATGGAAGCAGACAGGCAAAACTGTTCTGCTGAAGGTACAGCCCTAATATATGGGCAAGGGAAGCATGAAGCATGTATTCAGTTCACTTACGGGCTTACTGTGTGCCAGGCACTGTTCCAAGCCCTAGAGATTCAGCAGTGAACAGAGGACTAAAAAAGTATCCCTGCCTTTGGAGAGCTTATGCTCCAGTAGGGGAAGACAGAAATAAACAAGATAAGTAAAATACAGTGTTAAATGCTGATAAATACTATGAAGAAAAGGGAAAATGGGAAGGACAAGGAGTGTACACATCAGAGGTGGGGTGTTATTAAAACAATTTTAAATATGGCAGCCAGGAAAGGTCTCACTAAGGTAATATTGAGGTAAAGGGAGTGAGGAAGTAAGTTTTGTGGTTGTTTGGAGAAACCGTTTCGGGTAGCAGGAACAGCAAGTGCCCTGAAGCTATCATAGGCCTGGTGTGTTTCAGGAGCAGCAAGGAGGCCAGGGTGGCTGAAGGAGCATGAGAAAACGGGAGAGGGTAGGAAATAGGTCAGAAAAGTAACATAGGGAAGGGAGAGGACAAATTGTACGGGGCCTGGGAGGTCACCGGAAAGGTTTTGGCTTTTCCGTTCAGTGAATAAGAAGCCACGCACTGGCATCTTTTGAGCAGAGAAGTGTGTGATCTGACTTACGTTGTAACAAATCATTCTGGAGGCTGTGTTGAATAGACTGAAGGGGATCTGGGGAGGAACAAGGTAGAGGGCAAGACAAAAATAATATAGGTAGGAAATGGTGGAGGCTTGGACCATGGTAGCAGCAGTGAGGGTGATGAGTAGTTGGATTTTGGATATATTCTGAAGGCACAGCCTACTGGATTTGCTGAGGGATTGAATGTGGAAATAGCAGAAAGTAAGGTGTCAAGGATACTCTACGGTTATGGCCAGGGAAACTGGGATGATAAAGGAGTTATTAACAGACGAGGGGCCAGGCACAGTGGCTCACGCCTGTAATCCCAGCACTTTGGGAGGCCGAGGCAGGCAGATGGCTTGAACCCAAGAGTTCGAGACCAGCCTGGGCAACATGGCGAAACCCAGTCTCTACAAATAATACAAAAATTAGCTGGGTGTGTTGGCATGCCTGTAGTCCCAGCTACTCAGGAGGCTGAGGTGGGAGGATCGCTTGAGCCTGGGAGATGGAGGTTGCAATGACCTGAGATTGTGCCACCACACTCCTGGGCAACAGAGTGAGACCCTGTCTCAAAAAATAAAAAATAAAAATTAAAAAAACAGAGATGAGAGAAGACTGAGGGAGAAGCAGTGGCTGTGAGTGGATGACTTGTAGCTGAGAGTGGGTATGTGGTGCTTCACTGTACTATTATTTTTTTCTTCTGTATGTATTTGAAATTTTCCATAATAAAAAGGTTAAAGAAAAAAAGAATGAATGGAAGAATTACAGACAGAGAGTATATACAACACAGAACAATTTATAAAATCCCAGTTAGTAGTAACAGGGCCATGAGCTCCTACCCTGATGCCAGAAAGGAGTAATATTCCAATGAATATAAAGTATCACTGAATATACATTTTTGGAACACAGGATGAAAATATTAATGGCACAGAAAATGGTCTCAAGTAAGTTCATACTTAATGCCACAATTTATAATTAAGCACAACTGGAATGTTAAGGGCAGCAAGGTGCAAGAAGGAGGTTGGCACTAAGGTGGCCACTCAGTTAGGCTCCTGACAACTATATCTTCTTGTTACTATCAGAGAAAACAGTCTAGAGACAGCATAGGATTGACCTAGCTTGGAATTCAGCTGTTCTTATTCAAGACAAGACGAACTTTGGGTACCAAATTTATATACATGGTTACCAAGAGAGTATGTATAAGCTGCCCATAAAATGAGACTTTCTGATAGTTGATGCCCATTGCCATCTGAGTTTGGGAAGGTTTAATTCTGCAGGAGCAGTTAACTAAATGCTGAAGCATTTTAACTATGTCCAGTCCCCATGGGAACTTAGATGGATCAATTGTCCCTTTTAGGGTATATGTGAGAAGACTTATTTGTGGGCTTCATCCAAGGAAAAGGCAGGCTAGATGAAAAAGAACGGGGTATGATAGATAAGGGAGAGGTGTCCCCTCAGACTTTGGCCAAGAGGAATTTAAAGTTCAGAATCTCTGTCAGGCACCAAGGATGAG
Source organism: Homo sapiens (assembly GCF_000001405.40). Taxonomy (NCBI): domain Eukaryota; kingdom Metazoa; phylum Chordata; class Mammalia; order Primates; family Hominidae; genus Homo; species Homo sapiens. The sequence goes on along the minus strand of NC_000016.10, from coordinate 57,232,451 downwards.
CCTGAATGAAAAGTTCTAGGAATTAACCTCAGAACCCTGAGCGGGAACATATGCAACCCTTATGTTCTTGGGCTATTACTGAGGCTCTGCTGCCAGTGTTACCATCTGCAGACAACACTACCATCATCGTCCCATTTTCTAGTTCATCTGGAAACTATTGAACCACTGAGACAGTGATTCCAAGGTGAAGCACAGCCCAGAGCACTGCTTGCAGATCTGCTTTTTGAGCCAAAACAAGAGCTAGGATTACGTTACAGATATCTTCAGGGGCATACCAGTCCGACATTAGCTATGTCATGGCCAGTATGCTGGCCTTGGCTGCTGAGAGAGACTCTCTTACTGATATAAGATATGTGGTATTAGTAACAGGAATACCCTTTAAACAGGCAGCTGCTCTGTTTAAAATGATAAACTTTAGCTCACATTGTGAAACAAGCTTCAACTTGAAGTAATTACCAGGAAGCAGCTGGAGTCTTTCCCCAGCCTAAGGAATAGACTACATTCATCTCACAAGGAAGTAAAGCAGGCATTCATCTGATAAATTAATGCCAATCACAGTTTTTGTCAAATAAGGGCTGTAAAATTTTATGCAAGATGGTATTCACTGATGGTTGTGGAACAGTGTTGTCATCTTTGCCACACAGTTGAAACCACATAAAAAGTCTGTTTCAATAAAGCCGAGTCTGCTAAAAGATGTACTAGATTTCCTAATATTTAGGATTTTGACACTGACATTCACGTGAAGTTAGTTTGCAGTTTGTGTGCATGTGTCATATTTTTCTGATTTTTATACCAATCTTATTTATCTCACAAAAAAAATTTGAAAGTGTTCCGTCTTTCTGGGTTTGGTAACATTTTAAATAACAATAAGGTTATCTGTTACCTAAAGATTTGGTAGAGATCCCCTGTGAAACCACCTGGGTCTGGTGCTTTCTAGGGACAGATATATACAATAATTGGTTTGTGTATATTTCTTCTGCGATCTTAGAAATTTATATTTCCTGAAAAGTCATCCATTTTACTCAGGTTTTCAAAATTTATTTGTTATATTCTTTTAACGTTGATTATAAATTGTTTAATTTCTCATAAGATTCATGTGAAAGTCTGGAGATAGCCTGGGCAGATTCCTTACCTTGGCAAAATGATTTTTTCTTCAGCTGTTAGGAAGGCGTAGTCATTAAAAGTGCTAAATTTCATAGATGGTGGGTATTTGAATGGTTTTGCTCCAAAATTGAACTCACATTGTTGATATGACATGAAACTAGCTGCAGCAAAAAATCCAGATCTACAAATAAAATGAGTACAGAGGCCAATAGAATTAATAAAAATCAAAATAGAGTTAATAGATAGAACAGTTTTCAGAAAGGCAGGGTGAGTCAATCCTACCCTGGCAGAAAGGAAGAGTGACAGACTGTGTTTATAACCCACACAGGTCTGTGACTAGAGAATATTCTGCCTTATCTTCCTGTATCAAACTTTGGGATAGTTTTAGGTCTGATCAAATGGGTTCCCAATCACTTGAAATTAATCAATTTCTCATCACAATTGCATATATAAATGGACAAAGACTTTTTTTTTCCTAGAGAAAAGGGCATTCCGTGCATCTACTCGAATTTTTGACTGAGAAGAGCTACTTACACAGTAGATGAAAAGACTTGCTTTTCAGGAGGCAGCTGGTTGCCATTTAAAAAGAAGATCATTTGCTTTTCATTCAAGTCTAACAGAAATCCTACTGTATCTCCTAGAGGATAAAGAGAAACACTGTTAGGATAATGATGTGTACTACCAGGATTCTTTGCTAAGCATCTCAAGTGTTTCAATGGCACTGTATTAAGTCTGCATCTTTAGCTATGCATTCAACATGTTAATTTTTGTTTCTTCTGTAACTGATCTGACCCCTATACACCAATATTTTAATGTAACAATAAGAAAAAAATACTGCCAATTAAATTATGACAAGCCAATCTTAAGATGCATCCCAATTTCAAAGATGTTAAAATGTGGGGAAAAATACGCATTTTGGGCTCAATGAAATATGGTAAGATCAAAAAATCATGTGGTCACTTGCCTCTCTGGTGAGATTTATAATTCCCTAGATAACTACCCCAAAATATGCCTTTCTTTAAAAAAAGGCAAGGCAGGCTGGGCGAGGTGGCTCACGCCTGTAATCCCAGCACTTTGGGAGGCCAAGGCGGGCGGATCACCTGAGGTCAGGAGTTTGAAGACCAGCCTGGCCAACATGGTGAAACCCCGTCTCTACTAAAAATACAAAAATTAGCTGGGTGTGGTGGTGGGCACCTGTAATCCCAGCTACTCGGGAGGCTGAAGCAGGAGAATCACTTGAATCCGGGAGGCGGAGGTTGCAGTGAGACGACATCATGCCATTGCACTCCAGCCTGGGTGACGGGGCAAAAATCCATCTCAAAAAAAAAAAAAAAAAAAAAAAGGGCAGGGCGTGGTGGTTCATGCCTATAATCCCAGCACTTTGGGAGGCCGAGGTGGGCAGATCATCTTGAGGTCAGTTTGAGACCAGCACAGCCAACATGGTGAAACCCCATCTCTACTAAATATACAAAAATTACCCGGGTGTTAATGGCAGGTGCCTGTAATCCCAGCTACTTGGGAGGCTGAGGCAGGAAAATCGCTTGAACCCTGGAGGTGGAGGTTGCAGTGAGCTGAGATCGCGCCACTGCACTCCAGCCTGGGTGACAGAGTGAGACTGCATCTCAAAAAAAAAAAAAAAAAAAAAAAAAAAAAAAAAGCATTTATCTTCACTTATCAGATAAAGTAAAACTCTAAGGTTTCAGTTTTTGGTTTTGTTATTTTTGTTGTTAAGACAGGGTCTTGCTCCATTACCCAGGCTGGAGTGCAGTGGTACAATCCTAGCTCACTGCAGCCTCAAACTCCTGGGCTCAAGTGATCCTCCTGCTTCAGCCTCCTGAGTAACTAGGACTACAGGCACGTGCCACCACCCCTGGCAAATTTTTAAAATTTTTTTATAGAGATGGGGGGTCTCATTATGTTGCCCAGGCTAATCTCAAACTCCTGGCCCCAAGTGATCCTCTCAAAGGATCCTCACACTTTGATCTCCAAAAGTGCTGGGATTAAAAGTATGAGCCACCACGTCTGGCCCAATTTTGGTTTTGAAAGATGAGATAAACAAATTTGTCTGTCAAAGATAAACAAATGAAATTACACAGCAATGACAAGAAAAATGGACACTCAATGCTGGTGGAGGAAAATCTGGCAATATACAGCAAAAGCTTTGAAATTCTATATCCCCCTTGCCAGAGAAGTTTCACTTCTAAGGGTTTTGTCTTGAGAAAATCCAGAATGGTCTATAATGATAATTTTAAAAGGCAAAAATGTCAGTGTCCAACAATGAGGCATTAATTAGTATATCATAGTACAACTATATAATGGAATACTGAGAAGCCATTAAAAGTAATGTTATTGGCTGGGCCATGGGGGCTCAGGCCTGTAATCCCAACACTTTGGGAGGCCAGAGTTGGGTGGATCACTTGAGCCCAGAAGTTTGAGACTAGCCAGGGCAACATGGCAAAATCCTGTCTCTACCAAAAAAATACAAAAATTAGCCGGGCGTGGTGGTGTGTCCCTGTAGTCCCAGCTACTGGAGAGGCTGAGGTGGGAGGATGGATTGTGCCTGGGAGGTCAAGGCTGTATGAGCTATGATCACACCACTGCACGCAAGCCTGGGCTATCGATAGATGAGACCCTGTCTCAAAAACAGCAACAATAAAAAGTAATGTTATTTAATAACCTGGAAAGCTGTTCAAGGTATTAAGTATAACAACAACAAAAATATACATATATATAAAATTTAAGTGTTTTTAAAAAATCTCTGGAGAAATTACAGGGGATTTTTAGTTTATTCATTTTTTTTCTATTTTTCAAATTTTTATAATAAACATATTACTCGAATAATCCTTTAAAAAATTCTTATTAAAAAACAAGCTAGTTTTTGAAAACAGGGCCTTTATCATATGCTCCATTAAATGAAGAAGTTTTATGTTCCTTCAAGAACCTGCAAGCCATTAAAATGAGTGTTCCTGTTGGCTTTTCTGATTTTTTTCCCACACCACCAATTTAATCAAGTGGAGCTGTTTCCATATGGGGGTGGGCAAATTCCTGCTTTCCTTTTTTTTTTTTTTTTTTTTTGAGATGGAGTCTCACTCTGTTGCTCAGGCTGGAGTGCAGTGGCGCAACCTCGGCTCATTGCAACCTCTGCCTCCTGGGTTCAACTGATTCTCCTGCCTCAGCCTCCCAAGTAGCCGGGACCGCAGGTGGGTGCCACCACACCTGGTTAATTTTTGTATTTTAGTAGAGATGAGGTTTCACCATGTTGGCCAGGCTGGTCTTGAACTCCTGACTTCAAGCAATCCACCTGCCTCAGCCTAAATTTCTGCTTTCTTAGCATGCCTAAAAATTCAGTTTATATCCATAATGCTGATTGGGGTAGCAAAATGAGAGAGGGATGCTTGGAGAAAGAGTTGGGTTATATCCTCTATCTAGCTCTGATGCTAGGAATCAAATCCTTCCAGAGGTTATATCCTCTACCATATGACCCTACTTCCTTAGAGCGTGGCCACTGGATAGGACCTGTTCCATAGCCATCTTGTCCCTGAAAAATCCTCATTTTAGTGGCATTACAATTCCAGTGTCCCTGATATTGCCATGGCTGCTTTAATTCAAAACAGATCCAAAGAGGAAAATAGAATTCATACTAATCTTGAGTATCATTTTCTGACAAATGTAAAAAATTTATTTTCTGAAATGTTTTTGCTACAGGAAGAACTCCACCAGAGGTAAATTTATCAGAGGAATACCATTTATATCCTTGGCAGTGACACAAAAGTTAATATCCCTTTTCACATTTGATCTTCTCCTAAGACATTTTAAGGCTTAATGTAATAAATGCCTCATAATAACCAGATGTCTTAACCCACTTGATAAATTTATAATGGAGGGAATGAATACCTTCTTTCCAGCATGGGTGTATGTGAGGCTTACTTCTGGCATTGTACCAAATCAGCTGCCGGCAGCCATCATACGCACAGGAGTATTCATCATCCCCAATGCCGTAGCCTTCCTGGAGAGAGACAAGGCCCAGAAGATTAGCAAGTCTGCCTGCTCTGACCTGGGAACAGAGAGTGTGTCTTTTACGACCACTGACCTAATGGCTGGGATTCTAAGCTTTCTGGATGATGAGAGAGCTCATGGTTTTTTGAAAATACTAAAATTATGACTTAGAGGGCTGGTTCCAAGTGAATAGATAATGACTTCACCAACAAATATTTTCCCAGTGCCTCCTTTGTTCAGGCACTTTCACATTTGTTAGTTCATTTAATTCTCACTAACATTATCATGAGGCTGGTGGCATCAGACTCCATTTTAAGAGGAAACAAAGGCTCAAAGAGGTCAACCAGCTTGCCCAAGCATATATTACTTGCCCAAGAAACAGAGCCAGGTTTGAACCTAAATTCTTCTGATTCCAAGATCAGTCAGTACACTTGTATATCAGCACAAGATTGTCAGAGGCATTCAAACCAGAGAGACTCCATCTTGAATAGGGGCAGGGTAAAATGAGGCTTAGACTTGCTGGGCTGCTCAGCTGCATTCCCAAGAGGTTAGGCATTCTTAGTCACAGGATGAGACAGGAGGTCAGCACAAGATACAGGTCACAAAGACCCTGCTGATAAAACAGGATGCAATAAAGAAGCCAGCCAGAAGCTGGCCAAAACCCACCAAAACCAAGATGGCAACAAAAGTGACCTCTGGTCATCTTCACTGTTCATTATATGCTAATTATAATGCATTAGCATGCTAAAAGACACTCTAACAGGTGCCATGACACTTTACAATGTCATGGCAGTTTGGAAGTTACCCTATATAGTCTAAAAAGGAGAGGAACCCTTGGTTCCAGGAATTGCCTGTCCCTTTCCCAGAAAACTCATGAATAATCCATCCCTGTTTAGCATATAATCGAGAAATAACTAAGTATACTCAGTTGAGCAGCCCACGCCACTGCTCTGCCTATAGAGTAGCCATTCTTCTGTTTCTTTAATAAACTTGTGAAAACACTTTATTCTATGGATTCGCCCCAAATTCTTTCTTGCGCGAGGTCCAAAAACCCTCTCTTGGGATCTGGATCCAGACCCTTTCCAGTAACAAGATCAGATCAGGCAAATACCTTTCTTGCATGTAGCAGACTTCAAAATACCCAAATATTCAGAGATTTCAAAACTGGAGATAAGAGAAAGGTTATAGTGGACACTCAGCTAAAAGCTATTCTGAAATCAGCTTGATTTGAGGATTGTACAGGTCCTTGGCAGTTTCTTCTTTTTTTTTCTTTGAGATGGAGTTTCACTCTTGTTGCCTAGGCTGGAGTGCAATGGCGCGATCTTGGCTCACCACAACCTCTGCCTCCCGGGTTTAAGCGATTCTCCTGCCTCAGCCTCCTGAGTAGCTGGGATTATAGGCATGCGCCACCAGGCCCAGCTAATTTTGTATTTTTAGTAGGGACGGGGTTTCTCCATGTTGGTCAGGCTGGTCTCGAACTCTAGACCTCAGGTGATCTGCCCGCCTCGGCCTCCCAAAGTGCTGGGATTACAGGCGTGAGCCACCGCGCCTGGCAGTTTCTTCTTTTTGTTACTTACTGCCTTTCAATTATTTCACAGAACTGTTAAAATAAAAGGGTGGCTGAGATCTTAAGAAATTATTTTGAGTGCTTATAAAAAATAGAAGCAGCATGCAAATCAGACAACTGCTATCTTTAAGGAACAATGGTGAAAAGTTTTACTAGAGAAAGAAATTGAAAATGGCCAAATCCAAGTAAGATCAGGTCCTGATGGCCTGCTTCTTCTATGGGGCAAACAATACAGTGAGGAGAGAGATTGGAAAAAAAGTTCTGATGAATGCAACAATGATTTTGTACTGGATTTTTGGATTACAACATACTGAATTTGGAGGAACGCTCTCCAAAGTGACTCTTCTGAAATAGCTATTGATATTCACTATTCAGACTACTCAAGAGTTAAATGAGCTTGCATCTAATTGCCTTAGAAATTCACCACCCAAGGCTGCCAAGAGCAGTGGCTCATGCCTGTAATTTCAGCACTTTGGGGGGCAGATCACTTGAGGCCAGGCATTTGAGACCAGCCTGGCCAACATGGCGAAACCCTGTCTCTACTAAAAATACAAAAATTATCCAGGTGTGGTGGCGCACACCTATAATCCCAGTTACTCTGGTGGCTGAGGCACAAGAATCGCCTGAACCTGGGAGGCAGAGGTTGCAGTGAGCAGAGATCACGTGCCACTGCACCCTGGCCTGGGTGACAGAGCGAGACTGTCTCAAAACAAAACAAAACAAAAGAAATTCACTACTTGCTAGAAAGAATGCCTTGCCACACCTTTCAAACGCTGAACAAGTCAGTAAGTAAAAAACTTAAAAACCACTAAAATGTAGGCATTGTGGCATAAGTAAAAGGCAAGCAATTCTTTTCTATCTTCACCTTCTAATGTCCTGAGAAGTCCTTGACAGAACACTTGAAAGAAATTCCTAGAAGCTAGCCACCATGAGTTGGTAAAGAGCAGACTCATTACACATTCTTTACCATGCAATGTCTTTGATGACTGGATAAGTTCCACAACAGAGTGGCACTGTAGCACAAAGAAGGAACTCTAATAACTTTAACTACAGAGCAGCATCTACAGATTTAAGGAGAAGATGCCTCTGCCTAGCAGAGATGCACTTTAAAAATCTCTTAAGCTTACATCTCAGAGAACAACCTAGATGTCCTACACCCTCTCTCAGCTCAAAATGTTCCCAGCAGGATTAATTTTGGTTTCCATTGGCTAGGACAGATAAATGAGAGAATAGAGTGGTTAGCTTGGTATTTATCTTGAACTACCTGTTTTTTGGTCATGCATATTTTAGCAATGGAAACATTACCAAATACAAACAAAAGAAAGTTTATCCACAGCTTGTCATTCAGGGAATAGTTTGAGTCTCTTTCCCACGTGGTGGACACTCTCCTTTTTCCTGCTGTAGGGCATCCCAACCGTTTCCTGTTAAGGGAAATGTATGAAGACAGTGTTCTGCCTCCTCCTTTGGAAGTGGAAAGGTAAGATATGACCTAGGCTTGGCCAGCTGGACCTTCCCATCAAACACTCAGTATGGTGCAAGTGACCCCAAACAGAGGGATAGTTAGGATGGATTTCCAGCAGCAATGGTGGCTGCATGCTGGCCAGATCGTTTCCCTAAAACACCGGCTATTGTACTTCCTGTTTCTTGGCCCTGACAGCCTTGGAGCCTGTCTAGTTCCAAAACTTCTCCATAATCTGGAGGCTCCGGAAAGGCTTCTAAATCATTCCTTTTCTGTCTGAGATAGCCAGAGTCATTTTCTCGAAGGCAGATGCTTCAACAGGGGAAGGAGCATGGGCTATCCTGGCCTGAAATCTCTAGCAGCTGGAGACTACATGGCTTTGGGGAAGTTTCTTAATTTCTCTCAACTTGATTTTCCTCATCTTTAAATGGCAGGATAATACCTTTCCAAACTCTCAAAAAGATTAAAGATAAATATGTGAAAGACCTCACAAAAGTGTCACATGACAGACACTCACAAAAAAGCAAAAGATATTTATTTATTTATTTATTTTTGAGACAGAGTCTCACTCTATCGCCCAGGCTAGAGTGCAGTGGCACTATCTGGGCTCAGTGCAACCTCTGCCTCCCATATTCCAGCAATTCTCCTGCCTCAGCCTCCCGAGTAGCTGGGATTACAGGCGCCCGCCACCACGCCCAGCTAATTTTTTATATTCAGTAGAGACGGGGTTTCACCATGTTGGCCAGTCAAACTCCTGACCTTAAGTGATCCACCCACCTCAGCCTCCCAAAGTGCTGGGATTACAGGTGTGAGCCACTGCGCCTGGCCAAAAGGCAAAAGATATTTTAGATAAATCAGAGTACACCCTTGGAGAGTTGCTCCTCCTAAGCCTCCATAAAAATATACAATACAACAAGACAAACTGTTCTGTAGGTTACCTGAACAGAACTATCCTTAAGCTTATTTTAATGACCTAACATTGAGCCCAGTGGCCAGCCTTTTAAAATGGAAACCTAAGCAGCAAGAATTCAAGTAAGAGGCACTATGCAGAGACTTAGAATCTTTTGAAACTGGGTGTATCCTAGGAATGACTTACTCCATAGAATCACACCCTGTCTGAATAGGCAAAAAGATTCAGAATCACCAGAACAATGTACATTTAAAGCAAAGTTTTAAATATGGCAACATCATTAAAATCCTGTATTTGGGAAAAGACATCGTATCAGACTTTATCAATTTCTAATAGGGAATCACCTAATGCTTGGATCAGGGAAGAGTGTTTGTTTTTAAAGAAACCAACAGCCTGTCAAGTGATCTGGAGGATAAAAAAACAGTATTTAAGTCTTTAACTTGACAAGCCAAAGGTCTGCAACTACATGGCAAAAGTTATAATTTCATCGAGCAGATGAAATGATCCAGCTTCACTGGTCATTAAAAAAACACATTTGTAACATTCAGTGCCAGACCTAGATCTGTAGTGTGTTTGCTGCCAAATCAGGAGAGACAAGTTTTATATCGAAGCTTCCTCCCTGGAAGAATCCCCTATTACTTCTAGTTCTAGAACAATTTTTCACTTCCAAATGAGGAAACTAGCTAATTCTCTGAGATTTTCCCCATTTTTGAATACAAAGAAAACAACTGTTGTAGAATAGGAAGGCCACTGAATTCTGGTATGAGTTTCTTCCTACTCTGTCTCAGTTTTCTCATCTGTGAAATGGAAATTGTAACAGTAAAAGCTATTGTGGGAATCAGATGATTGGCAGACTGGGGTCTAGTTCTCCACCCCAGACAGGAGTACAGACTTGACCTCTCCACTGGCCCTTTTCCTCCAATTTGTCTCTCTCCAGCCTAGGAGTTTTAATAATACACCATCAACAATTCCAGGGTGAAATACAGCCTTGCTGAAATAGGCCTTTAAAAATTATGCTTATAAGTAGGTCACCATGGGATGTGCCTGTAGTCTCAGCTATTCAGGAGGCTGAGGTAAGAGGATGGCTTGAGCCCAGGAGTTTGAGGCCAGCCTGAGCAACACAGTGAGACCTGTCTCTAAAAGCAAAGCAGAAAATCAGAAAACCTCACCATACTTATGGCCGGCAAGTTTAGCTTGATTTTGTTGGATCACTTCTAAAACCCATTCCAGGATCTTACATATTGGAGGGGGGGGCTATTATTTAGATTAACAAAATAATCCAAGGGGCTTTTCCCACCTCAAATGGTAGAAACCATATGAAAACAAAATATTCCTGATCAAAACTGGATTAATTCCAAACAGCTTATAATTTGATCATCAGAAGAAAGCCAATTGGCCTGGGTGTTAGAAGGGTATAAAGTGGCAAGAAATCATACATCTGTAGGAAAGGGAGGAACTCCAACACCTTCAATGCTACTTACTCTAGGATTTGTTTCCCTTTTATATTATAGCTTTCTATAACAAAAGATAAATAACTAAATATTGAGAAAAATATGCCAACTAATTACTAGGTAAAAGTCAAGTGAAAGAAGTCAAGCCAACACTCTATTTTTTGAAAGGAAAAGAATCCCTACAAAGCTCTTAAGAGCTTCAATTCAAGGTAATAATCAGCACTACTTCCTGTATAAGAAATGAGCCAAGTACGTGGCTGGGGTGGAAGCAGAGCCTACAAAGACAAAGGACACATCCAGCCTCTAGGTGAAAAATTAGCGTGAACTTAAGATTCAAGAAAAAGAAAAGGCCGAGGGGCAATTTCACTTGTTTTCCTATTTCTCTATCAGTTTAGTAGATCATTGTTAGGGACCTGGTACCATGTGGCTCTGCCCAAGAAAAGATTATTGAGCAAATCTATTTGAAAAATAAGTATTTTCCACCCACCAACTAGGGGGAAAAAGCAAACTGCCACTGCTCCCATTTTCACAGTTCTCTAGGGTACTCACATGATTGAGGAATTTGCTGTCTCGAGTGGCCCAGCCAATCTGCATGACGCCAGAAGTGACCACTGTTACTTCATAGTACCATACCCCGGCATCCACACAAAAGGTGCAACGCACACTTTCAAAAGAGGAGGCATCACAGCGAGCCTGGCAAAACCAAAAAATGTGTCAATCAACTATGAGGGCCTGAAGACCACCAAAGATAACTGACTACTGGGAAGGTTGAGTGTATTTTTCCTTATTAAAACTTCTGGTGGACTATTGCTTCCTCCTCTGTCCATCCTCAGTGACAAAAAGTACAAAACCAAACTACATAAGGCATTTGGCAACATACAGAATCAAAGAATTGTTTGCAGCCATTCTTCAAACAGTTCTTTAATCCTGACACATCTAGTGCCTTATGGTACCTTCTGTTCATAAGCAGCTCTTTGAGACTTCCCCCTGAAGTCAGCAACATTTCCAAAATACAGGGAGAGTGGGAAGCACCAGCCCTAAGACAACTGGCTATGCAAGGATTAAAATAATTACCCTCTCATCCCCCAAAGGGTCCAACTGTAGAAGCATTACCTACCTCTAAGCCATGAGGTGAGATCTTCAGGTACTCGCTGACATCATTGCTATTCAGCATGGCCCTAATGCTACTCAAGTTCACTTTCTCATAGGTCAGCTGTCTACCTTCTTTTAAAACTGCAAAAGAAAGAGTGTTCATGTTTCTAAGGCAGGCTGCTGTGGAGAAAAGAAGAAGCTAGTGCCAGCTACAGCAATCAGACAAGAGGAAGAAATAAAGGGCATCCAAAATGGAAAGGAAGAAGTCAAATTATCCATGTTTGTGGATAATATGATCTTATATTTAGGAAAACCTAAAAAAATCTGCCAAAAACTATTAGAACTAAAAAGCAAATTCAGTAAAGTTGCAGGATATAAAATTAACAGACAAAAATCAATAGCATTTCTATATGCCAATAGCAAACAATCTGAAGAAGAAATCAAGAAAGTAATTGTATTTACAAAAGCTATAAATAAAATAAGATACCTAGGAATAACTTAATCAAAGAAGTGAAAGATCTCTACAATGAAAACTATAAAACACTAATGCAAGAAATCAAAGAGGACACAAAGATATACCATGGTCATGGATTGGAAGACTCAATATTGTTAAAATGTCCATACTACTCAAAGCAATCTACAGATTACATGCAATCCCTATCAAAATACCAATGACATTCTTCACAGAAATAGTAAAAAATAATCCTAAAATTTATACAGAACTACAAAAGACCCAGAATAGCAAAAAACCTGACCCTCAGCAAGAAAACGAAACTGGAGGAATCACATTACTTGACTTCAAATTATACTATGGAGTCATAGGAACCAAAACTGCATGGTACTGGCATAAAAACAGACACATGGACCAATGGAACAGAAGAGAGAATCCAGAAATCCATACATCTACAGTGAACTCATTTTCAACAAAGGTGCCAAGAACATACATTGGGGGAAAGGACAGTGTCTTCAATAAATGGTGCTGGAAAAACTACATATCCATAAGCAAAAGAATAAAACTAGACCCCTATCTCTCATTGCCTACAAAAATCAAATAAAAATGGATTAAAGATTTAAATCTAAGACCTCAAACTATGAAGCTACTAAAATAAAACATTGGGGAAACTCTCCAGGACACTGATCTGGGCAAAGATTTCTTGAATACCCCAAAAGCACAGGCACCAAAGCAAAAATGGACAAATGGGATCATATTAAGCTAAAAAGTTTCTTACAGCAAAGGAAATGATCAACGAAGTAAAGAGACATCCCACAGAATGGGAGAAACTATTTGCAAACTATCCATTCGACAAAGGATTAATAACCAGAATATATAAGGAGGTCATATAAGTCAATAGGAAAACATTCAATAATCTGATTAAAAAGTGGGCAAAACATCCGAATAGACATTTCTCAAAGGAAGACATACAAATGGCAAACAGATATATGAAAAGGTACTCAACATTATTGATCATCAGAGAAATCCAAATCAAAACTACAATGAGCTATCATCTCACCCCAGTAAAAATGGCATTTATCTAAAAAACAGGCAACAATGAATGCTGGTGAGGATATGGAGAAAAGGTAACCCTTGTACACTGGTAGTAGGAATGCAAATTAGTATGGCCACTATGGAGAACAGTATGGAGGTTCCTCAAAACACTAAAAACAGAACTACCATATGATCCGGCAATTCTGCTGCTAGGTATACACCAAAAAGAAAGGAAATTAGTATGTCAAAGAAATATCTGCAATCGCATGTTTATTGCAGCATTATTCACAATAGCCAAGATTTGGAATCAACCTAAGTGTCCATCGAGAGACAAATGAATAAAGAAAATGTGGCCGGGCGCGGTGGCTCACGCCTGTAATCCCAGCACTTTGGGAGGCCGAGGCGGGCGGATCACGAGGTCAGGAGATCGAGACCATCCCGGCTAAAACGGTGAAACCCCGTCTCTACTAAAAATACAAAAAAATTAGCCGGGCGTAGTGGCGGGCGCCTGTAGTCCCAGCTACTTGGGAGGCTGAGGCAGGAGAATGGCGTGAACCCGGGAGGCAGAGCTTGCAGTGAGCCGAGATCCCGCCACTGCACTCCAGCCTGGGCGACAGAGCGAGACTCCGTCTCAAAAAAAAAAAAAAAAAAAAAAAAAAAAAAAAAGAAAATGTGGCACATATACAAAATGGAGTACTGTTCAGCCACAAAAAAGAATGAGATCCTGTCATTTACAATAACATGGATGGAACTGTAGGATATGATGTTAAGTGAAATAAGTCAGGCACAGAAAGACAAACTTCGTGTGTTCTCACTAATTTTTGTGGGAGCTAAAAACAACTGAACTCATGAAGATAGAAAATAGAAGGATGGTTACCAGAGGCTGGGAAGGGTAGTGGGGGTGGGGGAGAAATGGGGTTGGTTAATGGGAATATAGCTAGATAGAATGAAGAACACCTAGTATTTGACAGCATAACAGGGTGACTACAGTCAACAATAATTTATAGTATATTTAAAAATAACTAAAAGAAAAGTGCAAAACAAAGAAATTTTAAAACACCAAAAGAGTATAATTGGAATGTTTCTAACACAAATAAATGATAAATGCTTGAGGGGACAGATATCCCATTTACTCTGATGTGGTAATTACTCATTGTATGACTGTATCAAAATATCTCATGTGCTCCAAAAATATGTATTACTATATATCCATTAAAAATAATCCCCCTGGAAGGTAAAACACACTGATTTTTCATACATTAAAAATAAACAAACAAATAAGTTAGTGCTACCCTAGTCAAGGAGTAGAGATGCTCGTAAATGGCAGAATAGGTGAGGAGACATAGCCAGAGGTTTCCTGCTGCACTGCCATTTGAAGATCAATCAAACAAATGCTAGGAAAGGCAGCACTGCTAGATTTATGCTTCCATTCCCTAGAATATAATTTTGTATGAACAAAATCCAAATTGCACTCTTTCAGAATTATTCTTTAACTGGCACTTCACAGGCTGTGCATGAAGCTCCTCCCCACAATATTGGGGTAACAGTGGGGGTGGATTTACATGTCCAGTTATGCTTTAGCGTAGTATTAACCATGGATGGGGGAGTGAGGGTACAGAAGTATACAGGTTGATCACTCTTAATCTGAAAATCCAAAATGCTCCAAAATCCAATACTTTTTGAGTGCAGACATGAGGCTCAAAGGAAATGCTCAATGGAGGATTTCAGATTTTTTGATTAAGGATGCTTAACCTGGTATCTGCAAATACTCCAAAATCTGAAAAAATGTGAAATCTGAAATACTTTCAGTCCCAAGCATTTCAGATAAATTCTACCTAAAAGAGAAACTCAACCTATAGTAGTTTTTGTCCCAGCAGCCCTTGGAGGAGGAAAAGAGAAAAATCAGGAACAATTCTCATGATGTAGGTAAGACATGACTTGGGTTTTGAAGAGCAAAGTTGGGAAAGGGAGAGAAGTAAAGAGGGAATTCCAAGTGAGGGGAATAGGTCCAGAGGTAGGAATCATCAGGACCTGTTTGTAGGACAGTGGGATGATTTGTGTTGGAAAGAGCTGGTTAGACAGTGCCATATAATTAAGGGCTTTGATGCAGCAGGAAACTGGGTGCCAGTAAAGGTTTTTGAACAGGAAAATGCTGAAATTAGAAGCATACCATGTAATTCTTGTCTAAAGGGTCTCTAGGATACTTTTCTGCTAGAATATATCCAACCTGCCAGTAGAGGTCCTTATGAGGACTCATACTTACCATTGCAAAAGGAAGACCAGTGAGCCTATGAAAGAAATGAGTCTGGAAATGGAAACGGACATTTTAATAAAGGACAACTCCCACTTACAGAGATTGTCTAAGCTCCACTGGGCACAGAAACCAACTTGACGTTTCAGATAATCAGGATCATTAGCCCAGGACTCCAATGTGACAAGCCGGTCACTAATACTGGATTCAGAAATAGTCAATTTATTTTCACCTGTTTGGAAAGACATAATCCTTGAATTAACAATGAAAGGGTAGAATGATTTGCTCAGCAAATTAGTATTGCTAAGGAGGGGGAAGAGGCAATTAAAGAATTGGAGACTAGATTAGACTTCAATTAAAATTTCTAGGGAAAACATAGCCAAAGAGCTTTGACTATTTTGTTTTCCTTTTTTTTAGTCACAGGGTCTCACTCTGTTGCCTAGGCTGGAGTGCAGTGGCACAACTATGGATCACTGTAACCTTGAACTACTGGGCTCAAGTGATCCCCCCGCCTCAGCATCCCAAGTAGCTAGGAACATAGGTGCATGCCACCATGCCTGGCTGATTTTTTAAAATTTTTTGTAGAGATTGAGTCTTGCTATGCTGCCCACCCTGGTCTCGAATTCCTGGCCTGAAGCAATGCTCTGGCCTTAGCTTCCCAAAGTGCTGGGATTATGGGCAAGAGCCACCATACTTTTTTCTAGAAACTAGCAATCACATCACTAAATTTTTGGCTATAAAAAGTGAGTAAACATGGTTACCAAGTTTTGATTCTTAGGTGAGAAAATCCTTGCCTTTGTCCCTGTTATACTTCATTGGCTTTAACGTGTCTATCCAGATGAAAACAGAATGTATGCCCATCTGATGGGGTTCAAAGTGTAGGCTTATCCAGTAACTAAGAAAAATAAAATTTTTAACAACCAATACAGAAGATCATTAGTGCAAGAAGTCACTATACCTACTTGTCTGTGCAAACTTTTCCAGTGCGATAAGTGCAAAAAGCATGACTGTGGGGTGGGACTGTAACTTCTGAAAAACAACAAAAGATAAAAAAAAAAAAAAAAAATCATTCCCCTGCAGAGGTGGCAAGTTATCAGTTTCATTTCCTTGCCCAATATGTGCTAGATGTTTTTTCGAGTGGTCAGAAAAGTTTCATTCATTCAAGTTCTCAATTATCCATTTGGCTAATAATGTTAGTAATGAACTGGACAGGCTCTCTTAATCTTGTATTTTTTTCTTAAAGTCACTAGGTTAATTTATAGATTTGGAAATTTCAAAAGTATCCTGTTAAATACACTATGTTATTTTACTTAATAAAACTTACATTAGGGCTTTGTTAAATAAAATATTCATTCTCACATTCATTTATGCAAGCCAAACAGAAACCTAGAATTATAAACTAAAAATGATATTTTACTTAGAATCCTAAAAAGAACCACTTATCACTAACAAGTTGCAAAATTATAAATAATTAAATTAACAATTAATGGCTCAGTTTTTAAGCTGTTCCCTGAAAGGAATTCTACAAATGCTGATGGTAGACAGGAGAAAGCAACAAGTGAACTCTTTTAGTTACATTTAAGCTCATGTCACATGAGTTCCCCTTTAAGGAAAGGTCTATCTGTTGAACATGACACCTTCTCATAGCTGTGCTTTCCCTACTGCTACATTGGGAGCCACCAGAGGAGCTCCAGAACATCAGATGATTCCCACTGACTTCCCTGGTACCTCCTAAGTTCTGGAAACCTCACATAACCACCATCCCTGCTGCTGGAAAGCCTATTCAGCATTCTATTTCTTCTCATATCCATCTAAATCCCTCTGCCTGGCTTTTCAGGCCCTAAACCCTTTCTAGCTGGCTACTCAGTCTGTGTCCTATCTCTGAACACTGTCTTCTCTCATCAGACAATTCTCTGTCTCTGGACTTCTGCCTGTGATGTTCCCTTAGCTAAGAAACCAATTTTTTCCCTCCTCTGGGCACAATAAAATCCTCATCTATAGCATGACCCAGCTGAGGGTCCACCTTCATCAGGAAGTCTGACTTTCATGACACCCCGGCTCTCATTACCCATACCACCCACCTTCTCATTTAGTCTTTTTTTTTTTTTGAGATGGAGTCTCGCTCTGTCGCCCAGGCTGGAGGGCAGTGGTGAGATCTCAGCTAACTGTAATCTCTGCCTTCTGGGTTCAAGTGAATTCCTGCCTCAGCCTCCTGAGTAGCTGGGACTACACACACATGCCACCATGCCCAGCTAATTTTTGTATTTTTAGTAGGGACCAGGTTTCGCCATGTTGGCCAGGCTGGTCTTGAACTCCTGACCTCAGGTGACCAGCCCACCTCAGCCTCCCAAAATGCCGGGCTTATAGGCATGAGCCACCGTGCCCGGCCCTCATTTAGTCTTGATGAAGTACTTTCTCCCATGATCACATCCTGTGATAAAATGGAGGCTAATTACCTTGTCTGAGTAGTTTTGTTTCCTCAACTAACCAATAAACCTCTTGAAATCATAGGACTGCCATGTTGTATCCCCAGAGTGCTCATTGAGAGTAAGGTAAGTGTTTTAAGCACGTATCAGTGGGTATTGACAAATAAGGGTTTTCAGACCAGAGTTTTGAAAAGGGCCAATGCTCACTAGGCCTACAAAAATAACTTTTAAAAATACAGACCATTCAAGACCACAGGCCAGAACTATGAGAGATCTGAGGGCACAGCCTCAGCAAACCAGAAGCTTCATAGACAATATATTAAATATTCCAGTGACAACAGTTTTAAGAGTAGCAGTGAGGGGGAGGGCAGGGAGGAGTAGAGATTTATATATACTGGGAATCTGACTTGATGGCCTCCTGGCTTGGAACGCCATGTAATTGTTTCTACTGTGGAGGTCCCTATTACCATTTGGCAAACTCAAGGAACATGCAAAAGAGCCAATCATAGCAGCTATCTTATGACTAAATTTAAAACCAGACTAACTCAGCTGTTTTTGCTGGTTGGGATAAATTCCAATCCCACTCTCTTTTTTAAACATAGGAGGGAATAAATAAGCACTCGGGAAACACCTGCAAATAAAATTTACAATTGATTCCATTCTCTGTGCCAGTGGCTATGCCAGCAATTTGAGAAAATGCACAGTTCTAGATGATGCCCACTTCTAGATGACTAAGAATAAATAGTTTTGATGTCTCACTTACCAGACACTGTAGCAAGTATTCCAGTATTCCTGGGCTAAGTAAACCTATACTTGCAGGACCTAGACAAATACAACAAACACTTGATATAATTAAAATGCCAGATTATTTTAAATCACTGGTAACAATCAAATTGTTTTGGTAGAACTCTTTCATGCACATTATCTTATTAAAGCCTCCTGCTCTGAGGTAGAAAATAGTACTAGCTCCATTTCACAGTTAAGCAAGTGAGCCCACAGAATTAAGCAACTAACTCCAGGGCACTTGGCAAGCACATGGGAGAGTCCAAACCAGTAGCCACATGTTCTGATTTCTAATCCATTGTTTCTTCCACATTACGTGATGTAAGTAGCTGAGCTATGCCCCTGTACTTTGCTGTTAACTTTCTTAAAATGGGTAACATTCATAAACAAATTAAATACCTGCTTCTCAGGAACTGCTCCAACCAGAAGTTCCTTTTCCTCTCCCTCTACCTTGTATGTCTTCATAATCGAGCTAAACTTTATAAAGTGTGTATATATGCAAATTATATATTGTATACACACATACATATCTTTGTTATGCTGAATTTAGCTTTTCTCCCTTTTTTCTTTTCCTCGCTCCTTATTCTTAAAGCAAATAAGCACAACTTTTTTCTTTTAAAATTTCCCCTGAAAATCCACAAAGCTAAATTAAATTGCATTCACCTCTGTAGCCTTTCAGTAATTTTCTTCCAGTTAGTCTATGTCTCTCAATATCATTTTTAAGAGATTTCTTTCTGGTATAGCAGTTTGATCAAAGACATACAGTACAAATTTCCCTTTAATGTCAAACAACTTAAGATCTTCCACTGTGGAGTGTCCCAAAGTTACCTGCTAGTTTCTCGGCCAAGCAGCCTAGGACTGCAGATGTGTTCCTGTGTTTGGCAGGATGGCTTGAGTCCTGGCAAGCTACTTCTCCATTTAAATTGAGAATTTCAGTCAATTTCTGGAGTGCATCCTAAAACAAAAAAGTACAAGTGGGTTTGACCCATATACTACACAGGTTGTTTTCCCAGGCTCATTTTTTTTTTGAGACAAAAGCTATAACCAGCACTTTGGGAGGCCGAGGCGGGCGGACCACAAGGTCAAGAGTTCGACACCAGCCTGGCCAACATGGTGAAACCCCATCTCTACTAAGAATACAAAAATTAGCCAGGTGTGGTGGTGCGCGCCTGTAATCCCAGCTACTCAGGAGGCTTAGGCAGGAGAATCACTTGAACCTGGGAGGTAGAGGTTGCAGTGAGCCGAGATCGTGCCACTGCACTCCAGCCTGGACGACAGAGCAAGGCTCCGTCTCAGGGGGGTGGGGGGAGCTATAACCAGGTGTTAAATAAACTCAGAATGACCATATAAAAATTATGCAATGTACCCTAATGATATCATTGATGGGAAATATCTGATCAACCTGAAAGTCTCCTTACATGACTTACTAGATTCCACTTCATTCAGAATGCTTAAGTTGTATCAAATATATGCTACATATTCTTGAATCACTAAACAGATTAAACCCACTCAGATGCCATTATGAAAACATTAAAGGCTGGTGATGTTGAAGTAAAAAGTTACTTTAAAAAAAGTTTTACTAAGCAAAAACAAATCCCAGCAGAGTTTTCTTCTTTTCTTTTTGCTCTTGCTCTGTTTCCCAGGCTGCTGTGCAGTGAAGTGATCATGGCTCACTGTAGCCTTTACCTCCTGGGCTCAAGTGATCCTCCCACTTCAGCCTCCCTCGTAGCTGGGACTACCGGCACATGTCACAGTGCCCAGATAATTTTAATTTTCTGTAGAGATGGGAATCTCATTATGTTGCCCAGGCTGGTCTTGAACTCCTGGCCTTAAGTGATCCTCCTGCTTCAGCCCCCAAAAGTTTTGGGATTATAGGCATGAACCACTGCACCCTGCCCCAACAGAGTTGAAGGCAAATTGAAACAGGCAGCTCTTATAAGCCTAGGCAAAGGTCAATTCATTGGTGACTACGCTAAAGACTTTCCCCTTCCGTCCACAATGTTTTTCTGCACTGGGCTTAAACAGATGAATGAAAATGCCAGAATTGAGGCTGGGCACAGTGGCTCATGCCTGTAATCCCAGCACTTTGGGAGGCCAAGGTGGGAGGATGCTTGAGCCCAGGAGTTTGAGACCAGTCTGGGCAACATAGCAAGACTCCATCTTAAAAATGAAAGATGCCAGAATCCAAAAGAAGAAAAAAAGAAAAAAAAAAAGGACTCTGTAAAACACATGGGAAAGCAATGAAAGTTCGATGCTTTTGTTCTATGTAAAGGATAACCAATGTTACACTAATCATTAATACATTTGAGTAAGATTCAAAAGTGCTTTCAGTTTTAACTTTTTTTTGTTGTTGTTGTTGAGATGGAGTCTCACTCTGTCGCCCAGGCTGAAGTGCAGTGGTGCAATCTCAGCTCACTGCAGCCTCCACCTTCCGAGTTCAAGTGATTCTCCTGCCTCAGCCTCCTAAGTAGCTGGGATTACAGGTGCACGCCATCGTGCTGGCTAATTTTTGTATTTTTAGTAGAGATGAGGTTTCACCATGTTGGCCAGGCTGGTCTTGAACTCCTGACCTCAAGTGATCTGTCTGCCTTGGCCTCCCAAAGTGTTGGGATTACAGGCATGAGCCACCGTGCCTGGCTTTCTTTTTTTTTTTTTTTTTTAACAGAGACAAGGTCTCACTATGTTGTTCAGGCTGGTATCAAACTCCTGAGCTTAACTGATCCTCCTGCCTTGGTCTCCCAAAGTGCAGGGATCACAGGCATGAGCCAGTACATTCAGCCCAGTTTTTCCTCTTAATAAAAAACATTCTTAAAACTTTTGTTATGAGGAAATTGCTTAGAGAAAGATAAGAAAATCAGCGAAGCAACTCAACATTCTCTTCTAGCTTCTGAATAAAGATCGCCACCTGAGATACAAATACTTCTTTTTTTAACCAGGCTGGAGTGCAATAACGCCATCTTGTCTCACTGCAATCTCGACCTCCAGATTGCAAGTGATCCTCCCACCTCAGCCTCCTGAGCAGCTGGGACTATAGGCATGCACCACGTTACCCTGTTAACTTTTGGATTTTTTTGTAGAAACAGGGTTTCACCATGTTGCCAGGCTGGTCTTGAACTCCTGGACTCAAACAATCTGCCTGCTTTGGCCTCCCAAAGTGTTGAGATTACAAGTGTGAGCCACTGCGCCCAACCTAAATGCTTCTTTTTTTTTTTTTGAGACAGAGTTTCGCTTTGTCGCCCAGGCTGGAGTGCAGTAGCACAATCTCAGCTCACTGCAACCATTGCCTCCCAGGTTCAAACAATTCTCGTGCCTCAGCCTCCTGAGTACTGGGATTACAGGTGCCTGCCACCACTCCCGGCTGATTTTTAGTAGAGACGGGGTATTTTAGTAGAGACGGGGTTTCACCATGCTGTTCAGGCTGGTCTCGAACTCCTGACCTCAGGTGATCCACCCACCTCAGCCTCCCAAAGTGCTAGGATTACAGGCGTGAACCACCGCGCCCAGCCTTAAATGCTTCTATTTTTAACATTTAAAAAATTTTAACCTAGGCTGGGCACAGTGGCTTACACGTATAATCCCAACACTTTGAGAAGCCAAGGTGGGAGGATCCCTTGAGCCCAGGAGTTCAAAATCAGCCTGGGCAACATAGTGAGACCCTTTATCTACAAAAAATAAAAAAAATTTAGCTAGGTGTGGTGGTGCATGCCTGTAGTCCAGCAACATGGGAAGCTGAGGCAAGAGGATCACTTGAACCTGAGAGGTTGAGGATACAGTGAGCCATGACTGTGCCACTGCACTCTAGCCTAGGCGGGGCCGGGGAAGGAAGGGAGGCAAGAAGGAAAGGGAAGGAAAGAAGGAAGGAAGGGAGGAAGGGAGGAAGGGAGGGAGGGAGGGAGGGAAAGAAAGAAAGAAGAAAAAAAAGCAATTAAATAAAGCCTTGATAGAGAATGTGGCGGGGCACAGTGGCTAACGCCTACAATGCCAGCACTTCGGGAGGCTGAGGTGGGCTGACTGCTTGAGCCCAGGAGTTTCAAGACCAGCCTGGGCAACATGATGAAACCCCATCTCTAAAAAAAAATACAAAATTAGCCAGACATGGGGTCATGCACCTATGGTCCCAGCTACATGGGAGGCTGAGGTGGGAGGATCACCTGAGCCTAGGGAGGTTGCAGCTGCAGTGAGCTGTGATTGCTCTACTGCACGCCAGCCTGGGTGACAAAGTGAGACCCTGTTTCAAAATAAATAAATAAAAAGACAGAGGGCTGGGTGCAGTGGCTCATGCCTGTAGTCCCAGCACTTTGGGAGGAGGCCGAGGCAGGTGGATCACCTGAGGTCAGGAGTTCAAGACCAGCCTGGCCAACATGGTGAAATCCCGTTTCTACTAAAAATCCAAAAATCAGCCAGGTGTGGTGGCGGGTGCCTGTAATCCCAGCTACTTGGGAGGCTGAGGCAGGAGAATCGCTTGGACCCGGGAGGCGGAGGTTGCAGTGAGCCAAGATCACATCATTGCACTCCAGCCTGGGCAACAGAGTGAGACTCTTGTCTCAAAGAGGAAAAGAAAAAAAAAGAGGACATAATTCTTCATAATACAAAATAAATTTACATAACAAAATCAATACTGAATAAAACAGACCCCAAATGTATAAAGATGAAACACAATACATCAAATGTTCTTTGTGGTCATTTATCTTGTGCTTAAGCACAAATGATAGTTTCATAAAAGATAAGTATTAACTTACTTTAGTGGGCAATGGACATTCATCTAGTAACAATGTTATAACAGCTGGTCCCAGTGGATCTTCCAGTGGAATAACTCTAATTAAAGACTGGACAACATCCAACCATCCTTCATCTAAGAGCAAATCAAGAAGATTATATGATGGAGTCACTATTTTTAAAATGTGAAAATATGTCACACGAGATCAATTCACATTAAAAGAAAGACTTTTGGTCTATAGATTTTTAGCAGCTAATATTTGGCATGGACATAATCATCAATTGCTAGTCATCGTGGTGGAGTAAAAACATCTTAAGTTACAGGAGTCTGGTGATTTGTGGGTACCTTTATTTGGAAAAAGGTTAAGCTATGGTCTTGTGCTCTCACATTAAAATAGTTTTAAGCATCTTATTTACTACATAGGAGTTAACTGAGAAAATGAAGTATACTCAGCAGTTGGCTTTGTTTTCAGAATGATACTTAGGAAACTAAGGAACAAAAAATATCTTTGGCCAGGGGCTGTGGCTCACACCTGTAATCCCAGCACTTTGGGAGGCTGAGGCAGGAGGATCCCTTGAGCCCAGGAGTACAAGACCAGGCTGGGCCAACATGGTGAAATTCTGTCTCTACAAACAACAGAAAAATTGCTGGGTATTGTGGCATGCGCCTGTGGTGCTAGCTACTTGAGAAGCTGAGGTGGGGTGATCACCTGGGCCAGGGTAGGTTGAGGCTGTAGTTGAGCTGTGATCGTGCCACTGCACTCCAGCCTGGGCAACAGAGTGAGACTCTGTCTCAAAAAAAAAAAAAAATATATATATATATATATATATATAAATAATCTCCTCTCCATTCCAGAACAGTATGGTGAAAGATCCATCAATGCCAAAAAAAAAAAAAAAAAAAAAAAGGTATAATATGCATTGCCTATTATACCTATTCAGGGAAATTTCCATACAGTAAGGGCTTTTTTCATTGTTATGTATGCTGTATTTTTGGAGTCTTTTATCTCAAAACAAAACAAAACAAAAAACAAAAGGTGGCTACTTTTCTTCATTATTATATATTCATTATAAAGTAATGAAAACAAAACTAAAAATACCTGTTTCTGCCATTTCGTGTAATGTTATCATTGAATAGGGAGGTTCCTGATCACTGGAAAAAAAAATTCAAGGCATTAAACCTGAGGAAATAATAAATGACAATTCCAAATAAGAATTCAAACTGGAGGTGTGGAGGTAAAAAGGGACAGAAGAAATGAACACAAATGTAAGGAAAGAGATAGAAGAGACAACCTGAGCTATGACCTGTAAGGATGAATGTATACCATATGTGCTCATTTCCAGTCACTGTCCACAATGACCCACAGACAAAATGGGCAGGTGGATACAGACAAAGACTACTATGTGTCCTGGGGTAAAAGCACAGGAGTAAAACTGGAGATCACAGCCTACTCTCAGCTTTACACTCAGAGGCCCAGTGCCAACTGAGACAAGCCAGGAAGGTCAACATCACCTTCATACTTACCTCAGAGAAATGCCAGGAAGAGAGACGACAATCCCGGTTGAGGACTTATGGAAGCAAGGGCCTATATACGCATCTTCATTTTGAAGTTTTCTTCTGGAAATACCACTACATGCTTAGACTTCATAAAATGGTATTACAAGAAACAAAACCAAACTTAAGGAACTACTTAACATTCTAGACATTGCTCCAAAGTGGCATTATACACCTTAATTCAGTGGTGTGATCCCAGAAATCTTTAAAAAGTCCTTCAGGGGAACTTCAATAATGAGATGTTTTCCATTAAACAATTCTAACTGCTTAAGAACTCACCACTTATTTGTTTACATATTGTGGGTCTCTGTTTTAGTGTGGAAAAAAAAAAAGCCCCAAAAACTATCATCTTAAGTCATTTAATCCAGAGAATAACCTTGTGATATGGGAATTAGTATGGTCATTTCAGGTACTCATTAGGTGCTGCCTGTTTAAACAATATAATTGACTGATGCAAGTATTTCTGAAGAATGATCTGGCAATAATAAAATTAAGTATGCATATACCCAACAGTTGTAGATAAATTTTTACACAGGTCCAAAAATCAATGCATATTTGCGCTGTTCACTGCAGTGCTGTTTGTAAGAACAAAAATTTGGCAGTAACCTAAGTGACCATCACCAGATGAAAATGTAACAAAATATAATACTTTCAGGCATACAAGGGAATACTCTGTAATAGTCAGAAGCAGTTGTAGATTTATATACAGTAACACAGATTTCGATGTTGAGAAAAGTTAAAAACAAAGAGGTTTGTATAACTATGTCACTCTCTTTTAAAATATTGCAAGGGGCCAAGCGTGGGGGCTCACATCTGCAATCCCAGCACTTAAGGAGGCTGAAGCTCGACAATCGCTTGAGTCCAGGTATTTGAGACCAGCCTGGGCAACATGGCAAGACCTGGCTCTACAAAAACTTTTTTAAAAATTAGCCAGGTGCAGTAGCACACGCCTGTAGTCCAAGCTACTTAGGAGGCTGAGGTGGGAGGATGGTTTGAGTCCAGGAGGCTGAGGCTGCAGTGAGTCATGATCACGCCACTGTACGCCAGCCTGGGTGACAAAGTGAGACCCTGTCTCTTTAAAAACAAAACAAAACAAAAAAACTCTCTCTCTCAAAGTCTATTCTGCACCCATTTTTCCAATGAGCTTAAATTAACATTGTTTGTGGTTTACTTCCTTATTTGGGAAGGATAACTTTTATTACAATTTGGTACAAGGGATTTAAAAAATTTTTTTTGATTAATTAATTTTTGAGACAGGGTCTTGCTCTATTGCCCAGGCTGGAGTGCAGTGGTGTGATCATAGCTCACTGCAGCTGGAAACTCCTGGACTCTAGCAGTACTCCGGTCTTAGAATCCTGAGTAGCTGGGATCACAGGCAAGTGCCACTGTACCTGGATAATTTTTAAATTTTTTTTGCAGAGATGGGATCTCCCTATGTTGCCTAGGCTGGTCTTGAACTCCTGGCCTCCAGCTATCTTTCTACCTCAGCCTCTCAAAAGTGTTGGAATTACAGGTATGAGCCATTGTGTCTGGCCAAAAAATTATTCTTCTCGAAGACTAACAAATGCTCCAGTATTTTATGGAAAAGTTTAATACAGCTCTAAAAATTCGTTTGTATTCACAGGTACACTCTGTTTTATGCTTAATTTTTGAGGAACTAAACGAAACTGGGTTTCTATAAATGCGATTATCAAATGTTTATATACTTAAATTTACTAGCAGGGCCTGAAGCAAAAAGAACACATAAGTAACTTTTTAAAAAATACTACCATCTACTGAGCAACTGTTAAGTACAAAGCTCCACACTGAATGCCTTATGTACATTATCTCATGATAATCCTTGTGGGAACAATATTATCCCCCCATTTACAGATGAGGAATCTGAGGCTTCAAGAAGTAACTTACCCAATGTCATGCAGTTAGTAAGGCACTGGGCCAGAACTTGAGCTAGGCCCATCATGGTTCTAAGCTTTGTGCTCTTAACTACTGAAATATACAACCTTAAGTTAAATGTTTTTTTCTACTTGGATGCCCTTTAATTTCACTGTTATTCAATCTATGATTTTGTATTTAGAGGTAGACAAAGCAGAGGAAAAGACAAAACAGGTACAGGTGTGCCTTGCAGTATCAACTGACAAGCTTCCTAAATGGATTAAAGATAGTCAAATAAGGGATAAAGGATCAAATAAAGGATAATGAAAACTCTCCTTGACCTTAGTCCTTATGTTGCCAAGAGAAGTTGCCTGTAGCCATGTTCTTGGTAAAACAACTTACCTTGAATCTGAGGTCAGTGGAATAGACAGGCATGTACCATTAACAGTGAGCCTTCATGAAACCATTTCCTATTGTAGCTAGCAACATAAACTCACTCCATATTTACTCTATTCTCTAATAAAGATCATAGCTTTATCGTGTTTTCTGCTACAGAAACATTTAGACATTTCCAGACAAAGTAGATGACAGCAAGCAAAAACATCAAATCTTATCATTTACTCTGCCATCAGCGGAGCATTAAAATATTCTCCTTTGCCCTGTGAGCACAAGGCTTGGCGAGTATGTCCTAAAGGAACTGAAGGAGTCCTAAAGTCATGGTTCCGGGCAGAACACTTTTCATTCCACTGGAGGTGACCGTGAGTCAGATACTTACTTATCTACAAGAGTCCGTATTACTGCCAGTGTGTCCAACACTAGCCCATCCACATTTTGTTTCTTTCTCCTTGGCTCATGAGGTCCTCGGCCCCTCCTTGGTGGCCGAACAGGGTCCCGTGGTTGGCTCCTTGTGTCAGCAGTGGGTACTGCACTGTTCTCGGCCTGTTGCTGTTGGGTGTCAACACTGTCATCTGTTCCACTGTCATCTCGGCAGATACAGGAATTACCCATGGTAGTAGCGGCACCTCCAGTCCCTAGGAAGTGGGCTATGTGCTCTTCGAGAGTCAACAACAGACCCTGGCCAAGGCTTCTGCTCGCTAAGAACACGGCCCAACCAAAGACGATCATTTAGGTAGTTTTCAGTTTTCCAAGTACTGTTTTCATAACCTGGAGTTGAGGAATTTGCATCCTATTTGTTTTTAACAACTGAATGCCAAAGAAAGTTGCAGAGCTTATTCCCAACATTATCAACTACAGGGGATTCTGGACATCCAATGGCAGTTCTAAAAGAAAATGAGAAAAAGGAAAATGAATAAAAGATTCTTGACCACTTAATTACTCAAATTTTCCTAGTCTGATTTTATAGATATTAGGATTCTAATGAAGAATTATCTTTGGTTATTTTTATAGGTTTCCAATACAAAGAGATAGCTTTGGATAACAGAATTCGCAATCAATCAATAATTTCTTTTTATCATTCTGTTACAAAGTTGATTGCCAAACCATATTCTTATAGACCAGAGGAGTTATCATTGATTTTTTTAAAACCACATGTATAGTTTTTCCTGTCTATATAGAAATACATTAGAAGGATGTGTGCATTTTTTTTCAAGGGCTCCTTTTATCATAAAAAAAGAGTTGTCTTTCTGTGTAAGAGGTAGGTGTTAAAAAGAGAAAAATCTTTAAAAAAATGAATTAACTCCTTTCTTTAAACCCATAGGATAATTTAACAAGTTTTAAATAAAATAATTACAGACGTTTGTTGTTAAAAAAAAGTTATGATACAAATATGATAGCACCATTTGATATCAAGGAGAATAAAAGGATAGAGTTTCCCATTGGAAGCTCACTCAAGAACTGACAGAATTCATACAAGTTGTTGCAAAGTGTTTCTGTTATGTAAGCAAGGCTTTGTTTTGGGAAAGGAAAACTGATATCACAAAAGTTGTATTTTCACAATGATCAGTTTGTTGCACATGTCTATTACAAAGTTCAGAATAAGATGCACCAATTTATCTTTGCCTGAAAATACTGACTAAGGACCTTGTGCCAGGTACCACGCTGGACTAGGAGAATAAAGATGAGTAAGGAATAGTTCCTGCCCTCCAGGAATTCATGGATGGCCATTCTCATCCCACAAAGTATGTTTATCATTAAAAACCTAATGAAAGAACCAGCTCTTCAAGAAGCTGGTAAAATCTGGTTAGATTCTGGAAGGAAGTAAAGATTTAGAAATAGGAGACTTACATGGGCTGGTAGCAAAAAGTAAAAAAACAAACAAACAAACAAAACAGGCTGACAGCTGGAGAACAGGCCACATAAGGAATAGACTATGCTAGTGTGTAGTCTCTACACAACATCTGGCTAGTTACAATTAATTCCTCATACCTTGAGCACTGACCAGGAATAATATAAACAAAATTTATAATTCAGTGGAATTAGAAGAGAAATATTACTCCCATTATTTTATTTGTTTATTTATTTACTTATTTTTGAGGAGTCTCGCTCTATCACCCAGGCTGGAGTGCAGTGGTATGATCTTAGCTCACTGCAACCTCCACCTCCTGGGTTCAAGCAATTCTCCTACCTCAGCCTCTCGAGTAACTGGGACTACAGGTGCTGCCACCACACCCAGCCAGTTTTTATATTTTTAGTAGAGACGGGGTTTCACCATGTTGGCCACAAACTCCTGACCTCAGGCTATCTGCCCACCTCGGCCTCCCAAAGTGCTGGGATTACAGGTGTGAGCCACTGTGCCCAGCCTATTTCCATTATTTTAGACAGATTCATGGCAAAATTCTTTTTATTTTCCCAGTTTGATTACTGCTACAGGGAAAACATAGAAGAAAAAGAGAAAAATGGAGACAGAAAGTCTTCAGATATATATATATATATATATATATATATAATCATATGTAATAAAATATATATAAAGAGGGAGGAGGCAAAGGGAAGGGAGAGAAAAGAATGGAATGGGATGGAACAAGACAGGAGAAAGAAAAGGATAAAGGAAATGAGAGGCAACAGACGTTTTCACTATTAAGACAGCAATGGCTGGGCCAAGTGATACCACAGATGTTCTTGGTTCCCCCAAACCACTCGGGCTGTCTTCAAAATTTGGAGGTTGTACTGAAAAGGATGTGACTGAAGTATATAGGTAGGAGTATGATGCAAGGACCAGCTGGAAATAGCTTTTTAAAAGAACACATTCTAAACCAGCAGAGTCGAAGTAACAACATTGCCATTACTGTGGGGATCAGAGTATGATTCGCTTTAGAGGGTAGATAACTAAGAGATTTCAATGCTTAAGAGAATAGAGGAAACAGAAATCAGAAATAGGAATAATTCTTTAAAGGGTCCCTGAAATGAATTTCTACAGATCTTATAAATTATGCTGGTTTCTGAGAAAGATGAAAAAGCAACATTTAAGAAGCTATGCTCTGGGTCCTCTCACAGAAATTTCACTGATAGAGAACAAGAGGCTTGCCGCCATCTTGGAAGTGGCCTGCCACCATCTTGGGAGTTCTAAGAACAAGGACCCCCGCCACCCACCCCCCGTAACAATTGCACTTACTTTATTTGGTGTTCATAGTTTCCCTCTGAGACAAGATTTTTTATTTTTTATTTTTTTAGAGATGGGGTCTTGCTATGTTCCCCAGACTGGTTTTGAACTCCTAGCCTCAAATAATCCTCTCATCTTGGCCTCCCAAGTATTGGGATTACGGGTGTGAGCTATCCTGCTCGGCCCCTCTGAGATAAGCTTTAATATTCCTATTTCAAAATGAGTAAACTGCTCCTCTCCCTCTCCCTCCTCTCCCTCTCCCTCTCTCTCTCTTTCCACGGTCTCCCCCTGATGCCAAGCCAAAGCTGGACTGTACTGCTGCCATCTCGGCTCACTGCAAACTCCCTGCCTGATTCTCCTGCCTCAGCCTGCCGAGTGCCTGCGATTGCAGGCGCGCACCGCCACGCCTGACTGGTTTTCGTATTTTTTTGGTGGAGACGGGGTTTCGCTGTGTTGGCCGGGCTGGTCTCCAGCTCCTAACCGCGAGTGATCCGCCAGCCTTGGCCTCCCGAGGTGCCGGGATGGCAGACGGAGTCGCGTTCACTCAGTGCTCAATGGTGCCCAGGCTGGAGTGCAGTGGCGTGATCTCGGCTCGATACAACCTCCACCTCCCCAGCTGCCTGCCTTGGCCCCCCAAAGTGCCGAGATTGCAGCCTCTGCCCGGCCGCCACCCCGTCTGGGAAGTGAGGAGTGTCTCTGCCTGGCCGCCCATCGTCTGGGATGTGAGGAGCCTCTCTGCCTGGCTGCCCAGTCTGGAAAGTGAGGAGCGTCTCTGCCCGGCCGCCATCCCATCTAGGAAGTGAGGAGCGTCTCTGCCAGGCCGCCCATCGTCTGAGATGTGGGGAGTGCCTCTGCCCTGCCGCCCCGTCTGGGATGTGAGGAGCGTCTCTGCCCGGCCGCCCCGTCTGAGAAGTGAGGAGACCCTCTGCCTGGCAACCGCCCCGTCTGAGAAGTGAGGAGCCCCTCCACCTGGCAGCCACACCGTCTGAGAAGTGAGGAGCCCCTCCGCCCGGCAGCCACACCGTCTGAGAAGTGAGGAGCCCCTCCACCTGGCAGCCACACCGTCTGAGAAGTGAGGAGCCCCTCCGCCCGGCAGCCACTCCGCCTGGGAAGTGAGGAGCGTCTCCGCCCGGCAGCCACCCCGTCTGGGAGGGAGGTGGGGGTCAGCCCCCCGCCCGGCCAGCCGCCCATCCGGGAGGGAGGTGGGGGGGTCAGCCCCCCGCCCGGCCAGCCGCCCGTCCGGGAGGGAGGTGGGGGGGTCAGCCCCCCCCCCCCCCGGCCAGCCGCCCCGTCTGGGAGGTGAGGGGCGCCTCTGCCTGGCCGCCCCTACTGGGAAGTAAGGAGCCCCTCTGCCCGGCCAGCCGCCCCGTCCGGGAGGTGAGG
This sequence comes from Homo sapiens, assembly GCF_000001405.40. Classification (NCBI taxonomy): domain Eukaryota; kingdom Metazoa; phylum Chordata; class Mammalia; order Primates; family Hominidae; genus Homo; species Homo sapiens. The sequence continues at coordinate 57,200,841 of NC_000016.10, read as the reverse complement.
GGCGCCTCTGCCCAGCCAGCCGCCCCGTCCGGGAAGGATGTGGGGGGGGCCAGCCCCCAGCCCGGCCAGCCGCCCCATCCGGGAGGTGAGGGGCGCCTCTGCCCGGCCGCCCCTACTGGGAAGAGAGGAGCCCCTCTGCCCGGCCAGCCGCCCCGTCCGGGAGGGAGGTGGGGGGGTCAGCCCCCCGCCCGGCCAGCCGCCCCGTCCGGGAGGTGAGGGGCGCCTCTGCCCGGCCGCCCCTACTGGGAAGAGAGGAGCCCCTCTGCCCGGCCAGCCGCCCCATCCGGGAGGGAGGCAGGGAGGTCAGCCCCCCGCCCGGCCAGCCACCCCGTCTGGGAGGTGAGGGGCGCCTCTGCCCTGCCGCCCCTACTGGGAAGTGAGGAGCCCCTCTGCCCGGCCACCACCCCGTCTGGGAGATGTACTCAACAGCTCATTGAGAATGGGCTATGATGACAATGGCGGTTTTGTGGAATAGAAAGGGGGGAAAGGTGGGGAAAAGATTGAGAAATCGGATGGTTGCCATGTCTGTGTAGAAAGAGGTAGACATGGGAGACTTTTCATTTTGTTCTGTACTAAGAAAAATTCTTCTGCCTTGGGATCCTGTTGATCTGTGACCTTACCCCCAACCCTGTGCTCTCTGAAACATGTGCTGTGTCCACTCAGGGTTGAATGGATTAAGGGTGGTGCAAGATGTGCTTTGTTAAACAGATGCTTGAAGGCAGCATGCTCGTTAAGAGTCATCACCACTCCCTAATCTCAAGTACCCAGGGACACAAACACTGTGGAAGGCCGCAGGGTCCTCTGCCTAGGAAAACCAGAGACCTTTGTTCACTTATCTGCTGACCTTCCCTCCACTATTGTCCTGTGACCCTGCCAAATCCCCCTCTGCGAGAAACACCCAAGAATGATCAATAAAAAAAAAAAAAAAGAAAAAGAAAAAAAAAAACAAACAAAAAAAACAAAATGAGTAAACTGAGGTTTGGAGTGGGAAAAAAAAAAAAAAGAAATTTCACTGATAAGGCGCTGTTAGAATATTTCAGGTGAAAAGAGGTAAACAATTCAAGGTTTTTGGACAGGTCTGGCTCTGGGCCAGTAGGTCAGATGATTGTGCCACTGGAATATTTACTTGAAATTGTATTTTATTAAAAAAAAATCTTTATCTAGAAACCTTAAAATATACACATTCATTTCTAAAACCTAAATGCTGCACAGGCCTATGGAATGTGAAAGTTCCTCTTCTGCTCTACCTAGCCCATGCCTTTCCCAGAGATAACTAACCTCTTAAAAGCTTCATATGTTTGCCTCCATATCTATTATTATATACTTTCAAACTAGCTTTTTCTTTTTTTTGAGATGGAGTCTCACTCTGTCACCCAGGCTGGAGTGCAATGGTACGATCTTGGCTCACTGCAACCTCTGCCTCCCACGTTCAAGTGATTCTCCTGCCTCAGCCTCCTGAGTAGCTGGGATTACAGGCGCACGCCACCATGCCTGGCTAATTTTGTATTTTTAGTAGAGACAGATCTTCACCATGTTGGTCAGGCTGGTCTCAAACTCTTGACTTCGTGATCCGCCCGCCTCGGCCTACCAAAGTGCTGGGATTACAGGCATCAACCGCCGCGCCCAGCCGCTTTTTCTTTAAATCTAACTAGAATGAAGCCATAAATATTGCTCTATGATTTGCTCTTTTTAATACCACAACCTTCTATATCAGTATATATGTAACTACCTCATGCATTTAAAGGCTGTACAGAAATTCATACTCTGTATTATCATAATTTCTTGACCACTATGCTATAAAAACTTGTGGCTAACCCAACTAACACTTTGGGGATGGTAGAAGGGAGTAGTCCAGGATTAGAGACATGGGACCTCTTCTGGGGAAATGTGTCATCCCCTGGGGAAGTGCTAACTCCAAACTCCTTCCTCACAGTGGTAAGGGTCCTAGGACTATGATCTGTGGTGTCAACATTGCCACAGCAGAGGGGAACTCCACTGGCTGCTCTAATACCCCACAGCCTTTCCATACAATCTGTATGAAGGTGGGATGGGAAACAAGATGCAAACAGTAGATTCAATCCAAATTGGGGAAAACATACCTGAGGAAGGGAGACTAATCACGTACTAAAAATAACTGGCAATGATTTGAGAATGTCAAGTTCCAGAAAACAAAGCCTTGAAGGGGAGAGAACAGGAATCTTGTTGCTCAGTAATTTCAGGGGGAAAAAAAAGCAAAAAGAATAGGGGAGCCTATAAAGTTACAATTTAATGCCAACACATAAAAGTATTTAGGAATAATTAAGAAGAAAACATCTTGGGGGTGCCTGTGAGGAAAGAAGTTAAAAAGAGGTTTGTTGGATCTTAAATTCTTAAACTTTATCATTTTTTCCTAAGGTTTTTATACACTGAATACAGAATAATCTATGCAGATTTCCATTTAGTACAATTTTTTTTTTTTGAGACGGAGTCTTGCTCTGTCGCCCAGGCTGGAGTGCAGTGGCGTGATCTCAGCTCACTGCAAGCTCCGCCTCCCAGGTTCATGCCATTCTCCTGCCTCAGCCTCCCGAGTAGCTGGGACTACAGGCACCCACCACCACGCCCAGCTAATTTTTGTATTTTTAGTAGAGACAGAGTTTCACTGTGTTAGTCAGGATAGTCTCGATCTCCTGACCTCGTGATCCGCCTGCCTCGGCCTCCCAAAATGCTGGGATTACAGGTGTGAGCCACCGTGCCCGGCCCATTTAGTACAATTTTAAGGTGATTGGATGATATCCAATACACGCAGATTTTTTTTTAAAATCTGACTAAATCTGATAGGATGGGCATGGTGGCTCATGCCTGTAATCCCAGCACTTTGGGAGGCTGAGTTGGGAGGATTGCTTGAGCCCAGGAGGCTGAGACCAGCTTGGGTAATGTAGCAAGACCCCATTTCTACAGAAAAAATTAAGAAATTAGCTGGGCATGGTAGTGCACACCTGTGGTCCCAGATACTCAGGAGGTTGAGGTGGGAAGATCACTTGAGCCTGGGAGGTCGAGGCTGCAGTGAGCCCTAATGGTGTCATTGCATTCCAGCCTATGTGACAGAGCTAGACCCTGTCTTTGGGAAAACAAAAACAAAAACAAAAACAAAAAACAAAAACTGACTAAATACGAAGGTAAGAAGACAAAAATTAAGTTTTTTTCCAAATTGAACTAAAGTGTGTTTTGAGTCAGTTTCTTCCAAAAGAGCAATTTTCCTTAAATGACCCAGAAAATGTCAACTATAAAATTTGTCAGAGAAGAAAATGAGGCTTTTAAAAAAACTGTAAATACTTTAAAGCCAGACTTTTTTTTTTTAAATAAAAAGGACCATCTGTGAAAACCAAGTGTAAAGAAGAGGTTAATCAGGTGGAAGAAGCTGGAAGGCATTTTATAAAGGCAAGCCTATGAAACGTACAAGGAAAAATCAAGAGCTGTTACCTCTAAATACTTTCTGAGATGACTACACAGAGTACTCTTGAGGGCTACAGCCACAGACAGGGCACATAAATGAACAAAGTAGATGATCTTTCAGATTTATCTGGCACTGAAAACCTATAGGTTTTAAACTGGAAATGGCTGTCATTCATGGTATTTTTTTTTTACAGAGAAGTGATGGACTGCAGGCAAAAGACTGGGTGAAAGCTAATCAATTACACTTTAGACAATTTTTTGTTTCATCCATTCAAAAAAAGCTTTACGTGGCCCACTTTCCAAGGACCACTGCTTTAAGACAATAAAACTGAGCTTACAGATTTTACACACAATACCAGAAGCCACCATAGCACAGTACACACTCTGTTGTCAGACTAGGTGAAAGTCCCAGCCCTGCAATATTTACTGATACACGTCCTAATTAACCTGACTCTTGACACATGTTAAAAAACAGACATAGTAACAGTTCTTATCTCACAGTACCACTGTGGGGATTAAATGAAATAATGCATGTAATACGCATGGCACAGTGCCTAACATTTAAACTGGATCAAAAAAATGCAAGATGTTACAAAATGAGCACATATCTAATCAGAAATAACTAAATTACCTGGGGGAGAGGGATTCTGGAGTAAAACTTGAGTTAAAAGCACTAAGAAAAGTAAAGAATTTATCTTTTACAGAACTACCCCGTACTGAAGTAATTTTTACTTTTCTATAACCTATACTTACCTATATTTTCAGACAGAGAATCTTGGGAGGGATTGTAGCTTGATCATCCCATAGACGGCATTAGAATCACTTAGAGTACTTATTAAAATGCAAATCCCTGGTCCCACTACGAATAGCCAGAATCAGAATTTCTGGGATGCCGGCCCAAGCTTGTGTTTTCTTAAAAGCTCCCCAAGTGACTCTGATGGCAGCCACATTTGGAAATCACTGTGTATAGAACCTACCACAGAACCTGGCACAGCAGGAAGGACACACCGACTGAACTAGGGGGCAAACTGAAATACTAAAGGGCATTTCTTCTTGGGTCAAAAATGTTAATTTCCTTGTCCAGTAAAATGAACTGAGACTATCTTTGAATGCAGTCTTTTGGAGAGGTCAGCCTAAAAAGCCATTAGAATGGTTATATCCATAAGTGACATGTACAGTACATATCAACACAAAGGAAAAAATGGCTCCATATATTTCCCATGAGGTCCATCTTACGAAGCATCAAAATGAACCTAAATGATACGCTGCTTAAGGATATCATCAAGGGTTAAGAGACTGAACGGAATAGAAAATGAGTAAGATGAGATTATATAAAGGCAACACATCTGTAATACCTATATATATATATATATATTTTTTTTTTTTTTTGAGATGAAGTCTCACTCTGTCGCCAGGCTGGAGTCCAGTGGTGAGATCTCGGCTCACTGCAACCTCTATCTCCTGGGTTCAAGTGATTCGCCTACCTCAGCCTCCCGAGTAGCCAGGACTACAGGTGCGTGCCACCACGCTCAGCTAATTTTTTGTATTTTTAGTAAAGACGGGGTTTCAATATGTTGGCCAGGCTGGTCTTGAACTCCTGACCTCATGATCCACCCACTTCAGCCTCCCAAAGTGCTGGGATTACAGGTGTGAGCCACCGTGCCTGGCCAATACCTATATTCTTTACCTTAACTTCAAAGACAACATTAGCTGGTGAAGTCAACTTTGAGACAAAAAAAAAAAAAGCTAGTCACACAATTTAAATACACATCTGTGACAAACATCAACTGATTTAATAATTTTTATCACTGGATGCCAGTGCTTAGTAGAAGGACTCTTCTTACCACCTAAGTGGCAATACTTTTAATATGATTATACTTTTTTATTTTTATTTTTTCAGACGGAGTTCCACTCTCATTGCCCAGACTGGAGTGTAATGGTGTGATCTTGGCTCACTGCAACCTCCATCTCCCCGGTTCAGGCGATTCTCCTGCCTCGGCCACCCGAATAGCTGGGATTACAGGTGCCTGCCACCACGCCTGGCTCATTTTTGTACATTTAGTAGAGATGGGGTTTCACCATGTTCACCAGGCTGGTCTTGAACTCCTGATCTCAGGTGATCTGCCCACCTCGGCCTCCCAAAGTGCTGGGATTACAGGTGTGAGCCACCATGCCCAGCCTAATATTATACTCTCGATAACAATTTTGCTGCAAGAGCATAATTATGATCGAATATTTCCTTTGCAAATCTATTTCTCTGAAGTGTGGTATTATTAATTTTGATTCTTGCCTTTTTAAAAAAGAAACTAAAGACTATTCTCTCCATTTCTATATTATTTATTAGATTTTTACATTTTACATGTTTTTTCATTTTTCTTGGGGGTAAATGAAGCACCTAACGCTTTATATTTTTTTAAAGCTGCTCTGAGACAAAAAAAAATAATCAAACTTAGGGTCTTGGTAAGCTTGGTGTTAAAGCAGTAAGGTTCTGGTACTCACTGTCTTTATAAAACACAGACCTCTACCATCATAAACAGCTCACCATGGAGACATCTGGCCAACTAGTCTAACCCTCTCTGACAAATGGTCCAGGAATCAATGATTCATCTCTTCAAATATTTGCTTGCATTCAGCCATAGTACAGATCAGTGAGAAAGAACACTTTCTTTTCTTTGAAAATAGGACTGCAGAATTACACTGCCTAGGAAGGAAAAGCTGATTACAAGAGTGACCATAAAGAAGAAAAACCAGACTTTGGGCACTAAATTACTATTGTTATAATCTTCACCTTATCATTCCAAAATAGTGTTAGAGGATGTGACTTTTTTTCCAACCCTCCCCCACAAAGGCTAAGTCAAATAGCATGAATAGCAAAATGTGTAACATCCTGAAAATTTTAATGATGTTCTCTCATTAGAAAATGTTTTCGGATTTTTCCCTAAGTGTGTTAAAGAGATAGCTTCTATCATCACATTTACTCCCCACTCCCAATATTTTATTATGAAATTTTCCAAACATACAGAAAATTGAATTAGAGTTCACTGTAAACTGTGAACTATATACCCACCACCTAGATTCTACTACTAACATTTTACTAAACTTGCTTTATCCCCACCACCTAGACTCTACTACTAACATTTTACTAAACTTGCTTTATCGCTATCCATCTCTTATCCATCATTAATCCATTCAGTTTTTTTTACATATTTCAAAGTAAACTATAGGCATCAGTATACTTTCTCTTAAATAATTCAGCATGCATATCACTAATTAGACTTCAATAAACTTCAAGTTTTTAGGAGTCGAATTTACATACACTGAAATGTGCAAATCTTTTTTTTTTTTAAACGGAATCTCATTCTGTTGCCCAGGATGGAGTGCACTGGTGTGATCCCAGTTTACCACAAACTCTGTCTCCCGGGTTCAAGTAATTCTCCTGCCTCAGCCTCCTGAGTAGCTGGGATTATTGGCACATGCCACCACACCCAGCTAATGTTTGTGTTTTCAGTAGAGATGGGGTTTCACCATGTGGGCTAGGCTGGTCTCAAACTCCTGACCTCAAATGATCTGTCCACCTCGGCCTCCCAAAGTGCTGGGATTACAGGCGTGAGCCACCGCACCCGGCTGAAATGTGCAAATCTTAAGCACAGTAACGTGCTGAGTTTTATCAAATGCATATACCTGTGACTCAAACCCTATCAAGATAGAGAACATTATCTAGAAACATATTTGCTTAAAAAAATACAAAAATTAGCCAGGCACAGTGGCGTGTGCCTGTAATTCCAGCTACTTGGGAGGCTGAGGTGGGAAGATCACTTGAATCCAGAAGGTGGAGGTTGCAGTGAGCCGAGATCATCCCACTACCCTCAAGCCTGGGTGACAGAGCAAGACTCTGTCTCCAAAGAAAAAAAAAAAAAAGCCTGCAGAACACCCCAAAGACCACAATCTTCTTACTGAAGATTGTGTTTAAATAGGGAAAATCTCAAGTCAACAATACTGATTTGGTAATGCATGAAGATTACACTTGCCAGCTGAAACAGAAACTACCTAAAGATGTTTCAACAAGAGTGTTTCTGTCTTTAGACTCTAAAGCCTCTGGTATTTCATTGGGGAAGGTAAGAAGGGGGTAGATTGTGAAATATTTGGTTGGAATTTTACTTTTCCCACAAAAAGAAAGGTTGTCTTGATGAGGCGTTTTTACTTGCCTCCCAGATGTCCAAAGCTATCTAACCGTAGGTTTAGGTCACACAGAGTACCATTAACTCCTGAACTGTAACTGTCAAGAAGTCTGGGAAAAGCACTGGATGATTCTGACATTTCCCTTATGCACTGAGGATCTTTAAGAAAGCACACCTTTGAAAGTAGGTATTTTTTTCTGGTTGAAAGACTATCTGAGCAGGGCATGGTGGCTCACACCTGTAATCCCAACACTCTGGGAGGCCAAGGCAGGCAGACAGCTTGAGCCCAAGAATTTGAGACCAGCCTGGGCAACATGGCGAAACCCTGTTTCTACAAAAAATACACAAATTAGCCAGAGTGGCGGCTTGGACCCTATAGTCCAGCTACTGGGAAGGGCAGTGGGAGTGAGGGGTGGGAGGATCGCCTGAGCTGGGGAGGTCGAGGCTGCAGTAAACCATGATCGCACCACTGCACTTCAGCCTAGGAGACAGAGTGAGACCTTAAAAAAAAAAAAAAAAAAAAGAGTCTCTGGAAAAACCTTCCTCTAAAAAGTTGAGAGCTTTTTTAACCTAGTAGCAGTGCATCTGTGGTCAGAAAGAATTACAGAATATAGTCCTGACCTAAAATGGTACAAAGGAGAAAAGACAAATCCTTTCAGCATTCAAATAATTTACTAAAAAATAAAATTTAGGCCTAGGATAGAGTAAGGAATTTCCGGAAGCAAATAATAGTAAAAAAGGGGAAGTAAATAATCCCTGCCTGAAATCTTAAGGATTGAAAAATTTGCCTTGGACTCCCAAAAAATACTAAGGAAGAATTGAGGTAAATGCTTATGACGGTTGCAGTACAGGGAAGAAAAACAAATGTAATATTCCGTAGTACTTGTGGTTTTCCCCCCAGGAGGCCAAATAATAGGAGATCATGTGTTATTCAAATATACACAAATCTGAAGGAAAAGGATTTTTCTATTACAGAAAACTCTCTGCTCTTAAGAAAAGCAAATAAAATATATAAGCAGCATGAATATCAACATTTTCCTTAATGATGTCTACTTTAAATGATGTCTAAAACACTCATACTGCATACTCATTTGGATACTTATTAGACCCTAATATGTATTCAATAAATATCTTAGGTGAATTTATTCTAAAATCTGTAACATAAAGTCTCTCCAAAATATTTACCATTTTGAAAAACTGAGACAACACCATTCAATAACTATATATCCAATGCTTATATGGCAGGCAGTGAGGAAAGACGGAAAAAGGTCCCTCATGCTCCTGACAAAGGGAGCTGGGGTTAGGGACAAACTTAGCTCCCTACCCAAAGACTACAGATAAAGCATCTACTAGAAGGAGGCCTCTTGTTCCATCAGTTTTCCAGTGTAAAAGGAACTTTGGTAACACTGAAGTACCTCTGTGTGAGCAAGTTTTTAGGTGACTATACAAATCAGCAATAGCAAAAGGGGACTAGAGAATCTATCTTTGCATTGTAACACATTTATGTCTTACATTATAAGCCAAAATATTGTTGGTATAAATATTCCTGCCCACACAATGAAAAGTAAACAAAAAAACCTATAAATTAAATTGATAAAGATGAAGTTAAATAAAAATTCTAATAAAAAAAGAGGAATCATGATGAAAACTGACATTATTTTGAGACAATTCAGATGATGCACCCCAAACTAAGCATACTTCCTGAATACTGCAGGAATCCCCATTCTGCATATGACATGTGAGAAGCTTGTATTGGTGCCAGGTTTCCCAGGACAGACTTCCTGGGCGAAAAAAGTATTAAGAGACCACAGTAAACTCCAATATTGTTCTAGTTTTAGGTTATGAATACCATGTTTTAGTAATCCTTAGTAATTCACTTGGTAGGTTATTAATAAGTAGCCCTTAGGCATACCTAAGTATGAACAACTATGAAGCAATAAAAACTTAAAAAAACAAACAAACAGTGCTATATTTCCCATGTGGAGGGACTGGGCAGAAACCACATCTTGAGAATCACTGCATTAAGGGAACACAAGAGCGAAAACAATTCTTCAGGAGGTAGAGGGGTAAGAAAAAACTAACACTGAACATTAAACTATGAGGTAATATACTTGCTGAGTAAGGTATTTCAAACCTTCTATTTGAGGTACATAGGACCTATGAAATTACGCCTGGAAACTATAATTTCAAGCAACAAGAAAGCTATGTGCAGAGTTCATTCCTTAACAAATTTAAGGAGTACATAAATTCCTTACTATTTCAAATGTATTCTCAGTTTTCAAAAGCTCAGAAACAAAGCGGAATGTTCTCTAAGAGGCCACCACTATTTATAAGATAACTTTTCCTGATTTAACCTTGTATATACCACACATTTATCTAAAGTTACTACTTTTACATATTTAACCAGCAACCACTCCCTTTTGGAATGGACACATTTGTATGTTTTCTCTACTCACAAAGGTTGGCAAGAAAAGGATTTCAAAAGCTGACTTACTGAATGATAAACCAAAGGGAAATATTCACTCCTTTGCACTTCTAAAAGTTGTAAAAGTCCCCTCCAAAAGGCTGTTGCCCAAGTTACGGCATTTACTACTTCGTGATTATTCTGCTTTTCAATTTTCTAATTTGAATATCAGGGAAAAAACTACCCAAATTCAATGATAACTGCCTTGAAAATGCCAAAAGCTTGAAGAGAAGCTAAATCCATAGTTTATTATCCCCAAATAATTCTTTTGAAATAGATTGCTGGTTCCACTGTGTTTCCCATTTGTGGTGACTACTGACTTTCCACTTATTTTGCAATCCTGAGACTATCACACCCCACTTTACAAGTATCCTACTAAAAAATACAGAACATTTCCTATTTATTTATTTGAGACAGGGTGTTGCTCTGTCACCCAGGCTGGAATGCAGTGGCTCACTGCATCTTCAACCTCCCAGGCTCAAGAGATTCTACCACCTCAGCCTCCCAAGTAGCTGGGACTATCTGCATGTGCCACCACGCTGGGCTAATTTTTGTATTTTTTTGTAGAGATGGGGTTTTGCCATGTTGCCCAGGCTGGTCTTGAACTCCTGGGCTCAAGTGATCCTCCCGCCTTGGCCGCCCAAAGTGTTGTGATTATAGGTGTGAGCCACCATGCCCAGCCATAACTTCCAATCTTAAGTAGTGTAATAGTGATTACTACCTTCAAGAATTCCTAACATTTTCTCCAAACTATATAGAGTGTGAAAGAAAGCTGTATTTAAAAAGATGCAAAGGGATTTCCCACTTCATTAGAACAAATTACTTCATTGTTAAGGAAAGCATATACAATTCTCAACAGACTAAATTAAGCTCACGAGGCCAGGCATGGTGGCTCACACCTGTAATCCTAGCACCTTGGGAGGCCAAGGTGGGTGGATGGCTTGTGCCCAGGAGTTTGAGACCAGCCTGGGCAACATGGCGTAACCCTGTCTTAAAAAAAGTGCAAAAATTGGCCAGGTGTGGTGGCTCGCACCTGTAGTCCCAGTTACTTGGGAGGCTGATGTGGGAGGATCACCTGAGCCTGGGAGGTAGAGGCTTCTGTGAGCCGTGATTGCACCACTGCACTCTAGCCTGAGAGACAGCATGAGACCCTGTCTCAAAAAAAAAAAAAAAAGAAAAGAAAAGAAAAAGAAAAAACAGAAAAAAAGAAATACAGAATAATTGTTTGTTAAACTCTTGACAAAACACACTTTTTTTTTTTTTAGCCTCCAGGCCCCACAGTGCTACATAACTCAGATTTGTTGTTTTTACCTGATTCACTACAGATTAACACACTATTATACAAAATGCTAAGTTTTTATTTCCCTTTGATACTTACTAAATGAAAAGTTATTTTGCTGACAAAAGCAGAAGCCCACATAGAGTATGCTGGTATACCTCCTATAATCAATAACTTGAAAATAATCACTGAGGGCCAGGCACAGTAGCTCATGCCTGTAATCCCAGCACTTTGGGAGGCCAAGGTGGGCAGATCACTTTGAGCTCAGGAGTTCAAGACCAGCCTGACCAACACGGTGAAACTCCCTCTCTACTAAAAATACAAAAATTAGCCAGGCACGGGTGGTGCTTGCCTGTAATCCCAGTTACTTGGGAGGCTGAGGCAGAAGAATTGCTTGAACCCGGGAGGCAGAGGTTGCAGTGAGCTGAGATCGCGCCATTGCACTCCAGCCTGAGGAACAAGAGGGAATCTCGGTCTCAAAAAAAAAAAAAAAAAAAAGTCACTGAGTACAGAAAAAAGCATAACATAGAAAGACATTAAATAGTAGGTTAGGGCAACATGCATCCTGGGAGATCAAATAACTCACAATCACCAGTTATAGTTTTTAAAAAGATCCACAGAATATAGGATCACAAAAACAGAAAATTCAGAGCAGTACAAAAATTACTTCGAAAGGCAGACACAGTGGCTCACGCCTGTAATCCCGGCACTTTGGGAGGCCGAGGCAGGCGGATTACAGGACGTCGGGAGTTCGACACCAGCCTGACCAACACGGAGAAACCTCGTCTCTACTAAAAATACAAAATTAGCTGGGCGTGGTGGTACATGCCTGTAATCCCAGCTACTCCGGAGGCTGAGGCAGGAGAATCGCTTGAACCCAGGAGGCGGAGGTTGCAGTGAGCCGAGATAGCGCCACTGCACTCCAGCCTGGGCAACAAGAACGAAACTCCGTCTCAAAAAACAAACAAACAAAAAAACCAAAAACACAACTAAATTACTTCGGAAAAAATCCCATATAAATTGCCCGATATTTGGAAAACCATCTCTAACAAGTACGACGAACCAAACACTAGTAAAATGTCATACAGGGACACAAGTCTCTTACAATCTCATAGAGGGATCTACAAAGCAAGATACCATCCCAGGAAATGATTGCCCGATATTTGGAAAACCATCTCTAACAAGTACGACGAACCAAACACTAGTAAAATGTCATACAGGGACACAAGTCTCTTACAATCTCATAGAGGGATCTACAAAGCAAGATACCATCCCAGGAAATGCAAAGTCCACATAAGGGGAAAAATAAAGAGAACCACTGTGCAAGAGAAATTTAAAAGCAACTTCCAACATGCCTCATAATCTATAGTCTAGGGCTACCACAACAACGCATAGTATTCGTGGAGGAAAAAAGGCAGTCTTTACAAATCACAACTGAGGGAGAAAGTATGATATTCACTGCCTGTAGACATCCAAAAGCCATGCATATATATATGCAAAAGGGGGAGGAGGTTTACAATGTTGAGATCAAATTACTTAGAGGAAAATTTCAGCTGTTAGGGGAAAATAATTCCTGAAGGAAAAGATATTACAGTGGTAACTCCTGCCAGCACCATAAGAAGTTCAAAGTAAATGAAAACTCTGAGAGCAAAAGCTGGAAATCCCACCATCCCCATCTAAGCAGGGTTTGAAACCATGGGTTTAGATCTTAATATGACCTAAGAAGCTGTGAACCTTGAAGCTTTCAGTACAATATGGCTCCCAGCACTCCGCAGGTGACAGACAACGACTGTATTAATCCCACCCCTTACCTCTACATACTACTTTACATTTTAGAAAGTGCCTTCACTTTTATTCCTCAACAGCAACCCGTTTGGTGGTAGAATCACACTAACTTACGTTCACGCAGCTTGTAATTTGTACTTTCACATACTGCGCTGGTTATTTTACAGTAGAGACTTAAGGAGGTTAAGTCACTCCACTAAGCAAGAACAGATGGTAGGTAAAGGGCCTGGAAAACTGCGGGATTCTACTCAGTCGATAACAGACACTTCTAACCCTTCAAAGTTCAAAGTACAACACTCCAGGGGGAGCAACCTCTCTCAGAGAACTATACAAGACAGGACCTCGGAGTCTCAGCCGACCGCCTCGGTCTCAGTCGGTTTCCCTCCCCAAAGACGGGGAAAGTGAGGCAGCAGGAGAGACAAATGCCTAATTTGGACTCACGCAAGGGGTGTTGGTGGGATAGACTCTCCCCACCCCACTCGGGCAATAAGCCCGGAAGCAGTTGGATCCTGTGTCTGGGACACCTGGTCGATCTACAGAGAGAGGGAATAATTCCCGTTTCCCTTTCACTACTCCCCACTCTGGCTTTCCTGTGGATGGAGGTGTCTTCTTCCCATCACCGCCCAGAAATCCCCTCTCCCCAAGGTCCTTACCCAATTTTCAGCTCCGGCTTCCGTAGTAGGACATTCCGCTAGTTCTAGCTCCTGCTTCCTAGCCCCATTCTCTCTCTATCCCAAGGCGTTTCTAAATCTCCCCGGGGAGGTATGCCTCATCCGTGCCACCTAGACCGTAAACTCCACAAAAAGAACCCTCCTAAAGCGTCCCTTCATCTACCCTTTCTATCCCGGGCACCCCTGAGTAGGTCAGGACCCCATCGGTACCAGGAGCCACCCCAGGAGATAGATAGCTGCCTCTCACCTGGGCCCTGTTAGCCGCAGCCTCCTCAGAAGGGCGACCCCCAAGAACCTCTTCTGGTGAGGACCCCCGAAAGAGGGAACACCCTCTTCTAGGAACCTCTTCAGATCCCTCAAGCGCGGGCCTCGGTGGAAAACCTCTCGGCTGTTTCTCAGGTTCTGACCAACGCCACCTCTCTCCCGGGCCCTTTCCAGAGCCTACCCCGGCCCCAGTCCGGTCCGCCCGCCCCAGGCTCGAGCGGCTGTTCCCCTCCCTCACAGACGTCCCCAACCCTCAGACTCCCTCCCGTTCCGCGTGCCCAGGGCTCAGAGCAGCGCGGTCGGGCTGTGGCACTGACTTTCTCTACCTCCCGGGCCCACCGGAGGGAGGGGGCGGCGGCGGCGGCGCGACTCCTTTGTGACAGGTCCGAGAGAACGGCAAAGATGGACGCGAGGCCACGGCGCTGCCATTACGCGCAGAGCCCACCCCCGCTTCGTACCGCCCCAGCCCTCCCTCAGTCCCCTAGGAAACGCCCCTTCCTCGGTGGCAAGCCCTCTCCTTGACAGCCAATCACCTTTCAAAAATCGTGTCACGTGATCAGCGGGACCGGCCCGCCCTCCAGGCGCAGACTGGCCAGTCCTCATCCTGAGGCGTGAATGGCCCAATCAAGTCTCTCCGGCTCGTTTTCAGGGTACCGGATTTCCATCGGGCTCCCGGGGAGGAAGAGCTCCGCGGATTGGGTTACGTCGCCGGAAGTGGGGCGGGACTCTATTGTGGCGGTGAGGAACAGGAAGCCCTGAAGGGTCAAAAGAAATACAAAAGCAAAGGCTATTTTCTTTTTTTTTTTCTTTCTTTCATTCATTCCTTCCTCTGTTTCTTTCTTTCTTCCTTTCATTTTTTTTTCTTTTTTAAGAGCGAGCGGCTCTGCGGTGGCGGTTTGGGGTGGGCGCCGCCGAGGTGAGGTCGTCTCGCCTCCCGCGCGCCGGTAGGTGAGTGCGGCCTCGGTCCTGGCCTGGCGGCGACACCTGGGTTCCAGCTTCCTTACGGAAGAGATGAGCTGCGGCTGCTGTTAGGGTTAGGGCCAGGCCTGTTCTCAGTCCGCGCACCCGCTCCTTGTCCGGAGTAGCCGAAGCCTGGGGCTTGCGGGCCCAGCCTGAGGGGAGCTGAGGGTGCCCGCGGGAAGGCATCTGGGTCGCGGCGAGGACCCTTTCAGGCGGGCCCAACACTGCCGGGCGTTTAATGGGGTTTCCCCAATTTTCTGCTAGGTAGGGCCACCCAGGTTTCAAGTGAGTAGCAGGCTCCGTTCCAGAGGTCTTGGAACAGGTCCAGGTTACTCACTCGGATGTGCGGCGTCTGGTTGGAAATGGTTGAATCCCAGAATGGCAGTGCAGGATGGGAAGCACATTTATTGTGTGCCATGTACCAGTTGCTGTGCCAAGCGAATTTTCTATTACGGAAAACAAGCCAGCTGGCCCGTTTTGCAGAAAACTTAAGAAACAAAGAGAGTTGAAGCGTCATGCTTGAGAGTTGGTGGTCCTTGTGACTGTCAGTCCACACAGAGGAAAGGGGGAGACCTGTTTGTTCGTAGTCGTGGTTCTTTAATGTTAGTGGAAAACAAGATCTCCTGGGGCCCTTTTAAAATGCAGTTTCTCAGACTCCCGCACGCTCGGGTAGCCCGACTGGTTAGTTCAGGAGTGGGACCCAAGAAGCCAGATGCGAGCCTGGTGATCGGAATTCCCGATGACCTCTTGCCTACCACCTGTGACATAAGATTTGTCGATTCATCAGTTATTTGGTGTATTCATGTGTCCACAGGGACACCATAAAATGGAAGGCACCCTTCTGAAATATTTGAAGGGAATCAGTGGGTAGACTCCTTTTTGATACAAAGTATTGAGCCGACAGCAGCTTTTACAGTCTTTTAGTTAGATGACCTGCGAACAATTTGTAAGGATCTGAAAGTAGAGGCTGCCCGATTATCTTTCTCAACTGAAGTCTTCATGTCCTTACCCTGTGGGGAAGTGCTTCATGATATAAGAAAGGAATAATTGTGTCAAAACCATTTAGTTGATTATCAGTCTTCACTTTCATCTTCCAAGAATGGTGATGCTTGGTTAGAATCAAGCTGCTGCTTTAGCTATTGAAAACCACGTATGTGGTAAATCAAGTAACAAGTGCGATGTACGTACAGGGTCAGTCATAGTGTAATTATGCCTTTATGGCAGCTAAATTAAGCATTTTCAACGTGTTCACCATTAGTCACCTTTTGAACATACTTTGTCTTCATTCTTAAATATTATGTTTCACTCTTTACTATAGAATATGTTGTTAAGATTGTTTTGTCTAAAATCAAGTATCGACAAGTTTAAAAAAAAGATTGTTTTGTGTTTGGTTTTCTGTATTTCCACTATGCTCTATGGAACTATGGGTTTGTTTTTGTTCAATTTGTTTGGTATTTATTAGACTTCTTGAATCTGTGGATTAGTGTCTTTCATTAATTCTGTAAAATTCTCAGCCATTTTATATGCATATATTGCTTCTTCCCATTGTTTCTCTTTTTTTTTTTATCGATTTAACTAAACCTTTTCACTCTTTTCTCTATGTCTTTTACTCTGTTCTTTCGTAGTACATTCTGGATAATTTATTCTCAAGTTATTTCCATTGTTATTAAACTCGGCCTCTGAAATCTTAAATCATATATTGCAATTTTTAGTTTCTGAAGTTCTGTTTGGTTTGTGACACTTTTACAGTTTTTTATTTCTTACTATTTTGAGGCTTAATTTTATTTCTTTAAACATGGAAAGTATAGTTGTTTTTATAATCTCTATGTTTAATTCCACTGTCTGAATTCCCTTTGGGGGAGTCTGTTTCTGTTGTCCATTATTCCTGCTGTTTTACTTCCCAGTTCACCTTTACTTTGAAGCTGTAGTTCTTTTGGGCACAAGATTAAGATGGAGAGGGAGGTAGTTGTCAGACTCCACTCCCTGGATGGGCTCCTGGCTTGAACTTGTTTCTGTTATCTCATAAAGGCACTGAAACTTTAGCTTTTAGGTCAGAGAAGTCCTCAGGATGAAATCCATTTTGAATATTGGGCTTAATTTCTGGTTTTCACCTTCTAGATTGTGTCCAAATTCTTTACTATCTTGTTAGCTTTTCTATTTAAGAATTAATATTTTTGGCTGGGCGTGGTAGCTTACACTTGTAATCCCAGCACTTTGGTAGGTCGAGGTGGGCAGATCACTTGAGGTCAGGAGTTTGAGACCAGCCTGGCCAACATGGTGAAACCCTGTCTCTACTAAAAATACAAAAATTAGCCAGTCATGGTGGCGGGCACCTGCAATCCCAGCTATTCGGGAGGCAGAGGTAGGAGAATCGCTTGAACCTGGGAGGTGGAGGTTGCAATGAGCTGAGATCATGCCACTGCACTCTAGTCTGTGTGACAGAGCGAGACCCTATCTCAAAAAAAAAATTATTTTTGACAAATTTCCAGCATATTTAGTGCAGAGGTGGAGAATTGGTTTCAATTACCTAGCCCACTATTTCAAGAAATGAAAATCCCCCTGTATTCTGAAATTTGGAATGTGAAATTTGTGTGATTTCCAAGTTAAAGATGGTTATTCTTCATATACCTAAAATTTCCACCACTTTTCACTGTGCATCGTCACAGCCATTATGAAAATTAAGCTTCCCCAATGCTTATTCTAGTCTTCCTTTCTGAACTGCTTAGTGCCTCTTATGGCCTGTAACCTAGTTTTACTTTTCCTTAAATTGCTGTGTGCCAACCTTATGTCTTTTACTGAATGAGTGTAAGTTCCTCAGTTGCCTGTTTAGTACATAGCATTGTATCTTGCACATAATAGGTTCTCGGTAAATATTTGCTTCAAAAATCTTTTTTCTTTGAGATGGAGTCTCGCCCACTTCGCGCAGGCTGGAGTGCAGTGGCGCGATCTCGGCTCACTACAACCTCCGCCTCCCGGGTTCAAGCAACTCTCCTTCCTCAGCCTCCCGAGTAGCTGGGATTACAGGCATGTGCTACTACGCCTGGCTAATTTTCATATTTTTAGTAGAGACGGAGTTTCACCATGTTGGTCAGGCTGGTCTCGAACTTCTGACCTCAGGTGATCCACCTGCCTCAGTCTCCCAGAGTGCTAGGGTTACAGGCATGAGCCACTGCGCCAAAAAAAAAAAAAAAAAAAATCTTAGTTGGCCTTGTCTGGTTATTGTAATGCAAAGTTTTTTTTTTTTTTTTTTTTTTTTTAAGGGAAATGGGTATCTCCTTATGTTGCCCGGGCTGGCCTTGAACTCCTAGGCTCAAGCAGTCCTCCAGTCTCAGCCTCCTGAGTAACTGGGACTGCGTTTTTTTGTTTTATTTTGTTTTTAATTTGGTCTTGAAGTGGAGTTATATAGGGTGGGGGGAGGGAGGATGGAGTATGACTTGAGGTGTGGGTTAGGTTCTGAAGCGAGCCTAGATGACAAAATAGCTTACAAGCAAAGCTACCCTTGAAATCTCAGGGAGGCAGCATGTTAATTGTAGGAATACCAGTGTTGCAGAACTCTGACATGGCCAGTGTGATATTGTAAAATACATATTTGGCCTTCATCCCTGTCTCCTGTGGCATATGACTCCTATAATCCTTGAAATCTCCAAAATGATTAGTGTCTTTTTATATGCTAAGGAGCTGACTGATGGCTGGCAGCCCCTAAGTAACTTTAGCATGGGGGCTGGTCACTTGAAAGACCCAGGCAGGATTAGAGGGTTGGGACCTTCAACCAATGTCCAACCTCTGGGGAGAGGAGAAGGCAGACGAGCTGATGACCACCAGCGTCACTGGTTTAATTAGTCATGTCTAAGTAATGAAGCTTCCATAAAAATCCAAAAGACTGGGATTGGGGAGCTTCTGGATAGGTGGACATGAGAGGTTCCTGGATGATGGTGCCCCAGAGAGTGCATGGAAGCTCTGTGCCCTTCCCACATGCCTTGCCCTATGCATTGCTTCATCTGTATCCTTTGTAATATGCTTTTATAATAAACCAGTATATGTAAGTAAAGTGTTCCTCTAAGTTCCTCTAAGTTCTGTGAATTGGTCTAGCAAATTAATAGAACCTAAGGAGGGGGTCATGGGAACCCTGATTAATAGCCAGTTGGTTAGAACTACAGGTAAAACAACCTGATTCTTGTGGTTGGTATCTAAAATGGAGGCTAGTCTTGTGGGACTCACCCCTCAACCTATGGGATCTGACGCGGTCTCCATCCAGGTAGGTAGTGTCAGAATTGAACTGAATTAGAGGACACCCAGCTGGTTGGTGTCTGCTACAGAATTGGTTGGTTGCTTGGTGTGTGGGGACATATCCCTCACAGAATTATACTGTGTTGATTGTTGAGTGAGAGAATAGCAAAAATGCTTTGGTTTGGTTTGGGTTTTTTTTTTCTCTATATCCTCAGGCAAGTTTTATTTCGGCTTTGGAAAAAACTGCTGTTTTTCTTCCTGTGAGCCCCAGATGAAGTTGTTGGTTTGTATTTAGGAGTCACAATATGTAAAAAATACAATGAATACAATCATTCATGCATAGTGAGGGAAGTATTTATATTCAGAGAGGTGCATGTGAATGAGGATCAGCTAAGGGAACCGATATTTAAATTAGTTATCTTTCTTCTAGTGTGTATAGGTGAATTCAAGATAAATGCACATTTGAGACCCTGCCCTTGTGCTATGGAAAGATAAATAAATCAATACTTTTTTTTTAACTTCTTTTTTTTCCCCCTCGCCAGGCAAGGTCGGTCTTGTGCTGTTGCCCAGGCTGTAGTGCAATGGCCCTCATAGCTCACTGTAGCCTGGAACTCCTTGGCTGAAGCCTTCCTCCCACTTCAGCCTCCTAAGTAGTGCACCATCACACCTGGCTAATTTTTAAATATTTTTGTAGAGAGAGAGTCTCACTGTGTTGCCCAGGCTGGTCTTAAATTCCTGGCCTTAAGTGATGCTCCCAGCTTGGCCTCCCACAGCTTTGGGACTGCAGGCATGAGCCACTGTGCCTAGCCTGTTTGTCTGTTTGTTTGTTTGTTTGTTTTTAATAGAGTTGGGGTCTCACCATCTTGCCCAGGCAGGTCTTGAACTCCTGGGCTCAAACAATCCTGCCTTGGCCTCCCAAAGTGCTCAGATTGCAGGTGTGAGCTAGTGCACCAGGCCTTAATTTCTTTTCTTTTTTTTTTTTCTTTTTCTGAGACGGAGTCTTGCTCTATTGCCCAGGCTGGAGTGCAGCGGCGTGAAATCTCAGTTCACTGCAACCTTCGCCTCCTGGGTTCAAGCGATTCTCCTGCCTCAGCCTCCCAGGTAGCTGGCATTACAGGCACATGTCACCACAGCCAGCTAATTTTTGTATTTTTAGTAGAAATGGGGTTTCACCCTGTTGGCCAGGCTGGTCTTGAACTCCTGACCTCAAGCGATCCTCCTGCCTCAGCCTCCCAAAGTGCTAGGATTACAGGTGTGAGCCACCATGCCTGGCTGAATTTCTTATTGTATGTGTTTCATAGATGCCTGAAAGATTATTGCAAAGCTGAATTTTTTATTGTATGTGTTTCATAGATGCCTGAAAGGTTATTGCAAATTGCTCCTTATGATAAACATTTAAAATATGGATTAAATTTCTTTTTCTGTGGTTTAGTTTTTAGATTCTTTTAGTCTCCTTTGCTACCGGAATATGTTAATTAAGCTTTGGTGTTAGAAGATTGACTTCACTTTGCCTAGTAATAAATACTAACAGCGGGCTCTCTGTTAGTAGTTGTTGTTCTCTAAATAAATTTTATGATATAGGAAAAGTCAGCTAAATTTTTAAAAATCTAAATAACTGTATCTTGGTAGAAGTGCCTTCTGGCCAGAAATAAGTCTTTATTTGAAATATAGATGAGTTAGCCAGATGGCAAATTCCTCTTAGTTGCTGTCCTGCATTTTGAAGTACAGTGTGACTTGAACATCAGAGTAAAAAATGTTGGAAAGCAATAATCTATATTTACTCACAAAAGGAAATGGATTGACCTATTGCTTTTGCTACTGAAAGTGAAGCCTTAAAACAACAGAACACAGAAACCTGATTCTGGTGTGTTTTAACATGTACAATCTAATTAATTTTAGAATTAGAAGGATATGGTGGCCAGTGATGTAAACACTCAAGTAGTTTGCCATCACATAATTCAATTCCATAGGAAACCAGATCTCATTACTTTGTGTCATGGCACTAGCTAAATGGAGTCATTTTTCAAGTTAGGAATAGCAATTATTTGGGGAGCAACAATGTAAGTTTTGTATTTTAAAACATGTGTAGTGTGCTATGTAAGAACTGAGCCCATTTTGTCCCACCACCCTGGAAATTAAATGGGACGGTCTCCAATGTAAACCCAGTAGTTCAGTGTTACCAGTTACTTTGGCTTGAAATATAAGAACTTTGTTTTCTTGACGGTCAGGCAGATTTGAAAACCACGTTCTTTATTTGTGCCAATTTGGACTCTAAGTTTGGTGGACAAAGTGAATTTTGAAATGGTTTTAGTTTTCCATGAATTCCCTATTTGAAGAAATTGAATAAATCCTTTAAAAAATAATGTAATGTTTAGTTTGATAATTAAACTTGAGTCACTTTGGAAAACGTGAGTAAAGGAAAGCTGACAGCATTTGTTTACTCTTTCTAAAGTGGAACACAGTAAGGACAAAGTAAGCATTCCTAATGTAAGTCCTCTGCATTCCTACAGGGCTCTTCACAGTTAGAGCCCGTATCCCTGATATCCCTGGGCTGTTTGTCTTTTGATTTGTTTTTAATTACCCTAGCAAACAAAAGGGAAAAAGAAGAGACTTGTGAAAATTTACCTAGACAATAGGAATTAGAAGTCAACACAATCTAATTTTCTAGCTTCTTTGTCTACTTCCAGCAGGTCAGTAAGTTACAGGTACTTATCACCTCTTTCTTGCAGAATAAACAGCCATTGGACTCTTCAAACAAAAACGCTGTCTCCATCAAGTACTGCTTTCGCAGGATAAGTGACCATTTTTAATCAGTTGAAATTAACGGAAAGTAGCAGTTATTTTTGAAAGATGACATCAATTATATAATATAGTAAAGAGATTTAATTTTTAGTCCTTTGTTTCTTACTGCACAAATTGTATGGCGTTTGAATAGAATTCCCATGATACTGACACTTCAGCAAATACTTGCTTGATGGCTACCAATCTCTATAACTTACATTGCACAGTACCTAGGAATATTCATGTGAGTTCATTCCTCCCTGCTCAGATTCTTCAGCTCCTCGTGGTTGGTTTATTCAGTAAGTATTTGAATACCTAATATATGCCAGACACTGTGCTAATAATAATAAGCACTGTGGAGACAAAGAGCTGTTGGAACAGTCACAGATGATAAAACACAAAGAATAAGGGCTGTAGTAGAGTTATGAATGATCATAGCAGGAACACAAAGGAAGGAAATACATATTAACTACTCTAGGAGGTCTTGGAAAGCTTCATAAAGGAGATGGTCTTTAGTCTGATTCTGGGCGGTTGGAGCAGCAGTTTGCATCGGGTGAAAAGAAAGCAAGGGCATTCCTGGCAGAGGGAACAGCCTGAGCAAAGCCATGCAGAGAATGAAGACCTACAGAAGAAAATGCTAATTTGAAAAAAGATGCATAAAGCAGTCTATGTTTTAGTCTAGTCTTTTTAAACTTACAGAAATTTATTACTATGTGTGTCCATCTAACTTGGCTTATTTTCTTTATTTGGGGATCAAGGGAATGCCAGAATTATGATATTAGTTTTATTACTAATTAATTAATTTATTTATTGAGACAGGGTCTCACTCTGTTGCCCAGGCTAGAGCGCAGTGGTGCGATCATGGGTCACTGCAGCCTTAGCCTCCTGGAGTAAATGATCCTCCCACCTCAGCCTGTGAGTAGCTGGGACTACAGGCACACATCACCATGCCTGGCTAGTTTTTTAAATTTTTTGTAGAGATGGGGGGTCTCACTTTGTTGCCCAGGCTGGTCCTCCTGCCTTGGCCTCCCAAAGTGTTGGGATTATAGGCATGAGCCACCATGCCCAGCCTGAATTAAGATATTAGTTTTAAAGAGCAGACTTTTGTAAGTGTGCATTAGTTTTGACAGTGTGACTGTGTTTTCAGGACACCAACCCACTGAGAGCTGATGAGAAATACATTTCTTGTATTTTTCTTTCCCCTGCAACGCTTGCCTTTAAATTTTTTTTTTAAATATGCATTTACTTTATTTCTTATTTTCATTAACCAACTGATTTCTGGTTTTGTCCCTGTGTATAAAAGATTGTAGGCCGGGCACAGTGGCTCATGCCTATAACCCCAGCACTTTGGCAGGCTGAGGTGGGCAGATTGTATTGCTTGAGTCCAGGAGTTTGAGACCAGCCTGGGCAACATGGTGAAACCCTGTTTCACGAAAAAAAAAAAAAAAAAAATTAGCCAGGTGTAGTGGTGCATGCCTGTAGTCCCAGCTATTCGGGAGGCTGAGGCATGAGAACTGCTTGAGCCCAGGAGGCTCTCTGAATTCTTATTTAGGTAGAAATGTAAAATTCTAGGGTTTGTTTTTATTGTTGTTGTTGTTGTTTTTGGCATATTGGAAGATTTTTAAATTTTCTCTTTTAAAAATATAGGCCGGGTGCAGTGGCTCACACCTGTAATCCCAACACTTTGGGAGGCCAAGGCCGGTGGATCACCTGAGGTCAGGAGTTCGAGACCAGCCTGGCCAACATAATGAAAGCCCATCTTTACTAAAAATACAAAAATTAGCCGGGCATGGTAGCACACACCTGTAATCCCAGCTACTCAGGAGGCTGAGGCAGGAGAATCGCTTGAATCTGGGAAGCGGAGGTTGCAGTGAGCCAAGATCGTGCCACTGCACTCCGGCCTGGGCGGCAGAGCGAGACTCTGTCTTAAAAAAAAAAAATTATATATATATAACAAGAATGAAGAGAGACATTTACTGGGACACCAATGGCATTGCCGTATCCTAGTATTTATTTCCCAGGTTTAAATCATATCTAATCTGATAAATTCATTTCCTTCAGACATGATTATTTTTCTCCATCTTATAAAATTAAAGTAACTAGGAATGTTTGGCTCAGAAAAGCAACAAATTAGGAGGAACATGGGAATTGTCTTCAAACAACTGAAGTATGGTCATGTTAGAAAAGATTTGATTCTTTTTGTATAGTCCCAGTGGATTGAACCTATGTATTGAATTTATAGTAAAACAGATTTCAGTTCAGTTTAAGGAAGAACTATCCTAACAGTCAAATCTGCTTAGAGAGGGAGTTGGCTGCCTAGGAAGGGAATGCAGTGGTCCCTCTTGAAGTTTTAATATATGAGTTGGATGACCTTCTCCTGGGTGTGTATGGTAAATTCAGATGTCGAGTGGATTATCATATTAGGTGGGCTATAAGGACTATCCCACCCTGAATTATTTACTAGGAAAAATGGGTGATGGAAAGAAACCAGATGATTAATACAGGATGAGAAAGGAGACACGGTTAATAGGGGATAAGAAAGGGGGAAATTGAGGGTTCGGAATGTCTCTCCCAACCATTAGAGCCCTAGAAAGTTCACGTTTTCTCTGCCAGAGACATTTAAGAAATTGTTGGCTCTGGTTTCATAAGAGGTTGTTCTGTAGAACTTGAGGAATTTTTGGCATTTTCACAGAGACTGAACAGTTCTGCTTCAGTAATGAGCCTCTGGCTGGAGTCATTGAGTGCTGCTAAATCAGAAGTGTCCAGGTTGTGGGCTTTAGGTGGGAGCAACAGCGTCTGTCAGTTGATTTCATTTCTTTCTAGTAATTTTCACAATTCGCTCTTATTGTTACATTAAACTAAACCTCAGCAACAGTAGTATTCAGGCTGAGACTATTCTCTTGTTCTGAACGTTTGGGTTTGTTTTTTCAGCTTCCATTTCTAGCTTTACTAAATAAAAATGTTGCATGAATATTCTCAGCACTGGAATTTGAAGTAGGAAGAAAGCTGAAGTCGACATGTCTTTGTTTTCAACTAAGATTTAGTGTTTTCTGGGGAGGAGTATGGTAAAGTTGGTAAGAGTATGCATTTTTGATATCAGGCCTGGATTTGGTTCTCAGCTCTACCATTCACCACCTGTATCACCTTAGACAAATAATCTAACTCCTCTGGACCTCAACTTCATCTGTAAACAGATAATATTTCTCATAGGGTCAATGATCATGTAAATTAGATAATATCCATAAAAGGAATATAATACATGGTAAGAGCTCATTAACTGTTAGCTGCTTTATTTTTGTGGTAGCGTGGAAACTTACTGTTTTTGTTGTTAGTGGTTATCTTGGAATGGACATTGGATTGAATATGTGCCTCCTTGTTAGCACATAGTGCTGTGAATAACATGTCTGGGTAGGGGTTAATTCCACAGTTACTCAAAAGGAAAGAAACCAATAAAGAAAAACAGAGGTTTAGTTTAAAAGGAGTAATATGGCCAGGTGCGGTGGCTCACCCCTGTAATCCCAGCACTTTGGGAGGCCTAGGCGGGCAGATCACGAGTTCAGGAGTTCGAGACAAGCCTGGCCAACATAGTGAAACCCCATCTCTACTAAAAATTCAAAAATTAGCTGGGCGTGTTGGCACACGCCTGTAGTCCCAGCTAGTCAGGAGGCGGAGGCAGGAGAATCGCTTGAACCTGGGAGGCGGAGGTTGCAGTGAGCTGAGATTGCACCACTGGACTCCAGCTTGGGTGACAGAACGAGACTTCATCTCAAAAAAAAAAAAAAAAGGAGTAATAAGTAATATACACTCTGCTATCTTTATTTCCTTCTCTCCTCTTTGAAGAAAAGCTCAGGTAGAAATAACAGATTCGGTAATCTTCTGTGTCAAAATATGCATAAAATGGTTGAGGTGATTGTGGGAGTGAGAAAAGAGAAGGATTGAAGTTCAAATCTTAAATGGCACAGACAAGGGGTTTACAGGGAGGAAGGTCAGAAGAGATATAAATGAAGAGTCAGATTAGTATTCAGGAAAGTACGTGGAACTGAAGTTGGGAGATCTGTTCTTCCAGTCTCACTTTCTCCATTCATGGTTTGTGCACCTTCCCTGCTATACAGACTGGACTTGAACACTAAGTCTTCAATAGCTGAGATTCTCCATCTTAATCTACTTGGAGGCAAGAGCAGGTGAATCAAGATAGTGTAATGTCTCAGAAACAGGAATTTCAAGAAGAAACAATGTCAGATGTTACAGAAATAAAGGAGGATGAGAGCTGGGAAAAGGATGGGATGCTCAGGAGGCCAATTTTTCTAGATTAGAGGGACAGAGAAATAGCTGCAATATGAGATTTACTATGGAACACCAGGTAATAAGAATTATCCCAGGTCCTCTTGCCAACTGTGTAGATAACATCGATGTTAATAAAAATTCTCTGATATGTCAGGAAAAATGTATTCATGTGCTTTCATCAATGGCCTATAAATTAAACTATTTGAGAGTTTTTTTTTTTTTTGAGACAGAATCTTGCCCTGTCGCTCAAGCTGGGGTGCAGCGGTGTGATCTTGGCTCACTGCAACCTCCGCCTCCCAGGTTCAAGCGATTCTCCTGCCTCAGCCTCCTGAGTAGCTGGGATTACAGGTGCGTGCCACCGTGCCTGGCTAATTTTTGTATTTTTAGTAGAGACGGGGTTTCACCATGTCAGTCAGGATGGTCTTGAACTCCTGACCTCGTGATCCATGCGCCTCGGCCTCCCAAAGTGCCAGGATTACAGGCATGAGCCACCGCACCCGGCCGAGAATTTTTTCAATTCAAAGTTGGAAGATAATTTTTAGTTTGTTGCTGGGTGAGATGGAGCTAAATCTCCTTGTTTCTCTTTAGAATTTTAATTGCAGTTCTCACTTGAAATGATTTTTTTTGTTTTTGTTTTTGTTTTGTAGATTGGTTGTTTCATTATGGATGGAGGGGATGATGGTAACCTTATTATCAAAAAGAGGTTTGTGTCTGAGGCAGAACTAGATGAACGGCGCAAAAGGAGGCAAGAAGAATGGGAGAAAGTTCGAAAACCTGAAGATCCAGAAGGTATACTGTGACAGTCAGTATAATGGTCTTTAATCCACACAGCAACCCTGCAGAGTAGGTATTAATTGTCCTCACTTGGTTTTATTTATTTATTTTTTTGAGACGGAGTCTCACTCTGTTGCCCAGGCTGGAGTGCAGTGGCGCGATCTTGGCTCACTGCAACCTCTGCCTCCCAGGCTCAGGAGATTCTCCTGCCTTAGCCTTCCGAGTAGTTGGGATTACAGGCACCAGCCACCACGCCTGGCTAATTTTTGTATTTTTGGTAGAGATGGAGTTTCATCTGTTGGCCAGGCTGGTTCCAAACTCCTGAGCTCAAGCCATCCTCCTGCCTCGGCCTCCCAAAGTGCTGGGATTACAGGTGTGAGCCACCATGCCTGGCCAATTGTCCATACTTTAGAGTTGAGGAACTGAGACTCAGGGGCGAAGTCACCTATGTAAGGTCCTGCACAGCTGGGAGCAGAGCCAGCATACTCACATCCTGCTTCTTTTCTGCCTACCACACTTCCTTCCAAGAGATTCTGCTCCTCTCCTCCATCTATACAGGTGGATCCATGGTCTGAACAACTGAGAACACTGCTGCTGTGGAGGGTTTGGGCTGGCCCCTCAATCAGTTAACTGTCTCAGGCCATGGGCGCTATTGACATTGATAGTTGGCTTTGAGAACTGGTGGCCCCTCTCTGAGGTCCAAAGGGAAACTGGACTTTGTACTATTTTTGTGTTATCCACACCCTCAGATCATGCAGAGACTTGACTTTGTCTTTAAAACCTTTTGTGATTCCAAAATAATATGAAAACAATCTGAAGTGTATATCTCCTCCCCGTCCACCTCTCTCCCCTCTCCTTTTCCTTTCAGAATGTCCAGAGGAGGTTTATGACCCTCGATCTCTATATGAAAGGCTACAGGAACAGAAGGACAGGAAGCAGCAGGAGTACGAGGAACAGTTCAAATTCAGTAAGCTTCAGAAAACAGAGAGTTCAAGGGGCTCTGTGGGGTACTTTTGACGCACTTTTGCCTTGTGCAGCACTTTTCCTAACTAGCCGTGGAATTGTCTTGATTTTCGAGTCTCCGGATGCTTATTTGGTGGAAAAGAGACAGCCTTCAGCCTTCTAGACCACATTGAATATTTTTGTTTAGAGCTCAAAACACCCATTTTAATTCTATGGTAATATTTAGTAATGGGAAAAAATGCCTTGTTTTTTTTTATGCCCTGTTATCTATTCAAACGCCATGGTATTTACCAGTTCTTTTTTTTTTAATCCCCTGAAGAATCTGCTGCTTATTTAAAAAGGGGAAAGGAAAAATCTTATTTTTCCCTTTAGCCTGCTAAGTGTGCCTTGTTTAATTATTTCCTCAGAAAACATGGTAAGAGGCTTAGATGAAGATGAGACCAACTTCCTTGATGAGGTTTCTCGACAGCAGGAACTAATAGAAAAGCAACGAAGAGAAGAAGAACTGAAAGAACTGAAGGAATACAGAATATCCTTTGTACTTGGAGGAAAACCTGTAAGGTGTCCATTTTCTCATCAGCATCTATGGATGTTGTCTCCTCATCAACAGAAAGAGGGTTTTCTACCTGGTGATCTCTCAAGTCCCTTTGAACACTGATATTCCTGTAATTCTGAAAAGCTGGTAGTGGTTTGTGGAGTTTGTGTTGTGTGCAAGAGTGTTATAGTCAAAAGTCCACATCCTTCTTAGGGTTAACTCAAGGCATCAATCCTACTAGTACTGGGATTAGATTCTGACACAGGTGGGCAGTGCAGTCAGCTTCATCCAGGGGAGAAATTGGGCTCTGAGTTTTAAAAGAACATGTTTAGCAACTTTCCTATATTCTTAGTAAGATGTTCTCTAGTGGTATAGCATGCCCTGTCCTGATAGAAGGGCTGAGAAAGCAGCAAAGATGACTTTGCTCTAGATCAGTGTTGCCTTTTGGTCATCCACTTGAATGTCTTCATAGACATCCCAAATGAAACTTGGCTGAATCAAAATTCTCAATACTGTGCCACATCACCCCCACTCTCATCACACTGCCCTTCCCCAAAGTCTCTTCTTTTTCTGGTCCTCCCAGTCCCAGTAACTGGTAGTCCTATGCCTCCAGGTGCCTGGGCCAAGAACTGTTTCCAAAACGTACTCCAAATCTCTTGAATTGTTGGTATCTACTGCTACTGTAGTAGTAGTAGACTTTCTTCTCGACTCCTGTGACCATCTAATTGGTTTGTTTCTGCTCTCATCCTCAATAATCTATTCCTTAGACAAGAAAGGGAACTTTAAAAACCATACATGGCATCATGTCACTTTTCTATTTGAAACAGTCTAGTGGGTTCCCCTTACATTTAGACTAAAGTCTTACTCTGTATCAGGCCGTAGAAGGTTCTACATTATTTAGGCCAACCCGCCTCCTTCTTGCATCTTGAAGCCACTCTTTCTCATGTTGACTGTACTGCAGCCTGCTGGCCTTCTTTATGTTCTCTTTCACCATGCTTTCTGAGTCAATCTCAGGGCCTCAGACTTGCTGTTTCCTCAGCCCAAAATGTTCTGCCCTCAGATTTTGCAAGATGCATTTCACAGCTCAGCCCTCTGCTCAGCTCTCCCTTTTAGAAACCTTCCCTAAGCACCCCACCTAAAATTGCTGTCGGTAATATCAATTTTTTTTTTTGAGATGGAGTTTCTCTCTTGTTGCCCAGGCTGGACTGCAGTGGCGCGATCTCGTCTCACTGCAACCTCCGCCTCCCGGGTTCAAGCGATTCTCCTGTCTCAGCCTCCCAAGTAGCTGGGGTTACAGGTGCATGCCACCACGCCCAGCTAATTCTTGTATTTTTAGTAGAGACGAGGTTTCATCATATTGGTCAGGCTGGTCTCGAACTCGTTACCTCAGGTGATCCGCCCACTCCAGCATCCCAAAGTGCAGGGATTACAGGCGTAAGCCACCGCACCCAGCAAGTAATATCATTTTTTATAGATTTGTCACTATCTGAAAGTTGTCTTTATTTATTTGCCTACTGGTTTGTTTATCTCTTTCCTGCTAGAATGTAAAGTAAATGAGCTCCATAAGAAAAAAGACTATCTGACTTGGTCACTTCTGATTTCTCCAGTGCCTGGCATATAGTAGATTCTCAGTAAATATGTGAATAAATTAATAAATGATTCATAGGAGATATTAATAGGACCATTTATCTTCATGTGAGGAAGCTTATTTGGATATTTCAAGCTTATATGTTGAGTAACATCACTGGTGTAATCCAACAGGCTTCACGTCTAAGATGGACGACATTACTGTGTATATGTACTAGTTGGTATTTTCTTGCAGAGAATGTGCAGCACATTCCATTTTAAGAGTTACGTGGGAGGCCTGGACACAGTGGCTCACGCCTTTGATTCCAGCACTTTGGGAGGCCGAGGCAGGAGGATCGCTTGAGGTCAGGAGTTTGAGACCAGCCTGGCCAAAATGGTGAAACCCTGTCTCTGCTAAAAATACAAAAATTAGCCGGGCATGGTGGCTTGTGCCTGTAGTCCCAACTACTCAGGAGGCTGAGGCAGGAGAATCGCTTGAACCTGGAAGGTGGAGATTGCAGTGCGCCAAGGTCACGCCACTGTACTCCAGGCTGGGGACAGAGCAAGACTTTATCTTAAAAAAAAAAAAAAAAAAAAGCGTTGTATGGGAGAAGACATGGACAGATTCCCTGATTCCCTGGGAATTGATTTACATCAGAACTGGTAGGAAAAGACCTGGCTTCCAGTCCCAGTTCTGTTACTGGCATTCAGGTGCAACATGGAGATGGAAGCTCATGGGAAGTTATACCTCAATCTCAACTGTAGGATTGAGGCTGATTATTCTGAACTCCCCCTTCCCTGACCCTGATGACCCCAAAATAATATGTGTTCGTTTGTAGAGATAGGCAGATACCCATATTGTGTTGTTTCAGACACCAAGCTTTTTCCTCTAAGGAAATACATTCATTACACTTCTCACTTGAATGATATTATGTTTTATTTTGGTAGACTAGCAAATAAGACATATAGTGTCCCCCAAAGTAGCATCTGGGGAGAAGTGCTGTTGAGTGTGAGATGCCCTTTGGTTTTCAATTAAAAGGAAAGAATGAACAGGGCAGCAGTGAGACAAAAGAAACCTTTGTGTCCTGGTAACATTGCAGTACAATGAGGCTCCAGGGATAAGGGCTTTAACTGGAAACTTGGAAAGTTCTGTCTAGAAAAACTGAAGAAAAGCAGGCCTTCCAAGTCACTGACATCTAATACACTAATCCCAAGCATGCAAGTAGCCAGAGACATGTTGAGATAGGAATTGAAGGATTAGACATTTGTTTATTGAAGCTCTAAGTTAGGAACTGTTTCTAGGCTTTGCTTGATTACTATATGATATGTTGTATAATAGGATACTTCTGAATACAAATAAGCTGTGGTTTAAACCATGTAAATAACAGAACTCTTGTTTCGTCTCAGGTTAAACCAGTATTTAGCAGTATTGTGTATGTTAAAAAACGGTGCAATTTTAAGAGAATGCTGATCTAATGAATTTCTTGAGATTTTTGAGGTGTGTTTGTGTTTTTAAAGCATTTTGGGAGAAGAGGGGCTTAAGAAGGAAAAATTGCTTGTACTTTGCGGATCAAAAATAAGATTATTAACACCCCCTACCCCTAAAAGGTTAGGACTTTTCTTCATTTCAAAAGAATAAAAAGTTAAATGTTGGGTTTTGTCTATGTCGTGGTATAAATAATGTATAAATATATACATGCTTTTGTTGTGTTTTTTTTCCATTTTTGTTTTTTTTTAATATTTAATATTGAGAGTTTTGAGAACTTCTGTCTCCTAATGATGGAGTTGCAGATAAAAAATCACAACATGCTAATTTTTTTTTGGCATTCTCTCCTAGAAAGATGAAATCTTTTTTTTTTTTTTTTTTTTTTTTTTGAGACAGAGTTTCGCTCTTGTTACCCAGGCTGGAGTGCGGTGGCACGATCTCAGCTCACCACAATCTCTGCCTCCCGGGTTCAAGCGATTCTCCTGGCTCAGCCTCCCGACTAGCTGGGATTACAGGAATGTGCCACCACACCCAGCTAATTTTTTGTCTTTTTAGTAGAGACAGGGTTTCTCCATGCTGGTCAGGCTGGTCTTGAACTCCCGACCTCAGTTGATCTGCCCACCTCGGCCTCCCAAAGTGCTAGGATTACAGGCATGAGCCACTGTGCCTGGCCAATCTATTTTTTTTTAAATAAAAATGAGTATTAACATTATCTATTTCCATGATGACCCTAAAAACATTAAATTCATTAAACTCATAATAGTACTAAGCATTATATCTAATTTCCATTGCATACTGCAAATATTTAAGGTAACTTGTGCCCATAAGAACAGAGTTAGTTGCCTGGAGAGTGATTAGAATTAGAATCTTAGGATTTCTGGAAAATCTTAGGATTTTCTCCATTGTTCAAAGACACGTAGATAAATAACCTTAACCATACATCCTCTACTTCCACCCACCTTTTTGGGCTGATAATTCATGCTTCTTAGATTTCCTGGGCACTAGATGTCACTATTGTTCCAGGCACTAGTGCATCTTAAATAAGGACTTGCACTGTGTCAGAATACTTATCTGTTGTCTAAGACGTTTCAAGAGAGAGCATAAAACGGAGGGAGAAGTGGAGGGAGAGGAGGGAGGGCTGGTGGAGGGAACAAGTGAAAGTGACCTCCCCGACAAAAATATGGGGCCTTTCTTCACTTCAAAAGAGTAAAAAGTTGAGAGCCAGAGATTGGCATCAAGAACGAAAAACTGATGTTACAAGCGAACTGGTCATGCTTTTAAAAATAGCTTTTCAGTTCTTGTATATATGCACAGGATTTCTCATTAAAATCACCTTTGATTGTTTCTTGGCCTTTTGGCTAAGATCAAGTGTAAAATCACCTTCAGAGAGTGTTTAAAACAAACTCCCGGGCCTCTAGAGGTCTCATTCAGTAGGTTTGGGGCAGGGAGGGACTTGACATGTTTAATGAGCCTTGGGGTGATTCTGATGTTTCCTTGCACCAGTGGAGCAGGAGTTAGTCTTCGTGATGTCTAAGATTAATTGCCACTGATAGTCAGAACAACATTCTGCAAAATTTGATTTAACCCTTGAAGGGGGAAGCATGTTTTCAGGGAAGCCACATTTTTTTTTCTGTTTTCTTTATATTCCTTAAGATCTGTTTTCCTCATCAAGCATGATATTGGCCATGTCCTTGGTAATAGTGGGTTTTGTGGCTATGCTCAGATTTTCATTGAGAATCAGAGGAAAAGGTTGCTTATCTGTATTATTTTGGGCTTTATATGCTGTCTTCCTCCATGGTCTCTTTCATTTATCTTTGAATTGGCTGGATTTGACTGGCAGAATAAAGAAGGGTGGGGCATTTATTTAAATAAGTAGGCCAGACATTACATCGCACAGCCGAAGGGCTAGTGGGTTATATTTGTTGTCTTCCCTTTTGCTTAGTTTGACCCTTAACTGGTAACTCACAATAACCTCAAGAAGGTTGGAATTTCTCAAGAGAACAAGAAGGAAGTGGAAAAGAAACTGACTGTGAAGCCTATAGAAACCAAGAACAAGTTCTCCCAGGCGAAGCTGTTGGCAGGAGCTGTGAAGCATAAGAGGTTAGTCAGCACTCACACAACTCAGATTTCTCTCTGACCGTGTACTCTGAAACACCACTTGTAATGGAAGCCAGAGCCAACGCTTGCCTCGCGTGAGTCCTGGTGAAGTTCCCTTGGTGTGCTCACCTATCTCTCCCTTTCCAGATTTGAGGCCTTCTATAGGCTTTGACCCTCGTCTCTCTGATCACTTATTCAACAAATATAAATAATAGCTACTCTTCAGTGGGGATCTGCCACACCAGGCATTGTGTTAAGTGCTTCCTGTGCATAATCCCATGTATTCTTCAACAACCCTATGAAGTACAATTATAATCCCTGTTTTGTAGATGAGAAGACCAAGAGTTTGAGAGGTTGAGACCCTTCTTTGTGCAAGATCATAGAGAAACAGAGAGCTAGAGTTCATTATTTGGGCTTCTGTCTAGAAAAATGAGGTAGTGAGTCTTGTGAAAGGATCTGTGTAGGGTGTACTGAGAGCAAGGAGGAGGAGCATACAATGCTGCTGGGAGGGTGTTGTGTGCATCTTCATGTTGGGGAGGTTGGGGGAAACCATTGGAAAGATGC
This sequence comes from Homo sapiens, assembly GCF_000001405.40. Lineage (NCBI taxonomy): Eukaryota > Metazoa > Chordata > Mammalia > Primates > Hominidae > Homo > Homo sapiens. Next base: position 57,166,531 of record NC_000016.10, on the reverse strand, counting down.
TGATTAGGTAGGACAACTAGGGCTTTGACAAGCAACAAGGGAGAGAACAGTCTAAGCAGAGGGAATAGCTGCTGCAAAGGCATCCTGTCCTGAAAGAACATGGCAGCCCTGGCAGGGTTACAGACCTGGCTGTGGCTAGGTTTGGATTGATGTGGAAGTGATAGCACTGTCTCAAGGCTATGATAAGTTCTTTGCTATGTTTGCTCCTCCCTTTCCAAATCCTGAAATGTCATCAGAGTGATTGAATCTGGTCATTTAGATTTGACCCAACAGACTGTGGGCGAAATGATAAGTTTAAGTGCAGTCTATTAGGAAAATCAATATGATATATTGGCAACCAGCCATATGTTTTGAAGGGAGTGTATTGATGCAGTCTTGTGGTTTGGCACACCACCCATCTGCTGCAGATGTTCTTAGGAACACTGCCTACATGTAAAAATGTCATGCTGGTATAGCAACAGAGGGGAGGAGTTATCCTGAGAAGGGCTCGCTACCCAAACCATGAATTATTCCTTTCAAGTTCTCACATAAGCTTTCCTGCAAGACTAGGGACTCGCAGGATTTGGACCTGGGTCAGTTTTACTGGAATATGCCAAGGGAGGGCTCTCCAGGTGATCAATTTGTTATCCCTTGAGACTGCTCTTGGTGGTCGCAGAATGGGTGTTGTAACTGTTTCCCTTAGTTCTTAGATCACCTTTAGAAAAGGCTCTGTAGTAGCGTATTTGGTGACCTGCATATAACCCCTTTTGGGTTTTGAAACAACATCATTTAATGTTTCTTTGTGTAGTAAGGTAGTCTCCTGGGGCAGGAGTTCCTAATCTGTCCGACCCTGAGTTTATTGGAATCACCTGGGAGTTTGTTAATAATTTATATTCGCAGGCCTTGCACTAATTCTGGTTCAGTAAGTTTGAAGTGAAGTCTGGGAGTCGTAGTTTTCAAAGTTCCATGAGTGATTCTGCTGCCTGGTGAAGGTCTGGAAGCCATTGGCATGTATATGTCATGAAGCATAAGACCAAAACAAGCAGCAATTTCTTACCTTCTTCAAAGGAATATTCTTTACTCTCTTCTAGTTTATTCTTTTATTTATTGTTAGAAAAAACTGTCAGATACCTAGTTCATGAATGTGCAGTCTTTTTAGTTATGAGCATCTGAAGCTATAAATTTTCCTTAACTTTCATTGTATATGAGTTTTATATTTCCTTCTAAGTATTTTAAAATATCCATTATGATTTCTTCTTTGACTCAGGAATTATTTAGAAATGTATTTTTTAAATCTCCATATTGAGGTAACAACCATATTTCAGTGAGGGGAAAGATAAGCCTTCCCCCTCGCCACACACGTTTTAACACCTTATGATGATATATATATATATATATAACAGTGTCTTAGAGGCTGCAAAATATGTTTCTCTTTTGTCATTGATTTCCAACTTAATTGCATGTGGTTTTGTATACTCTGATTCTCTTTTCTTTTTCTTTTCTTTTTCTTTTTCTTTTTTTTTTTTTGAGCTGGAGTTTCACTCTTGTCGCCCAGGCTGGAGTGCAATGGCGCAATCTTGGCACACCTGTGCCTCCCGGGTTCAAGCGATTCTCATGCCTCAGCCTCCCAAGTAGCTGGGATTACAGGCATGCACCACCTTGCCTGGCTAATTTTGTATTTTTTGTAGAGACAGGGTTTCACCATGTTGGCCAGGCTGGTGTCAAACACCTGACCTCAGGTGATCCGTCCGTCTTGGCCTCCCAACGTGCTGGGATTACAGGCGTCAGCCACCGCACCCGGGCCTCCCACATAAGTCTTAAATGGAACCTGCTGTGTACTCCCTGCAAGAAAATACCAACTAGTACATACACACAGTAATGTCCCCAGTCTTAGAGGTGACTTCAGTATGGTCTGTTGAACACCACAAACTAGACATTATTTTTTGATACAGTATTTGTTTAGATTTATATTTGTATTTGCCAGTTTATTTGTTCACCACCCCTTCCTTCTGGGGTCCCTTCCTTCTGGGATCATTTCTTTCTTCATTGAAATACATTCCTTATACATTGTTTTAGTGAAAATCTTGTGGGTGACTCTCAGAATCTCTAGCATGTCACTAAAGATGTTTTCTTCAATCTGTAATTACTAAATGTTTGTCATTTATGAACATGTCTAAATATTCTTGAAATCCATCTGTGGTTCTAACCAATTTGAGTGATAAAGACGGCCAAGAATCTGAAGTTGAAGTGATGGTTGATACAGTGCTTTATTTCCTGGATTTGTCAGGAGTTTAAATTGTCTTTATGACTGATGATGCAATTGGAAGGAGATTAAGAATCTGAAATGAATACTTTTCATTCATTTTTATCATCCCAGCCTCTTGAGACTGCCTAAGACCCATATAAATAGTTATTGGAGCTCCTGATTCCCTAAGCTTTGATCCACAAGATTGGACATGGCTCAAGTCACCATGTGTTTTGTTACAGCTCAGAGAGTGGCAACAGTGTGAAAAGACTGAAACCGGACCCTGAGCCAGATGACAAGAATCAAGGTGGGTGGCAGCCTTCATTACTTCCTTGTACTCAGAATACACATGAACCACAGTAAAGGGCTGTAATGCATTGCTTCTGCAAATGAATGCATTTCTGTCTTCAAGCAAGCCTACCTATGCTTAATTTACCCAACTTTTTTATGCCAGGCAGGATTTTATTACCAGGCCAGAGTTTATACCAGGCAGGATTTTATACCTGCAAAAGTTATTATATTAGAAACCAGTGAAACTGATCAATGAAAATAGTACTCTCCCAGGAGTGCTTACCAGGCCCTGGTCATACCACCTCTGCTCACAAAAGGTGTTTTTCTGTTTCCCCCAAATGTCAGGTTTCTTGATTTCACCTGGTTTGCTACCAGTGGGAGGTAAATACCTGGCTCCTGCTCATTGTTGTACTGGATTGAGCCTAGAAGCTTAATACAATCTCAAGGAGTATACTTCTTTGGTTTTTACTTTTATGTGATGAAATCTGCCTCTGTATTAAGAGGCAAGAACTTGTAAGTGAAGGTGAATGTTACTGGGGCTGGATTAGGGATGAGAAATTCGAGTGTGTTTTCAGTTTTATTCTAACTCCATGTGGGATTGAGACTCTGAACTAAATTCCATCGATCAACAGGGCTTACATTAATTTCTCTCAAAAAAAGATGATGCTTTTTAATATGCATCTACTAAGCACCAGTGGTGGTGGTCTGTTGCTGTTACCCTTTTGGTCTAGAACCTACTTTTAAAAAGAAGAGTCTGGGGGAAAAAAAAAGGAGCCTGCCTTTTACCCGTATCTCTTCCATCTAGTTCTCCTTAGAGGGAAACAGAATTATACTTTTTTTTTTCTTTTTTTTGAGATGGAGTCTCACTCTGTCACCCAGGCTGGAGTGCAGTGGCTCAATCTCAGCTCACTGCAACCTCCGCCTCCTGGGCTCAAGTAATTCTCCTGCCTCACCCTCCCGAGTATTTGGGATTACAGGCGTGCGCCACCACACCTGGCTAATTTTTGTATTTTTAGTAGAGACAGGATTTCACCATGTTGGCCAGGCTGGTCTTGCACTCCTGACCTCAAGTGATCTGCCTGCCTCGGCCTCCCAAAGTGCTGGGATTACAGGAGTGAGCCACCAAGCCCAGCCACATTTCTTATGTAGCCATCAAGAGCTATTCTATGCATGTGCAAGCAATTGTAAATATGTATCTTTTAAATGCTTTATTATGGATAATTTAAGCAATATTCAGAAGTTGGAATAAGTATAATAAACCCCCATTACCAAGCTTCACTGATTTTTTTTTTTTCTTTGTAAGGTATCTCCTACAGGAAAGACCGTCAACAATTTTTTTTTTTTTTTTTTTTGAGACAGGGTCTTGCTCTATCACCCAAGATAGAGTGTAGTGGGGTTATCTTGGCTCATTGCAGCCTCTGCCTTCCTGGTTTAAGCAATTTTCATGCCTCAACCACCCAGGTAGCTAGGACTACAGGCATGTGCCACCACGCCCAGCTAATTTTTGTATTTTTAGTAGAGACGGGATTTCGCCATGTTGGCCAGGCTGGTCTCGAACTCCTAGCCTCAAGTGATCCACCTGCCTCGGCCTCCCAAAGTGCTGGGATTACAGGTGTGAGCCACCACACCCAGTCAGCAGTTTTTAACACATAGCCAATTTTATTTCATTTATATCTCTCAACTGTAATATTTTGTGACAATTCCAGACATTATATCATTTCATTCATAATTCTTAATATATGTCTCTAGCAAATACAAGTTCTTATTTTGTTTCTTTGTTTTAACAATTACAGTACCATTATATTAATAATCACAGGCCAGGCGCAGTGGCTCATGCCTATAATCCCAACACTTTGGGAGGCTGAGGCAGGCAGATCACCTGAGGTTGGGAGTTTGTGACCAGCCTGACCAACATGGAGAAACCCTGTCTCTACTAAAAATACAAAATTAGTCGGGCTGCTGGCTATGCCTGTAATCCCAGCTCCTCAGGAGGCTGAGGCGGAAGAATCGTTTGAACCTGGGAGGCAGAGGTTGCGGTGAGCCGAGATTGCACCATTGCTCTCCAGCCTGGGCAACAAGAGCGAGACTCTGTCTCAAAAATAATAATAATAATAATCACAGTAATTACCAAATATTATCGAATATTAAGTTAGTATTTTCTCCAATTGTCTCAAAAAAGTTTTTTCTTTTTAAAAATTATGATCTTGGCCGGGCGCGGTGACTCCCACCTGTAATCCCAGCACTTTGGGAGCCGAGGCGGGTGAATCACGAGGTCAGGAGATCAAGACCATCCTGGCTAACACGGTGAAACCCCGTCTCTACTAAAAATACAAAAAATTAGCTGGGTGTGCTGGCGGATGCCTGTAGTCCCAGCTACTCGGGAGGCTGAGGCAGGAGAATGGCATTGAACCCAGGAGGTGGAGCTTGCAGTGAGCAGAGATCACGCCACTGCACTCCAGCCTGGGTGACAGAGGGAGACTCCGTCTCAAAAAAAAAAAAAAAAAAAATTATGATCTTAGCAAGGACCAGACATTATATTTGGCTACTATGGCTTTTTTTTAAAAAAGTATTGAGGTATAATTCACATACCATAAAATTCACCCTTTAAAAGGATACGACTCAGTGGTTTATATTTTTTAAAAATCAGTTGACCATAAATGTGTGGGTTTATTTCTGGACTCTCTTCTTCCACTGAGCTATATATGTCTATCTGTATGCCATTAGCACACAGTCTTGATCACTATAGCTTTGGAGTAAGTTTTAAAATTGGGAAGTGTGAGTCTTCCAACTTGGCTCCTCTTTTTCAAGATTGTTTTGGCTATTTGGAGTCTCGAATTTCCATATGAATTTTGGGATCAGCTTGTCAGTTTTTGCAGAAAAGGCAGTTACGATTTTGATACAGGAATTGTTGGAATCTGTAGATTAATTTGGCAATGTTGCCATCTTAGCAGTAGGCTAATATACCTTTTAATTTGAATTTAATCTGTAAGTTCTTCCTTTCTAAATTTATATTTTGTTTTCTTTGTATTTTATTTGTGGAGAAACTGGGTCTTTGTTCTTTAGCATTTCTCTGGCTCTAGATTTTACTGATTGCATCCCCATGCTGTTTCCTGCTACCTTGTGTTTCCTGTAAAATGGTAGTTTGATCTGGAAGGTTGATCAAGTTGGTTTTTTCGGCAAGAATACATTATATACTGTTTTCATACTTTCATTGTTAGTAGTATTTTAATCTAACCTACTCTGTTCATTGCTTAATTCAGCAGTTATTGTACCTTGGGAATCATTGCATAACTGGACATAGAGCACTTCCTCGTTCCTTTTTAAGGCTGTGTAGTATTGTATATTGCATGGGTATATCATTTATCCTACTTTTTAATTGATGAACACTTAGATTGTTTCATTCTTTCCCTGTTCTGATGTTTCAGTAATAATCCTGCACATGCATAATTTTTCACATGCACAGATCTATCAGGTTAAATACTTTGAAGTAGACTTGATAGGTCAGAGAGGATATACATTTGTAATTTAGGTAAATATTGCCAAATTGCCCTTCAAATAAGTTATCCCAATTTATACTCCCATCAGCAATTTTGGAATTTTTCACTGACATCTTTTTAATAAATAGGAAATTTGCTTAAATAGGATAAATGTATACTGTATATGTGTATACACACACACACATAAAGCTTCATAGGAATATTTTTCTTTTTTTTTTTTTTTGAGACGGAGTCTCGCTCTGTCGCCCAGGCCGGACTGCGGACTGCAGTGGCGCAATCTCGGCTCACTGCAAGCTCCGCTTCCCGGGTTCACGCCATTCTCCTGCCTCAGCCTCCCGAGTAGCTGGGACTACAGGCGCCCGCCACCGCGCCCGGCTAATTTTTTGTATTTTTAGTAGAGACGGGGTTTCACCTTGTTAGCCAGGATGGTCTCGATCTCCTGACCTCATGATCCACCCGCCTCGGCCTCCCAAAGGGAATATTTTTCTTTTAATTAATTTTTTTTTAGAGATAGGATCTCACTTTGTTGCTTAGGCTGTAGTGCAGTGACTATTCACAGGTGCAGTCATGGCACACTACAACCACAAACTCCCAGGCTCAGGTAATCCCCCACGTGAGCCTCCTGAGTAGCTGGGGTTAAATGCTCTTGGCATAGGAATCTTAAATGTATTTCTACAAGTAAGCTAGTCGCTCTTTATATGGTACTTATTTCCTGGTAGGAACTATACAAATGAATCAGTGGAAAGGAAAACTTGTGTGGATTCTTTGAACTATCTCAGGCAGACAGCTGTGTTTCAGAGCCATCTTTTTGTCATTCTAAATCCCTTCTTCCTACTCCTGCATTCTTGCAACAGAAACCAGGCAGGAAGTGTCCTCCTTTGCTAGGAATTAAGGCTCCACAAGAAGAACGCTCCCTGAAGCTTGCTTCAGCCCTGTCCTTAGCAGTGGGAGGATTTCCGTCTTGGGCCCCTATGACTCTGATAGAAATTCAGGCTTCCCCCAGCGAAGATTTTGAACTTAAGCACTGAGCAGAGCCAGTGAATGCACAAGTTGGCCCCATCTACTCCCAAGTCACGCATCTGTCTGAATACTAAGAACATTCTCTATTAGTAATTTTCTGTGTTAATTTGGTATGACAATGTGGTCCTGCAAATGCAGAAGTTGGCAGGAAACTTCACCAAATGGGTGAGATCAGAGGGCACCATTTTGTTCTCTTTGGACAGTTAACTGCTTTTGGAATGAAATTTGTCAGATTTGCAATCTCTTTTCTTTCTTGAAACCTCCTAGATAATTGGGGTATTTGGTCTCTTCACTTAAACTCTTCTGATACCACAGTGGTCCAGATTCCTTGATTATATTTCTGTAGCTAACTTCCATTCTTCCGTTAGGCCAGTTCTCTACCCCCACAGGCACTCTGACTTTCATCCTTCTTTTCTATGTAAAATAGAACTTTAAATTCCATTCGCCCTTGAAATATGGTCATGTGCCACATAACGCCATTTTGGTCAATGATGGGTGCATATATGATGGTGGTCCCATAAGATCATAATATCGTATTTTTACTATGCCTTTTTCTATGCTTAGCTATGTTTAGATACACAAATACTGACCATTGTATTACAGCTGCCTACAGTATTCATACAGTAACATGCTGTACAGGTTTGTAGCCTAGGAGCAATAGGCTATATACCATGTGGCCTACATGTGTAGTAGGCTATACCATCTAGGTTGTATAAGTATTCTATGATGTTCACAACAATGGAATTGTCTAATGATGCATTTCTTAGGTCATATTCCCATCATTAAGCAGGGGTGTCTGTACTTGATAAAATGAAATACCTCATTCAACAATTTCACATAAATTAGTTTTCTAGGTAACTGATCTATATATCCTTTTAAGGTTTTTTTTCTTTGTTGGTTTGTTTTTTTATTTTGAGACAGTCTAGCTCTGTCACCCAGGCTGGAGTGGGGTGGTGCGATCCCGGCTCACAGCAACCTTCACCTCCCAGGCTCAAGCGATTCTTCTGCCTCAGCCACCCAAGTAGCTGGGATTACAGGGGTGTGCCACCACGCCTGGCTAATTTTTGTATTTTTAGTAGAGACAAGGTTTCCCTGTGTTGGCCAGGCTGGTCTCGAACCCCTGACTTCAGGTGGTCCACCCGCCCCAGTCTCCCAAAGTGTTGGGATTACAGGCGTGAGCCACCACGCCTGGCTGGTTTGTTTTTTTTAAACAACCAAATTTTTCTAACAGAATGCTGAAAATATCATTCTATCTGGTATACATAAGTACTACAATGTATTTTTAAGTCATGAATGGTATAGTTTGATGTTATGTTCCAAATGTTAAAAGAGCATCACATTTTTATACCCCTTCCCCCCAAATTAGCCATTTGCAATGAAACTGTAAACTGTCTGACACATTTTCCTGCATTCTGATTTCTGACCCTTGTGAATGCAAGCCTGCTCTGAGCCAGGCCCTGTGCTATATGTCCTGGGGGTGGAATGGTGATAAAAGAATGCTTGCCTTCAAGGGGCTTACCGTTAGTGGAGAATACACACAAGCAACCCCTCTCATCTTCTACAGCCTTCTTAGCTTTAATACTGGGATGCTCTTGGGGTTACAGAGATAAATGGGACTATTCCTCCCTAGTTTAAGGGCTCAGGATGTTCTTTGAATTTTTGTATTTGCTTTTTTAAAAAATTGTCTACCCAAGCACAGCTGCATTTTAAAAAACTGTCTGAATTGGTAATATATGCACATAATAAAACATTTAGGCCAGGCTAGGTGGCTCATGCCTGTAATCCCAGCCCTCTGGGAGGCTGAGGCGGGAACATCACTTGAGCCCAGGAGTTTAACCTGGGCAGCATAGTGAGCCTTATGTTCTTAAAAAAAAAAAAGAAAAAAAAGAAAAGGAAAAATTCAAAAGGGACAAAAGAATGTGGAGTAAAAAGTAAGTCTCCCCCATTTTCCAGCCACTCATTTCCTTTCCCCTGAGCAGCCTCTGCTACCAGTTTTTATTTATTGTTCTCAGACACTGACATGCATCTACATGGGCATGGCCACTTTGCCCCAGATTGTAACTTTCACACACTGTCCTGCTCCTTGCCTTTTTCATTTAGCACAATATCTTGGGGATCATTCAATAACAGTACACACAGAGATGCTTTCTTCTTCTTCTTCTTCTTCTTTTTTTTTTTTTTTTTTTGGAGATAGGTTCTCGCTCTGTCACCCAGTTTGGAGTTCTGTGGTGCGATCATGGCTCACTGCAGCCTCAGCTTCGCCAGTTCAAGTGGTCCTCCTACCTACCTCAGCCTCCTGAGTAGCTGGGACTACAAGTGTGCACCACCACACCCGGCTAATTTTTTAAATTTTTTGTAGAGACAGAGTCTCCCTGTGTTGTTCAGGCTGTTCTCAAACTCCTGGGCTCAAATGATCCTCCTGCCTTGGCCTCCCAAAGTGCTGGGATTACAGGCATGAGCCATTATGCTCAGCTACTTTATTCTTCTTCATGGTTGAATAGTAGTCCATTACTTAACTAGTCATCTATTAATGGACATTTTGGTTGTCAGTACTCTTTTGCTACTATAAACAGTGCTGCAATGAATGTTCTCTTATGAACATCATTTAAGTTCGAAGAACTTTGCCAAATTTCTCTGTACTCCCTGAACAGCAAATGAAGTTTGCTGTTCCTAACATGTTCCCTCCTAATATATTGTTTATCCCGTTATGTTTAAAATTCATCTGTTTCTTTTTCTTTGAGTTGTTCATGTTTTCCATTCACTTTTCTATTTGGTTGTTGGTTGTTTTTTTAACAGATTTGGAAGAACTCTTAGTATCTTAAGGAAATTTGCTTTTATGATAGTACAAGTATTTGCTCCTGCCTTTTTTTTGTAGCCTTGCTCTATCTCTGTAGCCACTGTCGGCTTTCATTTGACTTTTCTCCATCTCCGTGTTTTAACATTGCTTATCTTTGGCAACTTCCTTTTCCCTTCTTAGAGCTTCTTGCACAAACAAGCAAATACATTGATCTCCTGAACTTTGTGTGCGGGCCGTTTGATATCTCTTCTAACTGCTCAGTGGTATTGTTTGCTTACTCCTGGTTTCCTATACTTGGAACTGTGTATTCTTTTCACATTTACTTGAGGTGTCTGGGTAAATGAGGTGTTAGTGCATCTAAGGCAAAACCCTAGAAGGTAGTATGCTTGTCAGCCTGTGGCAACAAAGTATGAACTCCAACCCTTACTCTGCAGTGAGCTCAGGTTATCATTTTCGTATGTTCTCTTTTGATTCACGTTTAGTTTCACATTTTCTGCCCTAAGCAACCTACAACCTTGCCAAGTCATTTGACTTTCCTCATCAGTAAAATGGGGATAATGCCTATACATCAAGTTGTAGTGATTAAATAAGGCCGGAAACATTTCAGGGAAGAATGGAAGGGCTGGAGTAGAGTTCTTAACTTTTCCTTTCATCTTCAAGTCCTGCATTTTCTTTTCTTCCTCCTCCTTCTTTCTTTCTTTGTTTTGTTTGTTTGTTTGTGTGTTTGTTTTTTGAGACAGGGTCTTGCTCTGTTGCCCAGGCTGGAGTACAGTGGTGCCATCATAGCTCACTGTAACCTTGAACTCCTGGGCTCAAGCAATCCTCACATTAGCCTCACAAGTAGCTGGGACCACAGGCATGCACCACTATACCCGACTAGTTTTTTTGTTTTTTTTTGAGGCAGTGTCTTGCTCTGTTGCCCAGGCTGGAGTGCAGTAGCGCGATCTCAACTCACTGCAACCACTGCCTCCTCCTGGATTCAAGCTATTCTCCTCCCTCAGTCTCCCTAGTAACTGGGATTACAGGCACGCGTCACCACACCCAGCTAATTTTTTGTACTTTTAGTAGAGATGGGATTTCACTGTGTTGGCCAGTGAACTCCTGACCTCAAGTGATCCACCCACCTTGGGTGGTCTTGACCTCCTGACCTCAAGTGATCCACCCAACTTGGCCTCCCAAAGTGTGGGATTACAGGCATGAGCCACCTCACTTGGCACTGTCTAATTTTTCAAAACATTTTCTCGTAGAGATAGGGCCTCACTATGTTTCCCAGGCTGGTCTTAAACTCCTGACCTCAAGTGGTCCTCCTATCTCAGCCTCCCAAAGTGCCAGGATTATACGCATAAGCCACCATGCCCAGCCAAGCCCTGCATTGTCTAGATTGAGGTCTTTGTCATTGAGGTGGCAGAGTAACTGTGGGTTTCCTGTAAGAAAAAGAGTCCCAGCTCCTAGATGACATTCTGCATGGCCTTAAAATGTTACCTGACAGGCTTCAGTTTTCTCATTTGTAAAAGAACACAACTGGAAAGCAAAGGTTGTGTTAAATTGGTTTCTGAATTGCTCCTCTCTCCCACTTGGGAAAAGCGGCCCTTCTTAATAAAGAACGTTATTCTGGTGAGTCCTTCTGAGCCTATTCTAGTCCAGGGGGCTACCCGATTTTTTAAAATGTTTAAAAAGAAAAGAATGTTATTTTGTAGCTGATGTTTGGCCTTAAAATTGTATCTGTGCTAGCTGGCTTATTGGTCAGTAAATAAGAAATGGTGTAATACGCTGAGAACTTAATGGAATTGTTAATATTGCTCACAGTGTCTCTCTTAATCTGTTTTCAGATTCTCACGGCTGTGTGAGCACAGGGAAATCAAAGCACTCTAGGCTACACTCCAGAGTAGCTTGTTCTCCAACTCGGATTTGATGGGGAACAAGAGAGTGTAGTCAGGCTCTGGGGTTAAAAAGACCTTGATTCAAGTCTCAGCTCTGCCCCTTTACTTTCAGAAGTCCTTTCACCTCCTGGAGCCTCCCTTCCTCCTTCAGTTTCCCCATCTCTAAAACGAGGGTGATGATAGTATTGGCTGCATAGCATTGTTCTAAGGCTCCTCTGTGGGAAAATCCCTTGGTACAGTGCCTGGCACATGGTAAGTCAGTCCCCAACTTTGGAAAAGGGTGATGAAGTGACAGTCTTTCCCCTTTTATTGCAGAGCCCTCATCCTGCAAGTCTCTCGGAAACACCTCCCTGAGTGGCCCCTCCATCCACTGCCCCTCTGCTGCAGTATGTATCGGCATCCTCCCAGGCCTGGGTGCCTACTCTGGGAGCAGCGACTCCGAGTCCAGCTCAGACAGCGAAGGCACCATCAATGCCACCGGAAAGATTGTCTCCTCCATCTTCCGAACCAACACCTTCCTCGAGGCCCCCTAGTTTCTCCGTCCCTACACAGGGAGCTCCTCCCCAAGGGTAGATCGGACCGTTCATGCTGCCTATAGGCATTATGTCCCTCAAAAAAAAACTCCTTTGCCTGCATCCTGTGTACAACATGACATTTTTAACCAATCCAATCTAAAAATGTGCCAGAATCCACCTGTGGCCCGAATCGTGTTTGGTTCCTCTTTCTACTCCACTGCAGATGACCAAACCTGTCCCGCTGCCACTTTCCTCACTGATATTGGGAGGAGGGCAAGGCCCAGCCGAAGTTCCACTAAAAATGCCCCAGGAGAATAGGCACCGGCTGGCTTGCCAAAGGGTTTGGGTTTTATTGCTTTCTGTTTTTTCTTTTCCCGACAGCACAAAGAAGTAAGGGCAGTTATTGGACAGGTGTTATTTAAACATTCTATTGTAAATGAATGTGTTGTTTGGTTCTACTGCATTGTGGAGCATGCGGGGGAAGAGAACTGACCCAGGTAGTGAAATGGAGCCCTTCCCTGGAACTAACCAGTCCTTGATGTTGTGTGACTAAGTAAAGATGATAAACCCCATCTGCTGGGGGTGTCACTTCACACTCGGCATGCATTGTGAAAGCTTTCCATACCCTTGGCCATTCCCTCTCTCCTCTCTCTCCAACCCCATTTATGCAGGAAGGGACTGCTAACAAGAACGCTTCCATCTCAAACCTTTTCTCTGCCTGGGAAATTATTTTATGTTTGTTTTTGAAATAAAGGATTTAGTTTAAGATTCTAAATTTTAGAGAAACAAACGTAGGCCTTGTTTACTAATAGCCAGACATCAGAACTGCAGGTAGGTATGTTAATGAGATGACTTATTTCTGGCAGCTCCTGGAATCCTAATATTGTAAATGAGTGGGACACACTTGCATATTGTGACCATTCTATTGAGGCCCTTCTCTGTTTAATGCATATTATACTTGTGCTTTTAACTGTGGAATCTATTTCTAACCTAAAGGTGCTGCCCTAGTACTTTTCTTTGCTGCCTCTGCTGCTCTTTTTCCTTTCCAAACAGCAACTCTGAGGCCATGAGCAGCCAAAAACTAGAGGTACTGCTCCACCTCGTCTCATAAAGGGAAACGGGCTCATCCCTTGGATTCTGGAGGAGGGAGAGGGAGATGGTGTGGAGGCCTCGAGGACAGAGATAGACATGAGCTTTGACAACAATCTGTAGGCTCTCCTGCTTTAGAATAAGCATGTACCATTCTTTATCCATTCCCCTTATTCCTACATCAATTGTTTTTACTTTCTTGGGTGTGAGACTGAGTGAGACACACACAAAATGTGTTGACACTGTGATGCCGGCAGGCAGAGCAGCTACTGACTTTGAACATGGGCAGAGAGGCCCCTGGATCTCATCCAGCCCACTCCTTTTCCCCTTCCAGTACAGTGACACTCTGGTGCCCATTGGCAGATGGCGACTTCCCTGCACCCATAACTGATGCTTTGTGAATTCTTCCTCCTTTTCAGAACTACTCTGTGCTAATTGTTCTGCCAGTATGGGCGCATCAGCTCCATCCTGACAAACAAGACATTTAGGTAAAACTTTGTAGGCACCTTCTGCTTCTCTGCTTCATTGTTCCTGTGATAGTCCTGTTGTTATTACAGCATGTACCCAAAACAGCCTCACATTGTTACAGGAGGCAGGCCAGGACATCAAAGTCATCATCTTTATGTGGCATGACTCTTAAGAGGCCATTACTGTATCTCATGGCCTCTTGATGTGGAAAGAAGTTGACAGAGGGTTGCAGGGTTTAAAAACATCCATTAACATGAAAGCTAATAAACCTGTCAGAGAACAAGATCTTGTTTTTCCTCTACTGAATATTGTGCTTCCACCTCTCCCCATGTCTCTCAGCTAGATTGTGTTGAGAAGGTTGAGTGAGACTCTTCAGACTGTGACTTACCTTCTGGTGTCTCAGGAGAGACTGAGAATCACTGGTGATCATTGCATCATATTCCATTGTCCCCATCAGCACAGAGCTCTGGAACTGAAACAGAGCTTCTGTAGCAACCACAGCTAACAAAGCAGCGTCTGATCTGACCAACAGAGGAAGCAGCCTTGGAAAGTATCTAGTGTAGACCTTGAAGTTCAAACCCAAAGGAGAATAGAATAAACAGGGCTGGAAGGAAACACTGCTTTAAACTGTAAAGTGTAGTACTCCTGCCTTAATAATTGGGATTTTATGGTAATTACGGGACAAAAACAAAGTTTGGCATGGGTTTCTTTAAGCTCGCTTACTTTGTTCTGAGTGGTAGGATTCTTACAATTCTCCAGCCATGTGAGGGAGAAAGCTAATAGGAATCCTACTGCCACCTCTATATGGGGAGGATTATCTAGCTTGTGTCACCCACCTGGGTGGAAAATGAGTGTGATATTCAAAGCGTCTATTTTTCCATCTGTAAAAACCAGGGAAACTGATACGACTAGACCGAAAAAGGTGGCTGGCTACCTACTTGTGTATATCTTCCCTGAATCTAAGGATGCAAGAGACTGAGAGCTGGCTCCCCAAATCCAGAGGGGTGGGGCGGAGGGGGGCTTCAGCTTTTTTCAGAATCATTCTGGACTGGGAGTCAGGAGGCCCTAAGTCGGGTGACTTAGTGCCAGGCATCCTCATTTCTTTCACTCTAGCTCCTGAGTTCTTCCTGTCTGGCTTCCTCCTTCCCACCCAAGAGAGGAGCTTCATTTGCCTAAGCCCTTCCCCACTGTTTCTGCTGCTCCTCCCTGGGAACTCAGCCTAGTTCCACCATAGTGGTTATGAGTTAGGAGCCAGCTGTGACTAGCTGTGTCACTTGGGCAAGGTTAGTGTGACCTCTCTGGACCTCACTTTCCTCCTTGGTAAATAGGAATAACACTACCAATTTCCTAGGGAGATAGAGATAACCTAGATTAGGTGCTAGGTGTGCGGTATCAGACACACAGTGTTTAGTAAATGGTGGCCACCCTCAGTGCTGTTACCATCAGCCCTCCCTTTTTTCTGGGTGGCATAGCCAGAGCTTCCATTATTGGTGATTTATGCAGGTTTATCCATTCCACTGGCATTCCTCAGTTGCAGCTAGAACACTGGCATGGGTGAAGGGTCAGATCTGGTCGTCAAAGCTCCAACCACCAGCTTTTGCTGTATGCTTCCCTTTTGGCTAAATGTTAATTGCTTAGGCACACCCGGTTCCTTGGCGCGGTTGTCCTAGCCGTGGGTATATGGCTCAGCTGTCATCTTAGGCCCCTCCAGAAAAACAGCTCCATGGCAGTGCAGATTATCTGGACTTGGGTATTTTCTTGGTTTTCTGGCATGCCCAACCCACTTAGGCGTCACAGGATGGAATGCAAGTTCTGCTCAGTGGGAGGCTAGGATCTTGGCAACACTTTTGTAGTCACAGGTTGAACACAGAAACCAGTCACACATTTGTGCTTTAGTGACACTGGCAAGGGCTGACATTTTGCTCCCTTACCTGCTGGAGCAGCGGTTCGGAGAGAGAGGGAGCCTCACAGTGGTAACGGCAGAACATGGCCCCAGCATCAGAGCTTTGCAGAGGGGAGAGGCAGAAAAACAGAGGGACAGCCATTCACCTGTGCTTTATACTGCAAGCTGGTCTTCCATTACTATTTTAGTAATAGTCATGTACATCATTGCTTGTGTTGGTTTCTTTCATTCAGTGTATACTGAGAGCTTGCTATGTATATGCCAGGGTGTTAGGGGCATTTGTGCGTTATTTTTGTGGACTCTAGTGTCTTTCATTCTGGGGGAAAAAAGTCCTGTGAAGCAGCCCTTCTCTATATTTTACAGGAAATCAGAATTCCTAGGAGCTCAATGGCTTGTCTGAGGTTGCATAGCTAAGTGACAGAACCAGAATTTTCATTTGAACCAGAATTTTCATTTGAGCCTTTAAGTCTGGCTTTCTGTGGTTTCAGTGAAACTTCTAAACAAATGCCAGTGCCCAGGCCTCCGTGGAAGGGATTCAAGGGTAAAGGAGTCTTTCTGGCTGGATTTCCAAGTTCACTTTTCAGCCTGCTATCCATGTGCAGGAACCAAGTAGCAGCACCAAAGCTTGGATTTTTACAAAAGTGATTTGGAGCCAGGCGCCGTGACTCATGTCTGTAATCCTAGCACTTTGGGAGGCCGAGGCAGGTGGATCACTTGAGGTCAGGAGTTCGAGAACAGCCTGACCAACATGGTGAAATTCCATCTCTACTAAAAATACAAAAATTAGTCAGGCAAGGTGGCGTGCGCCTGTAGTTCCAACTACTTGGGAGGCTGAGGCAGGAGAATCACTTGAACCCAGGAGGCGGAGGCTAAGTGAGCTGAGATTGTGCCACTGCACTCCAGCCTGGGTGACAGAGTGAGACTCTGTCTCAAAAATAAGAAAATAAAAAGTGATTTGGTTGGCCTTGTCAAGAGTTTAGACAAACTCTTTAGACAAGAGTTTAGACAAGTTTGTGAACTGAAGCCAGCTAGGAATAAAGGGCCTGCTTGACTTACCCACCGTTAGGCAGAGAAGGGGCAGACAGCAGAGATGGCTGGATCTGCCCCCACATGAAGCCTGGATGTGGGGACCACGGCCACCACACCTGAGGAAGTGATCTGAGAGTGGGAGCATGTGGGACAGACCCCCACTGCAAGGCCAGGGCTTCGCCTTCACGTGGCCCAGTGGACGGCAGTCTCCCTAGTTTCACCAAGCTCGTAAGCCGCTCCCACGGGAAGGTGTAAGGGAGGAGTGGGATTCCACCCATGTTGCTGGCCTGGGGGCCAGTGCACTGGAGTTTTCCAAAGGACAGTCTGCAAATCAGAGCTCTGTGCAGTCCTGCGGCCCTCTTGAGAGAAGTGTCCCTAACAGATCCTTCAGCTGACTCTTGGTGTCCACAGAATCAGCAGCGGCACCAGAAGCTTAGGATGAAGGTATCCCTTACTTGCTCCCACCAGAAAAACTCTGGCTGGAGCTTACCAGGCACTAAGAGGTGGGAATCTACCTGCTGCGGTGCCCAATCCTAGCAGGCCCTAGTAAGAATTACTGGCCAGAAGAGTAGATGGGGACAAATGACTTTCCAATTTCAGTGGCACAGAGTGACAAATTCATTAGCAGCTTGAGCAGAAGAACCCCATCCAGAGCCAAGGGAAGGCATTCAATGCAGTGGAGCAAGTGTGGGCCATGAGGTAGCCAGACTTGGGTATGAGGCCTGGCTCTGCCTCTAGTAGACTTGATTCGCTTCTCTGCTTGTCTCCTCATCTCTGAAATGGTCACCGTCAGGAGCTATTGGAAGGGTTCACCAAGATAGTGCTTGCAGCCTGGGCAACATGGCGAAACTCCATGTCTACAAAAATTAGCTGGGCGTGGGGGTGCATGCCTGTGTTCCAGCTACTCGTGAGGCTGAGGTGGGAGGACTGCTTGAGCCCACAAGGTTGAGGCTGCAGTGAGCCGAGATCACACCACTGCACTCCAGCCTGGGTGGGACAGAGTGAGACCCTGTCTCAGAAAAAGTGCCTGCAAAATACTGAACACGGAGCTGGAAACAAAGTGCTTAATAGGAGGGTTAGCTGTTACTGGTTACACGGAAGCCCGTGTCCAGGGGGCTTACCTGGAGGTCCAAGCGGGAGTCAGGTGGATAAAGGAGAAAGAGGTGTTATGTGGAATAAAGGAGGGACCTGGGAGCGGGGCTGAACTTTCAGAGAGGGGTCCTCTGGCTGGTTTCATAAAACTGGGCCTGAGCCTAGAGAGGGGGATGTGGAAGAAACAGCAGGGTCAGAAGCAGCCCCATTTTGGGTCCTGAGGCCAGAGAGGCTTTCACAGACCTCTAGGTGGCCAACCCAAACACCCGGGAGACCCAAGGAGGAGCAGATGGGTGGCTGGGACTGCTGTCCAGTTGTGGGGTAGGGATATGTCAGAAACTGGTATGGGCCTGCACATTCATTCTATTCATCCATGAATATTTATTGAGTTTGTACAATGTGCCAGGTTCTGTGCCAGTTTAACAGGTTATCACTGTTAACTGGCAGTGATTTAACAGGTTATCATCTGGAATGCATGTCCCCATGCAGAAGTGACTACACCAACTTATTAGACTTGTGGGGTGGATTTTCATTTTCCATTTCCTTTCTTAGATCAGTGAGCCCGTCAGGTCCCTGCTGAGGAAGGAGCTGACGCAGGGACGTCTGAAACTCATTTGTTACCCTGAGCATATAACAAATAGAACACAGTCACAGTATTAAAAAAACAGCAGGAATTAATTAGGTGCAGGCTACGACACGTATGCACCAAGGACATGTTTCTTTCATCAGAGTCTGCAGCTAGTTACTTGGAAAAAGCCAGTTATGATTGTAAAAATTTTATTCTCAATAACAATTCCACTAAAATTATACAAAGTACATTCAATACTTAAGAATGGCAAAGGTGGGGAGAGGAGGAGAGGAAGCCAGTTTGGCCTGGAAGCATCAACAGTTGACTCCAACAAAGGAAGCCCAGCTGGGCTGGAGGAAGTTGGGGGTGGAGGTCCGGTTGTAAAAAATAAAAAAGGGGATCGGTAAAAAAAGGCCACCCACAAGGAAGCAGAGTGAGCGTGCATGTTCCTGGGGGAGGGCAGGAGGCTCAGCTGACATGCTGCTGCTGGGCACTGGAGCTCAGGCGGGCTCCGAGTTGGTGGGGGGCAGGTTTTTATGCTTGAAATACTGCACAACTTGTTGGGGCAGCTCCGCCAGCACAGCTTTGGCCAAGGTCTCTTTTGCTGCCTGCAGGGTGGAGGAGGGTGGGGTGGGGAAGAGAGAGAATAAGGATTAATGACCGGAAGTTGTGAGCGGCACTATGCCCAGAGGGCTGCTACAGCAGGTGTCCATTGAGGACAAAATTAGGGCTGCGGGCCAGGGCTGTCTGCAAGTGGCATCCCTCATCTCAGCCCAGGCCAGGCCTGAAATTCCCCCTGATCGCAGTGCCTTCCTTTAGGTTAGGTGTAAGTGTTACCTGGAGCACTTGAGATGCTTGGGAGTAACGGGTTAGGATGACTCCGTCTGCGGGAAGCACCTATGTGTCCGGCAAACATCTCCTGAGCACCTTCTTGGCGGGAATAAATGGGCCTGACAGTATGGTTCACTAGTGAACAGCCAGCCACAGGCCAGGCACATGGAGGTACTCGGTCACCGACCTGTGCATGAAGGGGTGACCGATGCCCAGGGTTTGTCCTTAGGAAGCGAATGCTCCAGAGGAAGGAGTAGAACCATCGCAGGCAACCCCAGAGGATGCTGGGAAGAGAGGTGAGGGCCACTGGGTGCAAACCAGCATGGGCAGTTCTTGCTGAGGCTGGGTTAAGCCCCCAGCCAGCAGTATGGGGGTGGCATTACAGTACAGCGGTACAGTGGAGAGACTGCTCCCCTATGGGACTCCTCATGGACCCTGCTGCTAGGGCAGTGATCAGGAGGCCAACCCCGGCCTCCTTGTGGGCAGATCTGGGATCACCTGCAAATAAAGCCAGAGCCACTTCCAGGAACAAGGCTGGGGACACCATTCTCCCAGGCAGAGGGCTTTAGGGAGAGGAGGTCAACCTAAGATGACTGGGAGGCCTTGTTTTCCGTCTACAAAATGAGGGGGCTTGCTGGGGCGTGATGATCAGGAAAACCCCTCTCTCCTCCTGCACTTTACACCACATGGATAGCCCCAGCCTCTCATCAGACCCCACTAGAGGGCAGGTCCTCCAGGAAGCCCTGCCCCAGAGCCTCAGGCTAGATGCCCACGGCTCCATGTTCCATCAGTTTGTGGAAGCAAGTGCTCACACTATCACAATGGCCACCACCGGGGCAAGGCCTGGCACGGCGCCTGGCACATGGCAGGCCCTCAGAAGAGCATAGTCAATGGAGTGGAGAAGTCTAGGATTGGGCCAGACAACCCCAAGACTCTCAAGCTTGATTATGAGCTATGGTGGCTGGGATCCTGTAACCGCCCCCTCCCAGCCCAGGCCCACACTCACGTTGCGGAACTCTCGAAAGGGAACGAACTGCACAATATCGCGGGCTGCCTCCTCCCCCGTGTGGGAGCGCAGCATGCGGCTGTCCCCATCCAGGAACTCCATGGCAGCGAAGTCCGCATTGCCCACGCCCACGATGATGATGGACATGGGCAGCTTGGAAGCCTGCACCACGGCATGCCGTGTCTCCTCCATGTCACTGATGACCCCGTCCGTGATGATGAGGAGGATGAAGTACTGCTGCAGGGAGGGGGCCAACGGGGCACTCAGCAAGGTCGAGGCTCTGGCACCCCTTCTCCCTCCCTCCTTCATCCCAAACCCTCCGAGTCCTGGAGGAAGGCAGTGCATCTTACCCAGCTGCAGCCAAGTCCCAGACAACTCACTATGCGTCCTGCTCTCAGCACCCCACCCCTGCAGGCCTCTCATGCTCTAAACTCTGACCTGGTCACAGCAGGAAGTACAAACTGCTCTCCCCTCCTGCCCTGTGTGTTATCTTAGACTCCCCCTTGGGGCCTCTGAGAGCCCTGGACTCTGGGCCTGGCCTTGCCAGTTGCTATACTGTGGGACTCTAGGCAACTGACTTGACTCGTAGTGCCTCAGTTTCTTCATCTGCAAAGTGGGAGTTGTTGCAGATAATGTGCCTGACGTGGCAGTGGCCCAGTCAGCTGCATTCCCGACAGGCCCACGGCTGGCGCAGGGGGACTCATCTGGCTGATGGGCTGCTCTGGGACCGGTCTCCCCCTCTCTGCTGCACCTGGGCATGGGCACCTGTGACCCCCTCCATTCCCTACTCAACACGACAATCTGAGACACCTTGCGGGAGCTAAAGCAGGTCGTCTGGGCCAGGGCTTCCAGGAGTGTGGGACTCTGCTGACAAATAAGTGGATTTGAGTCACATCCCAAACACAGCACTGAGCACCATCAAGTCATCAAGTCACCCCGGAAGAGGACTGGTTTGCAGTGGCCTTTCAATTCTATGAACTGCACCCAGGAGCAAGTCTTGGTTTGGTACTACTGTGTCTTTCACGTCTCTCTAACATTTGCTAAGCTTCCTTATCAACGGAAAGGGAAGGCAGGAAGCCCAGAGCTTGAGGAGACAATAGTCTCCAGCTAGGCTTTAATACCATTGTACAGCTTGTTGTGTTTATTTTTGTTACTCTCTATTTATGGCAAGTGATACTGCTTTTTTTCATTTACAATGGGATATAGAGTTTCTTTATAAATTAAATTTTAAAAATTGAATAATTAGTGTGGGAGATATATAAAATACAAACTGTGAAGTGGGGCCGGGGTGTGCCTGAGTGAAGTGCAGGAAGGCTCATTGGACCATCTGAGGGTGAGGGCCCAGGATTCCAAATTGGCCAAGAACTCTTTTTTCTTTTTTTTTTAGACTGAGTCTCGCTCCGTCGCCCACACTGGCACAACCTGGGCTCACTGCAACCTCCACCTCCTGGGTTCAAGTGATTCTCCTGCCTCAACCTCCCAAGTAGCTGGGATTACAGGCACCCACCACCATGCCCGACTAATTTTTGTATTTTCAGTAGAGTTGGGGTTTCACCACGTTGGCCAGGCTGGTCTCAAACTCCTGACCTCAGGTGATCCACCCGCCTTGGCTTCCCAAAGTGCTGGGATTACAGACGTGAGCCACCGCGCCCAGCCAAGAACTTATTTTCAGCTCAGCTCTGTCCTTAGTACCCGCTGACCCCTTTAGGGGAAGCTCAGTTTCCCCCATCCGTAACATCAACAGATCAGCTCTTGTGGTCTTCATATTCTCTGTTTGGGGCTTTAGTCTTCCAGAAGAGGAAACTGGGGCCTAGACTAGTCAAGGTCATGGAGCTAAGGAGGGTGGAACCAAGCTGGACCCCAGGTCAGCCCTTAGCCACCTTCATATCCAGCAAAGCCACTTGTTCCCTGGGGAGGTTGCAGAGGCTACAAGCTCAGCCTTCCAGGGTGCCTTGTTCCTGTCTGCCCCCCAAGTACAACAGTGGAGGGAAGGAGCAGGGTGAGCTGTGTGGAGACACGGACCCCACCACCCTCACCCCCAGCTCCAGGCAGCAGTGGTCTAGCTCCAGCACTGTGCCTTTAAGAGACCAATCCCTTGGCTGGGGATACCTGTTGCCATGGAGATGGTGGCCTGAATCCCACAGTGGAGGGCTGCTGTTGCCAGCCCCCCATCCCTGGCTGTGAGGGGCCTCAGAAGCCCATCCAGACCCTACCCTTGACAGCCCACCACTGTTCCTGGGCCCCTTCCCTTAGGCGGCCCTCCAACCCCACCTCAATACCATCAGAAACAGTCCAGGGCAACATTTCTGGGACACCTAAGCAGATAGGTAGAAAGACACTAAGAGGCCGGGCAATGAAGAAAGAAAAGAATGCTTGGTCCTGGTCTAATGGGCCACACCTTTCAGTGGGTGGGATCTGTTTCCAAGCCCGTTCCAGCTCAGGCAGGCAGTGCCCACTCCCTCCACACGTGGCCCTCCTGGCTCCCTCGTTTCTATCAGCCCCCGTGCCTAGGAGATGCGTGGGGCTCAGGCCTGGGCCTACCTCTTAGCTGGCAGCCCTCCTCCCTGGGGAGCCTGGGGGCAGACAGGGCCAGGTTCCTGCAGGACTGTGGGCACCAGTGGCCAGAGGAGGTGATACCACACAGTGACAGCACTACACAGACCCTGCCTGTCACCCTCATGCTGACTCCCATTCTAGAGGAGTGGAGCTCAGAGAGGTGATGTAACTTGTTGAGGCCTCACAGCCGGGAACTGGCACAGTCCAGATTGAACCCAGCCTGGCTGACTCCGAAGCTGGGGCTCTTTACATGATGTCCTCCTCCACCGCCCACTGGCACCAGTGGTCTGTCATTGTCTCCAACAGAGGGGCCTGGCAGGGAAAAGCTTTCCTCCCACCCAGCATGCCAGTGTCTGAGGGCCTGAATATCCAGGATAGCAGCCCAGGGTGGGGCCCAGAGCCCTGGTACTGGACTTTAACCCGCACCCCTATGTGCCAATCAACCAGCCACCATGCCCACACACAGGGGCTTGGCCTCAGCAAGTGCCCAGCTGCGCCTGAGGTCAGCAGCCCAGACCTCGGCAGTGGAAGTGCAGCTGACAAGTCCCCGGCTTCCCGCCCAGCCTGGACAAAGCCAGAGTTGTTCAGGAGCCTCAAACGTCTATTACACAGCCCTACCCCCAGGACAGATCAAAGGGGAAGGGGCTGTAGATGGAGAGAACGGAGGGTGGAATCGGGTGCAAGGGGTTGGAAGAGGCTCTGCAGGCTCTGTTGTCCCTGCAGGTGGTCCTGGTTCACCCTGTCCCCAGCATTCCCACCTCCAGAAACAGCCCATCACTGTCAGATTGAATCCAAAAACCCAACTCCCAACAAGGATGAAGCAACTCTTGCCTTTACTCCGAGGTTCTTCAGGTTTCTAGGGCTGTAAACAACTGCTTCCCCTAATGCATTTAACGTTTGATTTGATTTATAAGAAATTGACTTGACCACAACAGTTCCAGGCAGAGTCTAGGGAAGCTGCACTTACTCCCTAGCTCATTTCAGGGAAGTTGGCAGCTGAGGACCCTGCGAGGGGAGCGGGTGGAATTTCCAGGGAGCTGGCTGGGTGCTTCCCAGCTCCCCCTCCACTGGGACACCAGACACCTGGGTGACCAACCAGGAATGGGCCATGAATAGCAAGGCCCAGGTCTCAGGGGCCAAGGCAGAGGGAAAGATGAAGGCCTGAGATAGGAGTCCCCCCAAGGCTCACTCAAACCTGCATAAGACCTTCCAGTGGCTCCCCACCGCCCTCCAGAGAAAACCCAGGTTCCTCAATGGCTTCCGAGGCCCCGCAGGAGCTGGCCTACCTTTCAGCCTCACCTCACCCCACCTCCTCCTCTTTCAACACATTCCTTCCTTCCGATACACCCACACACCAAACCTCCAGGCCTCGGCACGTGCCGTTCCCTCCGCCTGAGACACTCCACGCACACACATCCTTTATGAGGCTAACTCAAGCATCCTCCAAGTTTCAGCTCACATGTCACTTTCCCAAAAAGCCTTTCCTGAGCCCTCCATCTGGGTCGGATGCCACCTCTGTGAGCCCGTGCTTCCATCGCCTCAGGCTTAGTCTCCCTGCCTCCTGCTCCTGGCCTAGGGCTCCTCACTAGACTGCAGGCTCTGGGAGGGCAGAGGCCCTGTGTCACTCATCATGGTCTCCCCAGTGCTACACAGAAGTTGGTTGGTAAAGATGTGTTGAGTGAATGAATGGGAGAGTGCAGCCCTGCCTAGAGAGAGGCTTCCACCACCTGCTCTCAATTTCCTGTACGTGGGTGTGCATCGGTGCACATATGTCTGGGGATGGGGAGGGTGAAGCCACACCAAATATTCTTCCCCAAACTAAAAAACGGCTGACAAAAGCATCAGGGGATAATTCATAAATGACTTCCTTTTGCTTTGGGACTAATTGTGCTTGGCATCACTGAATGCTAGCTCAAGAGGTGTCCCCAAAAGATTCGGCCAGCAGGGAAGCACTTTATGTGTGCCAGGCACTATGCTGAGCAATTTCTATGCCTATCTAGTTCTAGAAGGCAGGGACTGTTTCCATTATCCTCGTCGCACAGATGAGGAAACAAGTTCACAGAGTTTAAGCTACCTGCTCTCGGTCCCACGAAGTCAGGAAGTGGGGGAGCTGGGATTTGAACCTCCCAGAGCTTGAGGCTGAACCACCAGGCAGCCCCACCTCCCCTCCACTGGTGTACCCTGAGGCCAAGGGGATAAGGTAAGGCAGGAGGTAGAGAATGGCCTTATCTGTTCTTGGACATCAGAGTGGGAGAGCCTGATAAGAGGCCCCTTGGCCCCACTCCTGCAGGTTAGAGATGCTCAGACATCCCCTGAGGTCACACAGCCTGGGTGGGTGACAGAGCTTTTCCAGCAGAAAGGAGCCAGGAGGTGGCTGCCTCCCCCAGGCCGGGAGGACCAAGTCGCAGCAAAAGTGGCTGGGATGTCCAGAGGACTAGCACCAGGTGCTTGGGCCTCAAGTCCTTCTGCTTCTTCCCTCTGGGGAGCTCTCCGCAGCTGCTCCCCAGAACACACAAATGCCCTTCCTGGCCTTTCCTGGGGCCCAAACCCCCTCAGACCTGGGTCCAGCAGACACAGACCCACCTCTCCCCAGGACCCTGGTTCCTGCCCAGTCCTGCCCCAGCTCTGCAGGTGCAGCTGTGAAAGGGCCCTGGCGCTAACACTGGGCTGCACGCCCGCTCCCTGCCCCACATTTTTCCCCTTAAACAAACATGCAAGACTTTCTTTTTCTATCCCTTTGAAAGCCTGCTCAGGGTGGACAAGACTGGGTGGGACAATGGCCTGGCACCCGAACAGGAGGGAGTGCAAGGTGAAGCCTGCCTCTTGCTGTGCCCTCTCTAGCCAGTTCTAGCCCAGCAAACCCAGGAATTAAAAAAAAAAAAAAAAAAAAAAAAAAATCCCGGCCGGGTGCCGTGGCTCAGGTCTGTAATCCCAGCACTTTGGGAGGCTGAGGTGGGCAGATCAGTTGAGGTCACAAGTTCAAGACCAGTGCGGCCAACATGGTGAAACTCTGTCTCTACTAAAAATACAAAAATTAGCCCGGCGTGGTGGCAGGTGCTTGTAATCCCAGCTACTCAGGAGGTTGAGTCAGGAGAATTGCTTGAACCCAGGAGGTGAAGATTGCAGTGAGCTGAGACTGTGCCACTGCACTTCAGCCTGGGCAACAGAATGAGACTTTGTCTCAAAAAAAAAATATCCCTCCCAGGCCTTTCCCAGTTACTGCCCATTAAGCCTGCACCCAGGTCCTCACAGCACACTGGGGGTTTACTACGCCCATTTCATAAGAGGAAATGGGTGTGGGTGCAGTGGCTCACACCTGTAATCCCAGCACTTTGGGAGGCTGAGGCGGGCGGATCACCTGAGGACAGGGGTTTGAGACAGGCCTGGCCAACATGGTGGAACCCTATCTCTACTAAAAATACAAAAAATTAACCAGGCGTGGTGGTGGGCACCTGTAATCCCAGCTACTTGGGATGCTGAGACAGGAGAATCGCTTGAACCCAGGAGGCGGAGGTTGCAGTGAGCCAAGATTGCACCATTGCACTCCAGCCTGGGCAACAAGAGTGAAACTCTGTCTCAAAAAACAAAAAGAGGAAATGGGTTTAGAGCAGGAAACATTCCATTCCATAAGAAGAAACATGCCCCAGGCTCCGGGTTGCCAGGGTCAGGGCCGGGAAGCTCCTTCTGGCACTCTGAGCTCCTTCTGGCCGGGTGCTGCCTCCACGCCCTGCGCTTCCTGTTCCCTCTACCCCGGCCACTCTTCCCTGAGCGCTTTGCTGGCCTGTCCTTCTCCGTCCCTCAGGTCTTTTTGGGTGCCATGTGCTGAGTGATCTTATTTAATCCTAATACTACCTCCTCCTGATTGATCCTATTAGTTTTCCCACTGTACAAATGAGGAAACTAAGGTGACGTGACTTGCCCAAGTCACACAGTGAGGAAGGGACAGCGGCAGGATTCAAACCCTGGCACCCGCCACTCCAGGGTACCCATTTTTCCCACAGATTCTCTACTGCCTCCTGAACCATCAGAAGAGGCTCTGCCACTCCCCACTCCTATTGAAACCGCCTTTGCAAAATTATAACTGAGGAAATTATGACAGCGAAAGAAATCAGACCTAACTGACTCCATCTTGCTTCTAACCCTTCAACTGTCCTTGTTCATTCCTGGGTGTAGGCCAAACTAACTTTGGGAAGGGATTCAGTTCACGGTTTGACTCTGAAACAAACTGATAACAGCCCATTCCCAAAAAGACCCTCTTCTTGCCTGGGGTCCAGTATGTCTTTGCAGGACTAACAAATCAGCTACAGATTGGAAATTACAGTTTAGGAGTCATGCAGCCTCTGGCTCCAAGAGTCTGAACCTCCCCAAATTGGGGATGTCACTACTGTGAAACCTAAGATCAGTGCTTGAGATATTTTGCAGACCCTGCACTCCATGGATCAGCTGTCACCACCCAGACTGGTAATCTGGCTCAGTCAGTTCTGCCATTGCACCCAGGAACAGAAGACAGCAAGAAAAACTCACTTCAGACAGCAAGAAAAACTCACTTCGACCCCCTATGATTCCATCTCCAGCCTGACCAATCAGCACTCCCCACTTTCCAAGCTTCTACTCGCCAAATTATCTTTAAAAACTCTGATCCCCAAATGCTCGGGGAGACTGATTTGAGAAATAATAAAAGTCCGGTTTCCTGCACAACCGGCTCTCTGTGAATTACTCTTTCTCCATTGCAGTTCCCCTGTCTTGATAAATCATTCTTTCTAGGCAGCAGGCAAGGTGAACCCACTGGGCAGTTGCACTATCTTTCCCACCACCTCCCGGAAGTCAACTGCCACCTCCCTGGTGACCAGGTGCCTCCCTCCCTTGGCTGGTCCCAATGGTCCCCTTAGGCATGGGACCAGGTCCCTTTCCCTGGGGGAGGAGGCTCTGACTGAGCTTGTACAACTGACATCCCTCAGCCAGTGCTGACTTCATCCATTCACAGAGCACGATGAGCCTGCACAGCCCAGGCACTGGACCAGGCACGGAGAGAAGGATGTGAACTAGACATTGCCGACCATCATCAGGGTCAGCCAGGAACAGGCAGAGAAGGCAAGAGATCTGCTTCATATAGTGGTCAGGGAAGGCTGCTTGGGGGAGGAGGCCCTGAGGGAGGGCCTTGCAGAGTCCAGGAAGGACCTGCGGGGGAACAGCTAGGAGTGCTCGAGGAACACACGGGGGGTTAGGTGGCAGAATCATCCTAAGAGAAGGAAAGGGCTGTGCAGTCAGTGATCGGGTCGGTAAGGAAGGCAGAGGCTGGCCTCAGGGGATCCAATCTGATGGCGAAGGGTTTTTGGCAGGGCAGCGGCTGGATCTGACCCTCCAGTGGGGGAAACAAATGGTAGCTTGTGGACTGGTGGTGTGAGGAGTGGTGAAGGCAGCTGCAGGGTCCACTGAGAGACCTGTGGCCATGGGGAAGTGGGTGAATTTGGGATATTTTAGAGTCTAGTGAAATGAACACTCTAGAAGTGACTTCAGCAACCCTCTTCTTTCAATGGAGGTGGAAGATGAGAAAGGGGTGGGGGCTGGCCGAGGTCTCCCAGGAGGTAGTGGCCAGAAAGGAATTGGAGTCAAGTCTCCTCAACCCAGACCAGCATCTGGGCTGGGTGCCTGATTCCCCGTCACGGCGCTGGAGCGTGAGGAGCAGGGCTGAGTCAGGGGCTGAGAAGTCCTATGCATAGGGCATAGGTCAGTCAGGTCCCCAAGGTCAGGAGAAGGCAGAAGGGACATCAGATAACTGCCCTTAGGGCAGGGGGAGAAGACCTCTCAACTCATACTGCAGAGAGAGGCAAGGGCAGGTCATGGTGGAAATGGGGAGGTGGGCAAGGTGACCTTTGGTGACCCCACCACTGGCATCAGACCCTGCCAGTAGGGCCTGCCTGGGAGCCAGCCTGCAGCTGGGGGCGGGAGAAGGGAAGGGAGACCACGGTTGCAGATGCCTGGGATGGCTGCTTACCATATATTCCAGATGCCACGCAGCTACTTTGGCAGCCTCAGCCGGGCCAGTGAGGCTCTAGGCTTGTTGCTGAGTGTAGGGCCAGGGCCAGACAGTTCAGCAGCCCTCAGTGTAAGGCAGGGGCAGCTCTGATTGGAACTAGGTGGCTCAGAAGGGTCAGCGTTAGGGCCTCAGGGATCACTGCCTCCAGTTTTCCATCTTGTTACTCTTGTGGGAATAACCAGTACCTCGCCCTGGGGAGACATCTCCCGTTGATCACAGCCCTGCTTCCTGCTCAGCACGAATGGATTTGCTTTCTCCAGTCTGTGCTCCAGGAAGCCAGGACCAATCAAGTTGAGCTTGACTCAACTTTTACAATACGTGAAGGTAAAGCAAGGCCCAGAGGTGTCCACTAGGATTTAAAGCAAAGAGAAGGCAGAATATCCTGCCCCCCAGCCCAGAGGACGTGCGTGTTTCCTGGCATGACTGGCTTGCAGCTGCCTACTCACCGTGGCCGTCCGCTGTTGTGTGGCCTGGGCCGCAAACCGGGCCACGTGGTTGACGATGGGGGAGAAATTGGTAGGACCGTAGAAGCGGATGTGGGGCAGGCAAGCTGAGTACGCCTGGGCAATACCATCCACACCTGCCTCGGGAGAAGAGTCTGGATCAGCCAGGTCTCCCTGACCCCATACCCACTCTCATCTCACTGCTGATGAAACATCTATTTCATGCTTACCCAAAATGTCCCTGCCATGGCTAGCATAGGCCTTGTGAGACAGACTGGAAGCTGCCAGAGGGAAGGGCCAGCATGGTAAAAAGCCAAGAGCCCTGAATGTGAAGTCAGACAGGCCTGTAGAGTTTGAATCCTGCCTTTTCTTTGAGAGGAGTCTTGCTCTGTCACCCAGGCTGGAGTGCAGTGACAGGATCTCGGCTCAGTGCAACCTCCACCCCCCAGGTTCAAGCAATTCTCCTGCCTCGGCCTCCCGAGTAGCTGGGACTACAGGCATGTGCCACCACACCTGGCTAATTTTTGTATTTTTAGTAGAGGCAGGGTTTCGCCATGTTGCCCAGGCTGGTCTCAAACTCCTGACCTCAGGTTATCTGCCCACTTTGGCCTCCCAAAGTGCTGGGATTACAGGCATGAGTCACCGTGTCCAGCCTAAATCCTGCCTTTCTTAGCTGTGGGACCTGGGGCAAGTAGTTTAATCTTTCTGAGGCTACGTCTTTGTCTGTCAATGGGACTGATAATCTACACTCTGGCAGTTGGCAGGAGGGGGGTCTCTCAGGCCTTTCCAGAGAAGGGGCTTGGCGAAGCTTGCAGTGATGCTTTGAGACCATGGGAAGCCATCTGGAGGTCCATTCTGGACATGCTATGGCTTCTGTTCGTGGTTGGGGGATCAAGGCGTTCGCACAGTGCCTGTACAGAGTAGGCGCTCTGTAAATAGCTGCTGTTATGAGCACACTGCCCTGTAGCCCTGCCCAGAAGGCCTGGCCAGGGATGAAGCTGATTGACCAAAATGTCTCTGGAGATCTACCCCAAATCAGACAGCCTGGCCCAGCTTTGGGGATCCCCAGGGAAGGTAGATGCTATGTTGAAGCCAAGTCCTAGGCGGAAAGGTCTCATGATGATAGAAACAGCCCTCTTCCATACCCACCTGCATCCCCTCTCCTCCACTCAGAGTTTTCTTCCTCCCTTCCTCCATCCCTCCCTTCCTTCTTTCATCTTCCTTTTTCTTTCTTTCTTCCTTTCTTCCTCCCTCCCTCCCCTCCTCCCTCCCTTCCTCCTTTCCTTCCTTCCTTCCTCCTTCCCTCCCTCCTTCTCCCTTCCCCTTCCCCTTCCCTTCCTTTCCTTTCCTTTCTCTCTGTCTCTCTCTTTCCTTTCTTTCTCTTTTCTCCTTCCTTTTTTTTTTTTTTTTTTGAGACAGAGTCTCACTCTGTTACCCAGGCTGGAGTGCAGTGACATGATCTCAGCTCACTGCAACCTCTGCCACCTGGGTTCAAGCGATTCTCCCGCCTCAGCTTCCTGAGTAGCTGGGATTACAGGTGCGCACCACCACGCCTGGCTAATTTTTGTAGTTTTAGTACAGACGGGGTTTCACAATCTTGGCCAGGCTGGTCTTGAACTCCTGACCTCTGATCTACCCACCTTGGCCTTCCGAAGTGCTGGGATTAAAGGTGTGACCCTCCCTTCCCCTCCCCATCTCTCTTTCTTTCCTCCCACCTCAGCTTCCTGAGTAGCTGGGACCACAGGCATATGCCACCATGCCTGGGTAATTTTTTTAATTTGTAGAAATGGGGTCTCCCTCTATTGCCCAGGCTGGTCTTGAACTCCTAGGCTCAAGTGCTCCTCTTGCCTCAGCTTCCCAAAGTGCTGGGATTACAGGCATGAGCCACAGCATCCGGCCTCTAATAGTTTCTTAACTGTCCCTAGGAGGCTCAGAAATCCTCTTAGGCCCAGGGGTGGGGATGAACACAGACACCATACTCACTTCCCAGCCCCTGCCTCCCCCTGATCCCCCGCCAAGTACTCCCAGAGCAGGGCTGGCCTTCCCAGCAAGGGGGCGGGTGGGAAGGAGGTGAAAGCAGGTGTGTCTGGTGCCACCCTCACCTCCTCCTGGTTTACACAGGACTTCCTGTCAGTGGCTTCCTGTAATTCTCACTGAACCACCCAGTAAAGTGAGAAGAGCAGCTGTCATAGTTATCCTGGAGCAGGTAAGGAGGCAAAGGCCCAGGAGGTACAGTGACCTTTCCAAGGTCCCACAGCTAGGAAGGGCAGCAGCTGGCCTTGAATCCAGGACTATCTGACTCCAAACTGCAGCTCTTCCCCCTCTGTCACTCTGAGCAACAGTAAGGGGGAGGGGAAAGGAGAAAGAAATGAAAACCTGTCCTCTGCCCTCCCTCCACCCAGGGAGCTGGCCAGGCCCGTAGCAAACACAGGGCAGCTGCAGGTGGGTCTGACACTCACCTGAGCAGAAGGGGTTGGTGGGGTTGAAGTTGATGGCAAACTCATGGGAGACCTGAAACGCAGAGAAAACGCTGAGCTGCAGCCTCCCGCCCCCAAACCCAGACCCAGGCCACCACCCACTGCCAGGCCAAGGCTCCCTTTGAGAGCACCGGCTCATAACCCCCACCCCTACCCTCCTCTAGGCCACTGATACCCCCCACATCTGCTTTTCACCTCCACTGCTGGGTGTGACCCACAGAGAGGCCCAACCACCCTCTCCTCATAGTGGAGGAAACTGAGACCCTGGCAGGTCACCCTGGGCTCTTCTGGGGACTGGGGCTGCCTATGCCCCATCAGTCCTCTAAGAGTCCCGGGTGGGACAGGGATTTCCCTGTGGGCCAGGGTTCCAGGATGCTCCCTCATCACTGCTACAGCTGGATGTGGGCTCCACAACTAGAGCACCGCTTCTCTGGGCTTCAGAGGCTTTTCCTACCTTAACAGTAAGCAAAGGGGCTTAGAGGGGAGCCTGCCTTGCGCCAGACAGCCAAACGGGGGTGAGCTGACAGCCCACTCAGAGCTGACCTGGCGATCAGGGAGTGTAAGGGGGCTGCAAGGGGATCAGATGGGGCTATCATAGGCTCCCTAGGGACTCATCCTGCTTCTCTGCCTCCAGGCCCAGCACCCAGCCCCAGAGGATCATCAGAGACTGACCCGGACACTCCGGGACACTGCTGCACCCATCACATCCGGCTGCTGCTGCTCGCATGGCTTCGGGGTATAGAAGGACTCATAACTGGCCCCGTTCAGGGCTGTGGGTGAGACTGCAGTGCCTGCAGAACCCAAGGCCTCGGGAGACGCTGCAGAGCTCAGATGGGGGACAGTCCCTCCTTTCTTCCCTCTCTTGCAGCCCCACAGCCCCAAATCCCCCTCAGCCCCCTTCCTACCATGTACCACATCCGCATTCACTGCTGTGCAGGAATCCCCTTACTCCTTCCTCACAACACCCCAATGGAAGGGCAGCTGTTATCACCTCATCTTATGGATGACAAAACTGAGACACAGAGTGGACTAGAATTTTCCCACATTTCCTGGCGGGCAGAGCTGGGACTCGAACTGAGGTCAGGCTGCTCCCAGAGCTCACGCTAACCTCCAAAGGCATTCCTCCCCCAGGGATTTTCAATGAGGAGGGTGGAGGGGTGCCCCGGTCCTCAGCTGCAGGAGGAGGGCTTTTGTCTGGGCACAGACAATCCCAGACAGACTCTTCAGCTCCAAGACATGACGATGGGGGTACTGGGAGGCTCTCCTGCATCCAGCGTCCCCATTTTACAAATAAACAAACCGAGGCCCAGAAAAGGGAAGCCAGGCACCAGAGCCACACAGTCGAACAGGCCTGAGACCCAGTGCCCTCCCCTCCCCTGGGGGTGGGAGTTGGTCTTACTCCTGGGGGAGAGGGCAGGGACCCAGCAGTGGGGTTCAGTCTGGCCTCCCTGGCAGCCCAGGGGAGGGGAGGTGGTGGGAGGACTCCTCCCCGTTTCAGGCAATGGGGTTTTCTGTTCTTTGCTGTCTGCTTTAGGCGCCCGGCACAGAGCCAGTCCCCTGGTGTCCCTCTTGGGTCCTGTCCCTGTCCAGGGCCCACTTCACCCTGTCCCCAGTCTGGGCTCCAGGTTTGGGGGCTGGAGGTCCCTGTTGCCATGGAGACTTCCTGAGCCTCTATAGAGATTACGAGGGGGGCTTGTATGGAGGGGCTGAGAGAGAAAATGGTTGCCAGGGAAACAGGACTCCCTTGGGCCAAAGTCTTCCTGAAAAATCAGATTTTAGGAGATTTTAGAGACCACAGTGGGAAAGCCCCCTGCTGATAGGGGTGGAGGAATATTTTGCCTTCTCGGGCCCCCCGCTCTTCATCCCCACTCTTCCCCCCTCTTTATTTGGGGAGGGCCCAGCCTTGCGGTCAGGGGGGCT
Source organism: Homo sapiens (assembly GCF_000001405.40). NCBI lineage: Eukaryota > Metazoa > Chordata > Mammalia > Primates > Hominidae > Homo > Homo sapiens. Next base: position 57,132,888 of record NC_000016.10, on the reverse strand, counting down.
GTGGAAGGTTGTCCATCTGCCCCAGAGGCCCCAGAGGTTGTCTCCTCCAGCAACTCCATTTCATAGCTGGAAAGAGTGAGGTTCCCAGAGGGCCAGGGAGTGCCCAGGTCACACAGTGGGGCCTGGGGACAAGTGTCCATGCTACCAGGAGTGGCAGCTCAGCCCCTCCCATACTGGTTGCCCTGGTTTGCCTGAGAAAAGTCATAAACAGAACAAGTTCCTGGAGGCCACAGAAGCTGATGAGGGGCCCCTGGGGACTGGCTGCCAGCCACAGGCCTTTGTCCTGGGACTCCCTATTGCCTTCTGACAGCCAATGGCCCTGTTCACCCAACCTGGCCTGGCTCAGCCTTGAGGTCAGGGAGTTACTTCAGGCTCAGTTCCCTGTGGCCCTGGCTGAGGCAGGTGGTAGAGGCAGCGGGTGGGGCATGGAGAAAGCCCAAGGGATCTCAGAGTGACTGTCCTCTCTGAGCCTCAGTTTCCCCACCTGCAGAGTATGCTCCCCCTCCTCCCAGACCTTTGCACAGACTGTGCCTTCTGCCCAGATCCCGTTCCTCATCTGAGTAACTCTGCTCACGTTGAAGGGCCAAGACCTCATGCCATCTCCAAAGGGAAACGCGTCCTGAGACCCTCAGCCACTCTCTGGGGCAGGAGTTCTCTCTGGGATCATCTGGGCCACCCTCAGGGAGAAACTGAGGTCTCAAAGGCAGGCAGCCTGGTCACGTGCTCCTTCTGGTTCCTTCTAGCTTCCCACCCTCAGAGAACCGACCCCTCTGTTTGCTCAGGCCTGGGGTCCCAAATTTGGGCTGGGTCCCAAATTCATTCCGTCAACAAACAATGGCACTGCACACTGCAGGCCAGGTGCTGGGATGCAGGCAGAAAGAAACCCAGTGCCTTCCCCAGGCAATCACAAACAAGTCACAGAGTTCCATGAGGGCAGGGCTCTGGGCAGGAAGAAGGGCCCCCATGTGAGTGTGAGCATGGCTCCCAGAGGGCAGGCCACTCCCCGAAATTCTAGGTGAAAATCGGTGGCAGAAGCCCAGGAGAGGGAGCAGCGGGCTGAGTGAAGGCCATGTGCAAAGGCCCTGAGGTGGGAGTGAATGAAGGAGCTTCAGGCAGCAGGAGTGAGGCGAGTCAGAATGCGAGAGAGGGTGAGGGGCCAGGAGGGGCCAGGCCTGGCGGCTCCCATGGCAGGGGGAGGTGGGACACAGCATCTGTCCTTTCCTAGCCTGGACGCAGCATCTTTCTTGGCACCGCCGGGCACTCCAGCCTGGCCAAGCCCTGGCCTCCCCAGCATCGCCCTGTGACATTTACAAGGAGGCTTTTGCTCAAGAAAACATCTCATTCAGTTCTTTGAAAGCTGGCTGGTGTCCTAGCAACGGGCTCGTGCTGGGCCCAGCCGCACCAGCTCGCCCTGCCCCCCGAATGGCATCACTGTGGCCCAGCTTTGGTCCCATCTGAGGCGTAGCCTCACACCACAGGGAGCCAGGACACCCACATCTCCTGCCCTGGCCCTTGGGCCACTCCCCGAAATTCTAGGTGAAAATCATCCTCCCCAGAGAGGACCAGAGAGGACAGGAGGCAAAAATTCACTCTGGAAACAGCAATGCGGCACAGCAGGGCAGACAAGAAGGGGCACTGGCCGAGCGAGACCCATGTGCAGGCTTAGGAGCTCTCTGGCCTCACACCCCACAGGCTTCTCATGGGGAGGCAACAGTGTCTGAGAAGAAACTTTAGAGTCCAACTGCCCAGTTGGTGAACATGGCCTTGGGCAAGTCATTTTGAGGCTCCAAGCCTCAGTTTATTGCCCTGTAAAATGGGACAGCATTCCCTGCCCATCTGCAGCGACTCCCCAGCATCACAGCTTCTGCCCTCATTGACGTCTCCATCTCTGAGCCACCAAACCACCCCTCCCCTGGTGCCCGTGGTTCTATGAGGAGCCCCCGCCTCCTGCCCCAGGACTACCCACAACCACACCTCAGGGACCCCCGCTTCAATTCACCTCCACGCCTCTCCTGGCTCCTCCTCAGCCTTTAGACCTGCTTGACCTAACCCTTCCCCTCCCTCACAGCCAGTTGACTTCCACGCTGGCTGACTGCCACACTGGCTGATGTCTCCATGCCCTTCTCCCCTCCCCATCTTGTCTCTGCCATAATGGCCCCAGCCATGGTCAGTGAAACGGATGGTCTCTTCTCAGCCTTACCTCACCAGGCCCAGGGGCAGCCTCCAACCCCACTCCCTCCTCCCCGAGCCCTGACTGCTTGGCTTCCTCAACGATCAAAATGGGTTCATAACAGGGCCTACCTCATTGGCTTTGGTGAGAATTAGTTGAAACTGGTAAAGCAGGCAGAGTGGTATCTAGAACATTCTAAGGGCCCAATAAATGCTGCTACTTATGGGTTTGCTTTCTGCCCCTCCCTCCTTCACTTCCTCCCTGCTCTGCCCCCGGGCTCAGTCTCCGCTTCATCTGCCTGGCTCTCTCATGCAGCTGTCTCTTTTTTTATTTTAATTAATTAATTAATTAATTTTTTAGAGACAGAGTCTCACTCTGTCACCCAGGCTGGAGTGCAGTGCACTCATAGCTCACTGGGCTCCAGGGATCTTCCTGCCTCAGCCTCCCGAGTAGCTGGGATTACAGACTCCCGCCACCACACCTAGCTAATTTTTGTATTTTTAGTAGAGACGGGGTTTCACCATGTTGGCCAGGCTGGTCTCGAACTCCTCACCTTGTGATCCACCCTCCTCAGCCTCCCAAAGTGCTAAGATTATAAGTGTGAGCCACTGCACCCAGCCAACTTTTAAATTTTGTAAAGCCAGGGTCTCACTGTGTTGCCCAGACTGGTCTTGAACTCCTGGCTCAAGCAATCCTCCTGCCTTGGCCTCCCAAAGCATGAAATTACAGGTGTGAGCCACTGCACCCCGCCTCATGTGGCTGTTTCTCACTCCACCTGTCTCCCTAGCAATCTCATCCTCCCAGAGGTGGCACCATGGGTCCTGGCCCAGGTGGCCAGGTCTCTCTCTGTCTCCCCAGAGCCCAAACCCATTGACCCATCAACCACTTATCTTTTTTTTTGTAACAGGGTCTCACTCTGTTGCCCAGGCTGGAGTGCAGTGGCACGATCTCGGCTCACTGCAACCACTGCCTCCCGAGTTCAAGTGATTCTCCTGCTTCAGCCTCCCAAGTAGCTGGGATTACAGGCATGTGCCACCACGCTGGGCTAATTTTTGTATTTTTAGTAGAGACGGGGTTTTGCCATGCTGGCCAGGAAGATCTCAAACTCTCTGACCTCAAATGATCCATCTGCCTCAGCGTCCCAAAGTGCTGGGATTATAGGCGTGAGCCACTGTGCCCAGCCATCATCCACCTTTCTCCTGGGACTCCCACCTTACCATCTCCCCTGCTGAGCCTAGCACCCACCCCGTTCCTCATCTCAGTAAGCAGCACCACCCCCGCCTCAGTGCCCAGTTGGAAATCTTGGTGACCTCTTCGGCCCACACTCACTTGGTCACACAGAAAGTCCTGGCCTCTGCCCTGAGTTTCCTTGCCTTCGCCCCTTCTCTCCACCCTCCACTCTGCCCACTCTCGCCCTAGCCACGCCCCACTCAGCAGCCAGGAGAGGCCTTTAGAAATGCCAATCTGCTGATGAGCCCCTATGTGGTCCCTGCAGGGGTCCCCGTGGCCCTTTAACGCCCACATCTGTCTCCACCCTGCTCACCTCCAATGGAGGGTCTATCACCCACCTCTGCCAGTTCCTCCAGCTCGTCCTGCAGGCTTCGCACAGTCTGTTCTCTGCCCTGAAGGCTCCCCCTGCCCCACTGCCACCTCTAGTCACTCTGCTACTTCCCTTTCCCCTCTTGGCTTAGAGCTTGCCCCCTCCAGGAAGCCTGATGGCCCCAAGCTGGGTTGGGTTACCTCCTCGGCTCCCCACAGGCCTACGGTGCCCCCACCTCAGCACCGATGACACTACCTGTCTTTAGTGTTGCCATATAGAATACAGGATGCCCACTATGACTCAGAAACAGAAAACAAAAAACTGCATGTTCTCCCTTATAAGACGGAGCTAAACAATGGGTGCACACAGAACAGACACACAGAGGGGAATAACAGACACTGAGGACTCCACACAGCGAGAGGATGGAGGGGTGACGGATGAAATGCCACCTACTGGGTACAATGTACATTATTTAGGTGATGAATACACTAAAAGTCCATATTTCACACAATACGTCCTCGTAATACAACTATACTTGTACCCCTAGATCCATACAAAACCTTGAATTTCAGATAAACAATGGATGATTTAAGTATAAGTATGTCCCATGAAATATTCAGGACATACTTATACTTTAAAAATTGTTTATCTGCACTGGTCACAGTGGCTCAGGCCTGTAATCCTAGCACTTCGGGAGGCTGAGGCCGGTGGATCACCTGAGGTCAGGAGTTTGAGACCAGCCTGGTCAACATGGTAAAACTCTCTACTAAAAATACAAAAGTTAGCTGCGGGGTGGTGGTGGGCACCTGTAATCCCAGCTACTCGGGAGGCTGAGGCAGGAGAATTGTTTGAACCTGGGAGGCGGAGGTTGCTGTAAGTGGAGATTGTGCCACTGCACTCCAGCCTGGGCAACAGAGCAAGACTCTGTCTCTAAATAAATAAATAAATAAAAATAAACACATAAAAATAAACATTGTTTACCTGAAATTCAAACTTAACTGGGTGTCTTGTATTTTGATTTGCGACATCTGGCAATCCTATCTGTCTCCCCCACTCCACATGGGTCTCATAAACAGAGAACATAACGTGCTGCCCCGTTACAGCCTCAGTGCCTGCCCAAGGATCAGGCTTGAGAAATGAGCGTGGCCTGGGGTGAACACAGGGAAGGCAGGGCAACAGGGCCCCAGCCCAAGACCTTTCCAGAGCTGATCCCCGAGAGGCCACACACACAAACCCCATCTCAACCAAAAGGAAACTAACTCCGGTTTCACTCACCTTCCAGTCTGGGGGTAACTGGGCCCCGAATCCCAGAGCTGGAAACATCTTATCACTAATCAGAGAGAGAAGAGAAACACACTGTAAGACACCTGAGGACACCACCCGACCCTCTGCCCAGGGCTGGGCCCACTCTGCCTCATACACTTCCAAGGACAGAAAGGAGGAGCTCACCACCTCTAGAAAAAGCTGTTAGGATCATCTACCTAATGAGCCCAACCCACCTCTGGGGACCTGGTGAACATGTGGCCTGACCACATCTATACCTGTGGCAGACACGACAATGGTACTTCTAACCAATGGGCCTGGGCACAGCTTCTAGATCCTTCTCAAACTGAGACTTCAGCCAGCCACTAAACCAAGGTCAGGAGGTCAAGATGGAAGTAGAATGAATGTACTGGCTGTCTCTCAGCCTCCTGCTCATAGCTGGGGAAAACTCTACTAATATGAGAACCCTCCTGTGGCATTCAAGGTCCTGTGTCATCCAGTCCCAGAGCCTAGTCTTATCTCCTTCCACCCACGCCCCTTCACACCCCACTCCCCTAGCCCTGGCCACTGGCCACTTGCTATTCCCCAAACACATAGGGTACCTTCACATTCCAACTTCAATGCTGTTGTGCCCCCATCTGTAACATCTCTCCCTAATCTGTTTCCTCTAGCAAACTCCTACTCATCCTCTAAGGCCCAATCAAAATGGCCCCTTCGCTCTGTAGATTTCCCTGATACCCTAAAATGCCTCTCTTTTTGTGCTCCCATAGCTCCTGCTTCACATGTAAACTGGTCTCTCAGAACTCCGACGATTTCTTCCTTATCTTCCTCTTTAAGTGAGAACTCCCTGAGGACAGGGACCACATTTCATTTGTATGTGCACTCAACAGACATCTACTAAGGATCCCTTTGGCTGCCGTGGAGGGGACACACAGCTGGGGGCCAGGGCAGAAGCAGGGAGACTGATGAGGAAGCTAATGAAATGATCTGGGCACAAAGTGATGGTGGCTCAGCCAGGCATCTAGAGCTCACTGGGGCCATGCTAAGTCTTAATGCCCATTAGACAGCTCGGTGATGGGCTGAATGGGCAGCTGGACACCTGGGACTCCACCCAACCATGCTGATGATGACTTCCACCTCCCTTGCTCTGCATGTTGTACAGATCCCTGGCTGCCCCTCTCTAGGAGGCCAAGTCCACACAGGGCTCCTGAGCCTGCTGTCTTTCCTGCCAAATCTCTGGCACCTGCTTCTTCCTCCCCTGTTCCCAATGTGTCAGCCTCCTGGTCATTCCATCCTCTGACCTGGAGCTCCCAATCAGCACCATCTGTGACAGTGATGTCATATCCTGTTGGTAGCCACACCTGCCACACTTTCACACAGCTTCCCTTCACTGACTTTCCGTGGTACCCAGCCCGACCCAAAGGTCCCCAGGAAGCAAGGTCATGGGAGGAGGGTCCGTGCATGCTAGCTGCTCCTCAGAAGTTCCCAATAGAAGCGAGACCATTAGGGAACTAGGCGCCAGGCCCAGGAACCAGAATGGCTGGCCTCTGGTCCCATGATCTGCGGGACCTGGAACAAATTTTCCACTCCCACCCCAGGCCTCCCATTCCCCAGCTCTAAAAGGAGAGGATGCAGCAATAATGAATGAGTTTAATCTTCCATCATGATTCATTTTCTTACTGGCTACTTGGTGTACTGTGTAGAAAACGATCCCAGTTTGAATCTGCGCTTGGCAGGTTAGAGTTCAGCAATTGATTAGCAATGTCTGCCAAGGGTATGGGAATGGGTAATAACTGCACCTATGCCATTTGCTGTCCATTCCTAGATTTGATGATCTCTGGGTCCCTTCTAGCTTTGATACACTGAGCTTCCCAGGTTGGATGGAACCCTAGCTGACCTTCAGAGCCCCTCTCCAACCTTACCTGTCGTAGTCCTGAATGATCTGCCCAACAGCCCAGATGGCCGACAGATATTCGTTGGTGCCCATAGGGTTGATATAGTGCAAAGAGGAAGGGTCGAGGGGATTCCCGTTGGAGGCTGTAAAGTCTATTCCAACCTGCAGAGTGGAGAAAAAGGCCACCCAGTGGGGCCAGAGACCCCAGCACCCTATCCCACTCCCAGGGAATAGGAGAGGTAGATGGGACATGGGAAGCCCACTCATCTCCCAGCCCTCCCCACAATAAGATGGTCTGAAACCTAGAAATGCTCTGATTGTATCACTCCTCTGCTCTAATGCCATCTGTGGCTCTCTATTGCCCAAGCATAAAGTCCACTGCCTAGATGTGATGACATAAGAGACTAACGTACAGTCCCAGATTCCTTTTTCTCCTTACTATCCCTATCCACACATTCATCTGTTCCCATATGCAGGCATTTATTCATAAGCTTCGCTCTGCATGCAGAGCCAGGCTATCGTTTCTTCCCGTCTAACTTTGCTCCATCTTCCAGGCCCAACTCAGATGCCACTGCTCCACTGCAACCTTCCCAGATAACCTCACCCCCAACCCAAGCCATCTCCCCATTATCCCTCAGACCACCAAGGGGCCTGGGACCTGGGGTTGCCTGGTAGAGCAGTGCCCGTCTCCCCGATCAGCTGGGAGCTCACCGCAGCACGTACTCTGGAGAAGCCTGGCCCAGGGCTGGGAACAGCAGACAAGGCAGGTGCTTATTAACAGGGACTCGGGGCTGATGGGCAGGCAGGGACTAGGGCTCTACCTGCTCTCTCAGCCCCAGAGAATCCCAGCCCAATCCCTGGAGAAAGGGCACAGAGGGGTAGGCAAGAACAACCCCTGCCCAGCAGGGGAGGGTTAGAAGTAGGACCCCGGGGAAGATTTGGCTACATGGGAACTCAGTTGCTGTGGGGTAGGAGAGAAGGGGCCACCCATCCAAATCCTCACATGGCTAGAGGGTCACTCCCCCAGGTCAGGGGCAGCATGTCTTAGTCCTTGAGGGACCGCTGCAGGGACACAGCCTAGAGCCCGGCACAAAGGAGGCAGTCAGTGTGAGTTCGCTGAATGAACAAACTCGTGCAGGAGGAACAGGAGGGCCTGGCCTCTGTGCAGGGGAGGGGGCAGTGGTGGGCAGCAGGGTCAGAAGTCAGCAAGGCCAATCCTCTGACTCCATGGCATCCTGTGATGCCCTCCATTTCCCATTAGGATCTAGGGGTGGTGATGGGGAACGGTGAGACAACATGGGGAGGTGGGCAGAGCGTGGCACCCCAGCAGCTTCCTCCCTTCTGGGCCTGAGGCTCCCTTGGGGTGAGGAAGCAAAGCCAGGATGAGTGGCACAGAGTCTGTGGGGCAAAGACTCCAGGCCACAGGCAAGGTGGCAGTTCATTCTTCCAACGAGAAATGATGGAGCACCTGCTATGTGCCAGTTACTGTGTGATATGCTGGGGTTGGAGTGGAAGCAAAATAAACAAAGTGCCCACACTTAAAAGCACTCACATTCCAGTGGGTGCGACGATCAGGGAGAAGCGACAAATGCATATGAATCTCGGGGCGGCAAGTGCCCAGAAAATAGGAAAATAGTGAGGGCCAGGCCCAGTGACTCATGCCTGTAATCCTAGCACTTTGAGAGGCCAAGGTGGGCAGATCGCTTGAGCCCAGGAGTTTGAGACCAGCCTGGGCAACATAGCAAAACCCCATCTCTACAGAAAATGCAAAAATTAGCTGGGCATGATGGCATGCACCTGTAATCCCAGCTACTCAGGAAGCTGAGGTGGGAGGATCAACTGAGAGCTGAAGGTGGAGGCTGCAGTGATCTGAGATCGTGCCACTGCACTCTAGACCACGTGACAGAATGAGACGCTGTCTCAAAAAAAAAAAAGAAAAGAAAAGAAAAGAAAAGAAAGAAAATAGGAAGATATGACAGAGGAGCAGCAAGGCATTGAGGGAGGGAGGGCTCCCTGGAAGGTGACCTCCGTTACCTCCTCAGGCCTGAAAAATGGCAGGTAGGCAGCCATGCAAAGGTTCTGGGGAAGTGTTTCAGGCAGAGGGAACAACAAATGCAGAAGGAACAGCAAATGCAAAGTTCTAACATGAAGCAAAGCTTGGCATGTTGGGCAAACAGAGGAAGAGTGTGGTTAGAGCCCAGTGAGCAAGGAGGAAGGAGGCTGCAGATGAAGGAGGCAGGGATCGCTGAAGGCCTTGTGGCCAGTGAGGAGGAATTTGTTTTCCTCCACCCGCAGAAGGAGTGTAGCCACCAGACTGAAAGCTGTGCAGCTGTGCTCTGACCTGTAGTTAAGCCCCAACTCAGGCACACCCAGCAGGACCAGACAGCCCACTTATGCCCTCCTCACTAGGCCGCACACACTCTTTGCCCCAGGGAAGTCCTTCCTGAAGTCTACCCTAAGTCCCTCTGGCTGCACTAGTGGCCCAAGTCTTCAGGGAGGACCCTCACTGGGATGGGGGTGCAGAGGGAGCCAGCGGGGAGAGCCTTACGGTGAACATGAGCTGGCAGCCTCCCAGGATGTAGTCAAGGAAGGAGTAGTCTCGGTTTATCTGGAAGAAAGCGGATGAGTCAGTGGGTCCCCTTGACTTGGTCACACTCCCCATGGGGGAGTTGTTGCTCTATGTCCTGCAACCTCAGTAGGGACAAGGAGGTCAAAAAAAGCTGATGGGCCTGATCTAATTACAACAAAACCCAAATCTCTCTATAACAAAGCCTTCAGTGCAATGGTTCCTAATGGGTGGGGGACTCACAGAGACCCCCACACCCCACAGATACACAGACACATGCTGGTTCCAGGCAGGGTGCCAGGGCCCAGTGTCAGTTACCTGACACAGAGTGTCTCAATTTGTCACTGTTAGGTACTTACCTTCTCCTGGCCCTTATTAATCTACCTTTTTAACAAAGAGAAAGAGCAGGCCTCCAGCTCAAGGCCTTCCTCTAGAAGTTGTTTTGATGGTCTTTGTCTCTTTTTGGCAAAGAAGGCAGATCTTTTAATTTTGGTAGAGTTCTAATAATCTCTTTCTAAATAAATGTATTTAAGTTAAAAAAAAAAAAAAAGAGAAAAGAAACAGGCCAGGTATAGTGGCTCATTCCTGTAATCCTAGCAGTTTGGGAGGCCAAGGCAGGCAAATCACTTGAGGTCAGGAGTTCAAGACCAGCCTGGTCGACATAATGAAACCCCATCTCTACTAAAAACACAAAAATTAGCCAGGCGTAGTGGCATGCACCTGTAATCCCAGCTATTTGGGAGGCTGAGGCAGGAGAATCCCTTGAACCTGGAAGGCGGAGGTTGCAGTGAGCTGAGATCACGCCACTGCACTCCAGCCTGGGCAACACAGTGAGACTCTGTCTCAAAAACAAAAACAAAAAACAATAATACAGGGAAGAAAGACTGATTCAAAAAAATAAGTAAGGCAGGTGCCAGAAATTGTGAAAAGTGATGTGAATGATGGAAACTTCAGAAACAAGGACCATCCATCACAAGGCTGCAACCTGACATCTTGACCTTTAACGGAGTGCTTTTTTGTCGTGACACCACTGAATGTTCGTGTAAACCCTAGCCAGACGAGGCTCCAAATAAGGTGGGAGTCTGGGATCCACCTGCTGGTGGAGAGCAGCGGCCAGACTCCTGAGCTGTCAGGCCCTGAGCCCAGGTCTCTTGCTCTCCTGCCCCAGGCTGCCTTCCTTAATGTTCTGCCAGATCCAGCAGTTATTTGCCCACCAGGTCTTCTGGCCCCCACCCACAGCCTGGCCACTGCTGACATGAACTTCATTGCCTTTCTGGGCCTCAGTGGCCCCGGCTGTACCATGGGAGTCACAGTGACGCTGATGCCAGAGAGGACAGGGTGTCCCCACCCAATGTCCTCTGCCCCTTGCATGCCCACCGTGGGCGGCAGCAACTCGCAATGACAATTCTCCCACCAGGACAGGCCCTGGAAGGTCAGCTCGTGCCTTCCCTGGCCTCCACACAGGAATGTGAGAGAAGAGTAACCCTGGACATGCTCTGCCTCGTTAATATCTCCATTCCACAGATGAGGAGACTGAGGCCTGGTGAGGTGAAGCTCAGAAGGCCATAGGGCCAGGATGTGGCAGAGCCGGGATTTGAACACAGGCCTCGCTGGCTCCAGATCCAGTGCTCTGTCTGTCCCTTCTGTGTGGCCTGAAACCTGGCCCCTGGCTCGTGCTTGCCCACGCTGGTTCACCTTGCAGGATCGCAGGATGATGATGCCCGAGTTTTTATAGTTCTTCTTCTTCCTCTGCTTCTTGGGGTTGATGCACTCGAACTCCAGCTGGGCAACGCAAAAGAAAGAGACACTCACCTCGGGGCTTCTTTGGAAACAGATCCTCCTCCTTGGCCCTAGAATCCCTTCCACAGGCTTGACAATGGGGGCAGCATGCTTCCTCCAGGGAGCCTCCCAGGATGTCCACACCCAAAAATGGTAGCAGGATCAGCATCTGCCTCCCTCCTCCCCAGATAACGCACCCCCAAACTGTCCAGCTGAGGGCCCAACATCACGGAATGACTTAAATGGATAGCTCCTGACTGCTCACTATATGCTGGGCACTTCGCCTGCATCATCTCATTCAATCCCCACCCAAATCCTCTGCCCCCATTGACAGATGGAGAAACTGAGTCTTAGATTGAATGCCTTGCTCAAGGTCATGCAGCCAGAAGGGGGATCTCAGCCCCAGGCTGCCTGACCCAAGACCCGGTGCCCCTTCCCCCAGCCCTGCTGAGGTCTTGGGGTTACAGTACACGTGCCCATCTCACCGGGACGCTGTCTCGAGCCTCACACATCTGTGACACTGAGGTCTGGAACTCGCCGATGAAGTCATGGCCCCCGTCATTGTCATAGTCGTAGCACATGACCTGGGGTGGGTTCAGCACGGTCACCCCAGAGCTGTCCCCCAAGAGGTGCTCTCCAGCCCCTCTCAACTCCCCAAGCAAACCCTCTGTCTTCTGTTTGGGTAGTGCCTCTCCTCAGCATCTGCCTAGCTGGCCTGGATAGCTCCTGAACTGCCTCCTGCAGGAAGACTTCTGTGATTGCTGGGAAAAGGAGAAAGTGTGTCTGCCCCACTGATGGAGGCTGTACCCTCTAGTGCAGGCAACTCCACTCCTTATACACCTGGCAAATGGCTCCCCCTCCACCTCGGGTTGTGACCCACCCAGCTTATGGCCTGGGGCCCTCTCTAGACATATTTTTTTCTGAGATGAGCACAGAAATCACAGCTTTATATGCTGTCTGAGCTGCTATGGCCCTCCTAGGAGGAAGGCAGGGATTATTGTTCCCATCCCACTGATGGGTAAACTGAGGCCCTGAAAGAGATGTACCTGCCCAAAGTCTCACAGCAGCAGTAGCAGACCCAGTACTAGAACCTAAGATTCCTGGTATCCTACTTGGGAATCTCTGTCCTGACCTAGCTGTCTCCCCAGTCCCATCTGCTCTCAGACCCAGCCCCTGGGGACCAAGAGCTTTTATTTTTTATTTATTTGATTTTATTTTATAATTTTTTTTTTTTTTTGAGACGGTCTCTACTAAAGACCGTGAGAGGGTGGGTGAGAGGCCTCACGTGAGAGGCCAGGGTGGTCTCAATCTCCTGACATCGTGATCCACCCACCTTGGCCTCCCAAAGTGCTGGGATTACAGGCATGAGCCACCGCGCCCGGCCTATAACTTTTTTTTTTTTTTTTGAGACAGAATCTTGCTCTGTTACCCATGCTGGAGTGCAGTGGCTCAATCTGGGCTCTGCAACCTCCGCCTCCCACATTCAAGTGATTCTCCTGCCTCAGGCTCCTGAGTAGCTGGGACTACAGGCGTGCACCGCCATGCTCGGCTAATTTTTGTATTTTTAGTAGAGATGGGGTTTTCCCATGTTGGCCAGGCTGGTCTTGAACTCCTGACCTCCAGTGACCCACCTGCCTCAGCCTCCCAAAGTGCTGGGATTACAGGCATGAGACACTGCACTCAGCCAGAGGACTGAGAGCTTTTAGAGAGACTGGTAATCACTGTCCTCATCATGCCAAATTTGATAATTTCCAAGGTGTTTCCCTAGCTAGCAGCTCTGCAGCCCTCTGGGGAGGGCAAGAGAGTTTTAGAGAGGGGCTCAAAGGTGGGGGCCCTGCCCGGGTACTTCAGGGCATCAGATAGATCCAGGATGAGGACCCAGTCTCCAGTCCTCCCTCCTCCAAAGATGGGGGTTCGTTCCACTTGTATGAGAAAGAGCTTTCTACAAGGCATCCCCGGGAGCCTCAGGTAGACTGGGAGGCTGGAGCTGGCAAGGTGGGGAGCAGGGTCCCCAGAGCCCCCTCACCTGGATGGGCTTCTCCATGTCCCCATCACACAGGGACACCAAGGGCACTGTGAATGGCTTCCACACAGGGTCCAGTGTGTACTTGATCACCTGTGGGACAGAGAGGGATGCTGTGAGCTCAGGCCCTGGGCAGCAGTGCTCTGGGGTTGGGTCAGCCCAATGGGGACAGGGTGACAAAATGCAGACCCACAGCCACACTTCCAGAGACAGAAGTGAGCGTCCCTGTGGCTGGGAGGAAGCATATCCCTCAGGTGCCACTGTGGGTTTTCCTGCACACTGAGCGGCTGTGACCGCACCTCCCTTTTTCAGAGCTGTGGAGGGGCTGGACTGCAGGCCCACTGCTTAGAGATCCCTGGGCCCCCACGTACCCACCTCAGTCCTGTGGACCAGCATCCACTTGCCATCGTCTCCTGGCTTATAAAACTCCAGAAAGGGGTCTGACTTCCCAAAGAGGTCCTGGGAGAAGTGGGAGGATGCGGGTGAGAGAGGTACAGCCCTGCTAGGTTCAGGCAGATGGGGGTGTGGCCCTGCTGCCTCCCCAGCCGGGTGTCAGGATAGGAGCTGTGGGCAGAGCCAGCCTGGCCCCCTCCCCTCAGACTCTGCAAGGCTCAGCAAGAGGCCCAGGGCAGCTGCAGCCCCCTGGGATCAACCAGGTCCCCCAGCAGAAACCCCCCACCCTGAGGCTGTCAGAGCTTGTGCTCAGAGACCCTCCAAGACTCAGAGCCTGTGTGAGTCAGAACTCCGGCATTTTAGATGGGCCAGGACTTCAAGAGGGTGACTATTCCCAAGGTAGGGTGAGGCTCCCAGCAGGGTGTCATTTCAGTTTATTTTATTGGGAATGTGAAAAACTGAAACTATCCTGCACATGACATAAGGAATATCATGGCCTTTAAAAAATCATTTAAGGTTTAAAAAGTGCCACTTTTTGTATGTGACTCACTCTATCTATCTATCTATCTATCCATCCATCCATCCATCCATCCATCCATCCATCCATCCATCTATGGGGTCTCACTATATTGCCCAGGCTGGTCTCAAAATCCTGGCCTCAAGTGATCCTCCTGCTTCAGCTTCCCAAGTAGCTGGGATTACAGGTGTGAGCCGCTGCACCTGGCAACTGTTACTTTAAAGAGGTTATATTCAAGTTAGGGAGACAGAAAATAAGTAAAGAAGGTATGGGCCAGGCATGGTGGCTCAAGCCTGTAATCCCAGCACTTTGGGAGGCCGAGGTAGGCGGATCACAAGGTCAGGAGATCGAGACCATCCTGGCTATCATAGTGAAACCCCGTCTCTACTAAAAGTACAAAAAAAAAAAAAATTAGCTGGGCGTGGTGGCAGGCGCCTGTAGTCCCAGCTACTCGGGAGGCTGAGGCAGGAGAATGGCATGAACTCAGGAGGCGGAGCTTGCAGTGAGCTGAGATGACACCACTGTACTCCAGCCTGGGCAACAGAGCAGGACTCTGTCTCAAAAAAAAAAAAAAAAGAAAGAAAGTATGCTAGACAGTAATAGTGTTAAGGAGACGAGAAGGAGGGGGTGGGAAATTGAAGACCAATTTCAGGGAAGGCCTCGTTGAGGAGGTGATGTGGGAGCAAAGGCTTGATGGAGGTGAGAGGGTGCCGTGAGAAAATTCAAGGAAGAGAGCATCCCAGGCAGAGGGAACAGCAAGTGCAAAGCTCCTGAGGGAGGAGAGTGCCTCGTTTAATTCACGGACAAGGGGCTAGGTTTGGCTGAAGCAGAGTGAGGTGCGGGGAGGAGGGGTGAGGTCGGAGAGTCGGGGCACTGGGGACACATCAGGCAGGGCCCCATTGGGTAAGGACCTTGGAATGTACTTACACTAAGTGAGATGGGGATGCCCCAATGAGCAGGTTTCCAGGTGTGTTTTGAATACCCCTAAGGGATGGAACACTCACTACCTCAGAGGTGAAGGAGTCCTAATCTGGAGTGGCCAGGAGGGCCCCGTGCTGGACCAGTCCCTAGAATGTGATGGAGGTGGTGGCCCGAGGTCCCGGAATGAGGCCACACAGCCCTGGGGCTGGTGGGGGCTACTGTTCCCAATGGGAGCCCTTCCTCTGCCCGCCTTACCTTCTTGTCCAGCCTCCTGCCCGCCAGGCTTAGTGTGATGACGCGGTTGTCGGACAGCTCCTGGGCAGCGATCTGTAAGGCCGGGACATGAGGGGCTCCTCAGACTCCCCCAGCCTCCTGCCAGGCAGGATGGCACAGGGTGCCCCAGGAGCAATCCTCCAGGGCTAGGAGGGGGAAGGGAAGGGCAGTTCCAGGTGACCTTGGACAAATCTCTTGTCTTCCCCACACCTCAGTTTCCATCTTCTGGAAAATGCGGAAAATAACCCATCTGGAGATGAGGAGTCAGGAAGCGGATCTACGCAAATCCGCAGGGCCCATGGGGTGGTGGGCAGAGATGAAGCAAGGACCAGACACCGGGGGTGGTCTTGAGTCCCGGGGAGAGGTTCTGGCCCAGAGAGCAGCATGACCGGCCTTCTCCTGCCCCTGCGGCAGCCACAGAGAGCACAGCTTCCTCAGAACACCAAGGTGTCAGCATCACAGCCACTTCATTGTACAGCTAGGGAAACTGAGGCCCAGGGGAGAAACTGAGTCCCATCAGTTCACATTGGTCATCTGTCCTCCATGCATTCCCCATCAGCTATGGTTCCCTGACCCCAGCCCAGCCAGTGATGGCCTAGCTGGGCGACTTCGAGACTGCTGAGGCCCCCTGTAGGCCTCTCTCCCTCCCCTGCTGCCCACAGCAACACAAGTGGGCTGGGGCCTTTCGCTGGGGCCTCCTCTCCTCTCCTGCCTCTAGGATGGCCTCACCCAGCGCAAGGCATCTGGCCCTCTGGACCCACAGACAGAGGCCAGCCATGTTGCCCGTTCTCCCCTGCCGTCCTCCCACTGGGACTTGCTCAACAACCCTATAGGGTAGGTCCTATTATCACCCCCATTTCCCAGGGGACGGGATGGAGGCCTAGAGTGGAACTGCCAGAAATGCTGGGGTGATGGCATACCCGGGTGAGTGGGGTCTGTCTGAGATGGCTTCTAGGTGGAAGCTGCCTTGTGAAGGCATTCATTCATTCATTCATTCAGAGATGGGGTTTCACTCTCTTGCCCAGGCTGGAGGGCAGTAGCATGATCATAACCCACTGCAGCCTCAAACTCCTGGCCTTAAGGGATCCTCCTGCCTTAGCCTTCCAAGGAGTAGTGCTACAGGTGCAAGCCATGCACCTGGCCTGGGAAGGCATTTAGATGGGCCAGTTAGGAACCAAGAGGTTGGGGGAGGTTGTTTGGGAGGTGGTGATCCGTGGGGGCAGGAACAGAGTAAGAGCCTGAGGTATGTTCAGGATATGCTAAGAATTCAGTTTGCTTTGAACGCAGGGCATTTAAGTGAAGGAGATTAAAAAAACACCAAGGCAGGAGAGCCAGGCAGGGTCTGAGGGGTCCTTCACAGCCTTGAACCGAAGGGTTGGTCAGGCAGTGGGGAGCCATGTGAGGTTCCAGGACAGGGGAGTAACACACGGGAACACACAAAGGCATGGCTTCTCCCTCCAGCCTGGCCGGCTTCCCAGGCATCGCGTGGGCTCAGAAGCCAGCCAGACAACCAGGGGACGATCTCGCTAGCTCAGCTGCCCCAGGGAACTTCCTCTCTGGGTCTCAGGGGTGGCCCTGGCTTCTGGGAGTCTTTGAAGACCAAGGAGCTCATCCGGGCGAAGGGCCTGTGCATCTCCAGCGGAATTACTGCGCATCGCGGGAGTCGTTGCGCATTGCAGGAATCATTGCGCGTCGCAGCCACAAGCAGGGCACTGATGGGCAGGGCACTTCTGAACGACCCCCAGGGGAGGGCAGGCAGGGGCCAGTGCAGGGAGGGGGCTGCTGGCAGGGCTCTGGAGGCCTCCCCAGCTTGTCAGCCCCCACTGCATCATTTGTGGAGCCAGCAGCCGGTTGCTAAGAGACCTGTTGCTAAGTTGTAAGTTGGGCCTTTTTACTCCAAACAAAGCTGGTGATTATCTGCCAGGGAAGCGGCCCATTGATGGGGGAGGGTGTGGGGTGGGGATGGAGGGGGTGCGGAGAGCCGGGAGGGGACTGGTACCGTAATCAAGCCCTTCCCCGCAGGCTTGTCATTCAGCAGCAGCAGAGGCCTAGTGATCTTCTTGCTGGAGACGATCTAGGGGAGAGAGGAGAAAGGGCGCTCAGTGAGGAAGCGGGGGAAGCCCGGGAAGGAAAAATCCTCCACCGGCACCGGAAAAATCCTCTTGGCAGGGCTGCACCCCGCCCTGGCTGGCTGGTGACCCGCCTGAGCATCATCATCACCCTGGGAGGTGGACAGCAGCCAATCTGGGCAGTGAGGAGCCTGAGGCCCAGAGAGGGTAAGAGACCCGCCTGAGGTCTCCCGCTGCAGTTGGACTCCCACTGCCTGGTTTGCCCCTAGGAAAAGGCATTTTGGAGACAACTGTGGGAGGTTAGCCCCCTAACTCCCTCCTCCAGAGGCATTCCACAGACCCCACCTGCCTCAGGATATGATCTCTGATGGACAGAGTCAAGCTCAGATTCTATGTATTTTCCTTTTGAGACAGGTCTCGATCACGGCTCACTGCAGCCTCAACCTCCTGGGCTCAAGCGATCCTCCCACCTCAGCCTCCTGGGTAGCTGGGACTACAGGCATGCATCACCACGCCTGGCTTTTTTTTTTTTTTTTTTTTTTTTTTGGTAGAGACAAGGGCTCATTATGTTGCTCAGGCTGGTCTCGAACTCCAGGCTCAAGCGATCTTCCCGCCTTGGCCTCCCAAAGTGCTGGGATTACAGGCATGAGCTATAGAGCCCGGCCAATTCTTTCTATTTTTATTGGTTTCAATAGGTAATACACTTACACAGGGTGCAATAATCAAAACAACATAGAGAGGAAAAGTGGGCCACATTGCAAAGTCACCCTCCCACCTGTGTCTGCCCACTGCACTCAGGGGCCAGCATGGTTCGTGCTTCCTGGGTGCAGTGCGAGCGTCGTCCTGTGCAGCGGGGAGCACACATCAGTATGATCTAGTCCTGCTCCTGTGGGGCTAGTTCTTCTCCGCAGATCCACACACCTGCTCTGTGCCCTGGGGACTGTGCCACCTGGCTCTTTTGCCCTCTGGCTTTCAGAGGTTCAGCCAGTTGGGGGGATGGGCAGGAGACGGGAGAGCAGGTGGCGTGAGAGGTGGGGGCCCCCGTTTGATGGGAGCTTCTCCATTACTCTGTCTTCTGCCTCAGTTGCAGTCCAGAGGCCTCCCTCTATGGGCCACAGGTCTTACCAGGCCCTGGCAATGCCACTTCCTCACCCTGCCTTCCTTCCAGGTGAAGGTGGTCAGCTTTCCTCTGGGGCCAAGCCCTGGACTGGTTTCCCCATCCCTTGTCAGTTCCCTGCCCTGTCCACAAGCCCTTAAGCTCTCTTCTCAGTTATACCACAGGGTAGGGACCCTGACTACTGTACCCTGCTTCTTACGCAAAAAGTAGACATCACAACCATGGCAGTCCCTTGCTTTCTGCATGGTCACCATCTCCTGGAAGGCCCCGGGCATTTCAGTCTCCACTAGGACCCCTCAAAGCATTTTCCATTTCATTCCCTTATCAACCATGTAGGCTGGGCAGAGCAGTCATCATAATCCCCAAGGAAAATGTGGGGAAACTGAGGCCCAGAGGGGGATGGGAGCTTATCCAAGGGCATACAGCCATAAGGAATGATTGAGACTTGTGTCAGGGGCGCCTAGCCCCGCTTGCTCCCGGCCTCCAGGAGCTTACCAAGGACTGAGATGGATGGGGAAGTGTGGCCCAGAGAGGGAAAGGAAGTTTCTCAAGGTCACACAGTGAGTCTGCCACAAAGCGGGACTACTGTGGGTGTCTTGGTTGCTGGTCAGATGCTCCTACCCCCAGAGGTCAAGACCACACCTGATTATATCTAACAATCGGAATCCCTGGCCACCTGGGGCCCCAGATCCTGAGAGGCATTCTGTTTGGCTGCCTCTCCAGATGGGAGCTCTTCAGCCCGGCCTTGAACCCGCCAAGACTGTTCCCCACTCTGCATCTGCACTTTGGGACCCACCCAGGAAGATGGGGCTAGGGAAAGACAGCACGAGAAGAGACTTTTTGAGGGGTTGCCCGGTCTTTGGGCCCCTGCTCCCACCCAGGAGGGCCCAGCTCACCGTGCCCAGGCTGCAGGAGAACTGGCCCAGGAAGTCATGCTCGTCCAGCCGCATACTGGACTTGTCCTGGTCAAAGAGCGCGAACTTGAGCTTCTGTACCTCCTCGAAGTGGTAGTCAAGCACGAACTTCTTGGAGAAGGCGGGGTTGAGGTTGTTGATCGCGGTTTCTGTCCTGTCGTACTAGCAGAGGGGCAGGAAAATGGAAGTCAGAGTCAAGGCAGCTGGTCCAAGACCTCGCAGGCTGCTGGAAATCATTCTGCTAACTTGTACAATGCCTACTCTGTGCCAGGCTCTTGTGGTCATCGTCAGTGACTCACTATCCCCAGCTCACAGACAAGGACACTGAAGCACAGAGAGGTTAAGTGACTTCCCCAGGGCTGGACAGCTTGTGGAGCAGGGCCGAGATTTGAAACCGAGGTCTGACTCTGCTACCCACACTCTTAATTCTTTGGCCCTGGCTCCCTACCCAGGTGCCAGGGTAAGAGCTCAGGCCCTGCCCCTGCCTGGGTAAGAGATGGAGGACAAGGCCCTTTCCCCATCTGGGCCTCCGTTTCCACCTCTGTAAAGGGAAAGGATTTGACTACTTGCGGTTTTCACTTTTTATTTTGGGAAAACCCTTTTTCAAACCATGTTTTACATGGAAACTGAGAGAGGAAACAGAAAGCAGGGAGGATTCTTCGGGGGAGGTGGGGTCAGGGACTCCCCACGGGAGCGCGGGGAGATATTTGTATCTTGTATAGAATCCTGACACTGTGCAGCCCAACACCCCACCTACTGTGGATACCAAAGCCTGGCTGAGGACAGGGCCTGGTACTGTGGGTCAGTGGTGGCACTGGGACAGGAAACCCGCCTCCTGGCCTCTGGATGCTGAGGCCCCAAACCGCGGAGTCTGGGTGACAGTCTATTTTGGGGCCCAGGCTGTGTTGACTTTTCCTCCCACCCAGTCCATTTCCAAGGGCTGGAGCAGCAGGGACGGAGGAGGTCTTGGCCCTGGGCTATTTTTAGCCAGGGTGGCTGGCCTGGGTGGGGGCAGAGGTTGTCAGGGAGGGTGGGGGATTGTGCTATGAGTCAGGGGGATACCACTCCCTCGGGGCACTCAAGGGTTCTAGAGACCTGGTGGAAGGGAACTGTGCCCCCAGACATGCCTCTCACAGGCTTGTGGCTCCCCCAGGAGTCCTCAGCTGGCCCCATGTCCCACCTCCCACTTACAGTTGTACCATCAACAAGCTGGGTGACACAAAAAAGTCCCTACCCACTCTGGGGCCCCTGTTTCCCCCTCTGTAAAGTGGGTCAACAATCCCACACCGTTTTCTTGGCATCACAAGAAGGAGCCAACATCCATGGGAACTCTTTGTAAACCACAGTATGTTCAGGTGAACTCCCACCGTGGCCTAGTTAAATATCCATTAAAAAATACACACATATTTTGGGAAATATACATGCATATAAAGCCATCTGGAAGGCTGGATACCAAACGGTTAACAGTGGTTCTCTATGACAGGTGGGTTCCTAACAATTTTGATTTTCTCCTTTAGGTTTATCTGGATTCTCTACATTTACTCCAATAGTTTCCTTTTGCAAAAGCAAAGCAAGTTTTAAAACCTGAAGGTCTGAACAGCTTAGGTTTCTCAACATCCTTCCTCAAGCTGCAACTCTTTCCAACCTTCAAGCCAAAGTCTTCCAGCTCAGAAGTCCTTGCCTGGGGCACCATTAATATCCCCAGATCTGGGGCCTTCCAAGGGAGTCAGCAGAAAAAAAATATATAATAATTTCACAGATGAGGAGACAGGTTCAGAAAGGGACAGCTACTTGCTTAAGGCCACACAGCAGGGAGTAGCATCACTGGGCCTTGGACCAGCTCCCAAAGCCTGAGCTCACTGTTTCTCTGTTTCTTACTGACCATGTGTTCATTTAGAAAGGTTATTTAAAAGCGGAAGCAAACATTTCATAAAACTATAAAATGTTAACTATATATAACAATTTATAACAAGATGGGGCGTGGTGGTTCATGCCTGTAATCCCAGCACTTTGGGAAGTGGAGGCAGGTGGATTGCTTGAGGTCAGGAGTTCAGGACCAGCCTCGCCAACATGGCGAAAACCCATGTCTCTACTAAAAATACAAAAATTAGCTGGGCGTGGGGTGCACACCTGTAGCCCCAGCTAATCGGGAGGCTGAGGCAGGAGAATTGCTTGAGCCTGGGAGGCAGAGGTTGCAGTGAGCTGAGATCTCACCACTGCACTCCAGCCTGGGGGACAGAGAGATTCCGTCTCAAAAAAAAAAAAAAGATATCAAATAATCACTATAAATCATATAAATATAAATCTATAGATTTTAATTGTAATAATTTAAACACAAAGTAATATTTTAAATATATTTAAAATAAAATTTCATTTTAAGAGTAACAATTTACCAAGTAATCCCCTGCCACCAGCCCACACTCCAACTACTTCCATCAGACATCCTGGATCCCAGTCCTGGGAGACTCCCCCTCCCCAGCAGCCTAGCCACCCCCTTACCCACCGCAGACACACGGAAGAGCCTCACCTCGATCCATCTGCCATTGTTCTCTGTAAAGAGGACACAGAAGGGGTCGGACTTGGAGGTAACATCCCGGTCCAGTAGGTTCTGGCCACTCACTGACAGCTCCACCTTGCACACGCAATACTGGGGGCCCATGGGGGCTGCCCCCGCTGCTGGGGCACCCCCACTGGGTATGTGGGCCATGGGAGCCGGTGGCGGTGGCAGGAGTTCCTGGCAGTCTAGGGGAACAGAAGTGAGGGTCAGAGAGTGGACAGACACCTGCTATGCTGCCCCACCATAGGGAGGCATTACCACCTGGCCTTTAAGAGGTGAGTGGAGAGATGGAAGGCAAATTGAGGCGGGTTGTCAAATAACATAGGCAAAGGTTTGAAGAAAGAAGAATGCAAGGAAATGCATGAAAAGGGAGTCTCAGCTGAGCGCAGTGGCTCACGCCTATAATCTCAGCACTTGGGGAGGTCAAGTGCCTGGAAGCCCGGAGTTCAAGACCAGCCTGGCAACAAGGAGGATCCTGTCTCTGCAAAAAATATTTAAAAATCAGCTAGACATGGTGGTGCGTGCCTGTGGTCCCAGCTACTTGGGAGGCTGAGGCAGGAGGATTGCTTGAGGCCAGTAGTTCAAGGTTGCAGTGAGCCGTGATTGCACGTCTCTGCACTCCAGCCTAGGCGACAGAATGATACCATCTCAAAAAAAAAAAAAAAAAAGAAAAGAAAAGAAAAAAGAGTCTCTGTCTCTGGTAGCTGTGTTAAATTTGTCTTTGAAGTTTTTCTCTGCTGTGGTCAGTCTTCACCTGTAAGGATGCACAGCTCCTTGTGTGTTGCTCCGTCACATGAGCAACAAATCACAGTGGACATGGGTGTCTCAGATACTAATTGTGCCAGGAAAACCTGGGCTTCTCCTGAGCAACTAGCATGTTGGCATCTTGTGGCCACAGTGGAGCTGACAACTGCTCAGGCTTCTCTCCTTCCTACTTTGGCCACTAGGAAGCTCACTTCTGGTAACGTCAGAGGCGTTTAAACCAGAGCAACTCCATCTTGAATAGGAACTGGGTAAAATAAGGCTGAAACCTACTGGGCTGCATTCCTAGATGGTTAGGCATTCTGGGTCACAGGATGAGATAGGAGGTCAGCACAAGATACAGGGCATAAAGACCTTGCTGATAAAACAGGCTGCAGTAAAGAAGCCAGCACCAAAACCAAGACGGCCATGAGAGTGACCTCTGGTCGTCCTCACTGCTACACTTCCACCAGGGCCATGACAGTTTACAAATGCCATGGCAACATCAGGAAGTGACCCTATATGGTCTAAAAAGGGGAGGCATGAATAATCTGCCACTTGTTTAGTATATCATCAAGAAATAACCATAAACATGGGCAACCAGCAGCCCTTGGGGCTACTCTGTCTATGGAGTAGCCATTCTTTTATTCCTTTACTTTCTTTTTTTTTTTTTTTTGAGGCAGAGTCTGGCTCTGTCACCCAGGCTGAAGTGCAGTGGCATGATGTCAGCTCACTGCAACCTCCACCTCCTGGGTTCAAGCAATTCTTCTGCCTCAGCCGCCCGAGTAACTGGGACTACAGGCACCCACAACCACGCAAGGGTAATTTTTGTATTTTTAGTAGAGACGAGGTTTCACCACATTGACCAGGCTGGTCTCAAACTCCCGACCTCAGGTGATCCACCCACCTGGGTCTCCCAAATGTGCTGGGATTACAGGCATGAGCCACCGCGCCTGGCTATTCCTTTACTTTCTTAATAAATTTGCTTTCACTTTATGGACTCGTCCTGAATTTCTTCTTGCACAAGATCCAAGAACCCTCTCTTGGGGTCTGGATCGGGACCCCTTTCCTGTAACAGTAACATTAAAAATTCACCCTTGTTCATTGTCTATCACCTTCACCCTGTATCTCTAGCTCATACACAATGACTGGTGCACAGGAAGCATCCAGTATATACTTGCTGAATGAAAAAAGGATGAGTGTATAAATGAATGAATGGACAAACCCTCCATATGCCTCAGATCCTGCCAGCATTGGTCCTTATCTTCAACACACAATTTACCCTTTCACTCATATACAATTTCCCAAAATTCTGTGCCCTGGGCCTCAAGTATCTTCCTCCAGTCAAGGTTAATTACTGACATGTGATCAGTCGAAGGACTTCTGTTTTCCTTTGAGTGCAAGGTGTGAGTGAGACTGGAGCAACCCATCTCAAGGGGTGGAGGGGGACCTAGGTCACACCCATCACAGGCCCAGCAGACAAGTCCTCTGGCTTTCTCTGCCTCAGTTTCCCATCTGCCCATGAGACATCAGGACACAGCCCTTTGAGCCTCCTGTGGTCAGGTCTCATTTCCACTGGCATGTGTGCATTTAACACTGGCCCTGTCATCCCAGTGGTTGAACCTAGCCCCTAAACACCTACCCAACAATGGCCAGGTTCCAACTCCCTAATACTTTGTCCTCCTGAGGCTAAGTGGTTTACTGACCCTGAACTTCTCCAGTGGAGGGAAGTAAGTGGGGGTGGTGGGTGGGCCCCCTCTGGGAACACAAATCCAAGTCACTGTGCTTGTGAGCACTAATTGAGCATGTCACCTGAACAATGTCACTAATCCTCACTCAGTCTTACGAGGCAAGTATAGTAATATAATTTTCCAGAGGAGGAAACTGAGGCTTTCATTCACTCTAGAGGGTGTACTGAGCATCTATTAGGTCCCAAGAACTGTCCCAGTGCTGGGAATGCTACAGTAAGAAGACTGCTCTCGGCTGGGCATGGTGGGCTCATGCCTGTAATCCCAGCACTTTGGGAGGCCCAGGCAGGTGGATCACTTGAAGTCAGGAGTTCAAGACCAGCCTGGCCAACATGGTGAAACCCCATCTCTACTAAAAGTACAAAAATTAGCCAGCATGGTGGCGTGCACCTGTAGTCCCAGCTACTCGGGAGACTGAGGCAGGAGAATTGCTTGAACCCAGGAGGTGGAGATTGCTGTGAGCTGAGATCGCGCCACTGCACTCCAGCCTGGGCAACAGAGCAAGACACTGTCTCAAAAAAAAAAAAAAAAAAAAAAAGATTGCTCTGTCTTAGCCCGTGCAGGGCTCACAGTCCAGTCTGGCAGGAACACAATGAGGGAGCAGGGAGAGTGGCCAGGACCTGCAGGAGCTGTGGGCTCTGATAGGGTGTCTGAGTTTCATTCTGAGAGCAATGGGAAGTCTTAGAAGCAGAGAACTGACATTATCTGATTTGCGTTTTTAAAAGCTTACTTGGCCCCTTGTGGGGAGAAGGGGTTGTCAAGCTAAGGAGAAGTAGCAGAGAGACCAGTGAGGAGGCAGCTGCTGTCCTCCAGGCAGGAAGGATCGAGCCACCATCACTATGCTGGGTCCACTCCTCCTCTCTTTCACCCAGGCCACGGTGCACTCTGGAGCGCCAGCCTCTTGCTGGGCAGATGCAGTCCCCTGCAAGCCCCGGTCTGCAGGAGGCCAGGGTGAGAGTGGGGCTGGCAGCGGAGACCTCCCAGCTTCCCCTCCAGATCCAGTGTTCCCCGGACATGCCTGGCAGGGGAAAAATCTGGACAACGATGAAGCTGGTCCTCAGCCCCCTCCCTCCCAGCCTTTGTTCCTAGAACCTTGTTATAATCACACGAGCTCAGAGCATCAGGACAGCACTACAATTTGCCTGCAGGATTTATTCTTGTGTAAAAATCAGTTTCCACTGGAGGAGCTGGTGAACTGCGTTCACTCTTACTGTGTGCAGCTGGGCAGCTGTGCCAAGTTGGGGTGGGGTGGGGAAGGGGGCAGACAGGGATGTCCAAAGTCTTGCTGTGTGGCTGAGAGCGCCTTCCCATGCCTGCAGGACAATTGCCCCCATTTTAGAGATGAGGAAACTGAGGCCCAGAGAGTAAAAGTCACTTGCTTGAGGTTACAGGGCCAGGAAAAGGCAGAGACAGGATGTGAATCAGGTCTCCCAGGCCAATGCTTGGCCTTTTGCCAGGGTGGGGAGATTGCTGAACATTGTGGGACCTAGGCAGGGACAGCCAGGACATCAGCCAGGCCAGGGGAGCCTGAGGCTAAGCGGGCAGGTTGTGATCAGGGCTGGGGAAGCCAAGGGCATTCCCCCATTTGAACACACACCCAGGATGGGCCCCAGAGTATCCAAGTTCACCAGTTCCTCTGGGTCACCCAGTCCACACCCCTGCATCTCCCACCATTGCTGGCGAGGTGGATTCTAGCTCACCTACCCCCTCCTCACTTCACAGGCCCCCTCTGTGACATGTTAGATGCCACCTGGGCCACCATCTCCTGCTGCCAAATCAGACACTTCTCTTCTCATCCTGAGGGTGTCAGGCACACACGCCCAGATTCACCTGCTTCCTTGTCCATTTACACACGTGTGGTCACATATACACACATACACATACGCACCCAGACTGACAAATACAATGACAGATGCTCATATGAACACTCTGGGGTCACCTCCTTCTGTCCCCATCACTACCCTACCCCCGCCCCTCTGCCTCATCCAAGCCCCATTATCTTGCCTTGGTTACTATACCAGCCTCCTGCCTTTCCCTCCCTCCAGCCTGACTGAGGGCGTGGGCAGGAGGGACAGGTCACAGGGGCAGGGGGCGGTGGCTGGGCCAGGAGCCCCCAGCTCACTGCAACTCCACCTGGATCGGCTCAGGCCCTGGCTAGAGTGAGCAATGGGTGGGTGGGAAGGGAACTCCTCCCCGAGCCAGGGGCAGGTCCTCCCATCTCCAACTCACCCTCTGGCTGGAAGCTTCTGGATCCCCGAAACGGGGAGCACATGATGTCTGGAGTTGGGGCAGGCGGGGGGAAGAGTGGGTCCCTCTGCGCCAGCCCAGCAGCAGCCAGGCGTACTGGACCCTGAGGCCTGACGCAATGGAAAAAGAAACTACAGCTTAGGCTGGGCCAGGGGCCCCCTCCCCTCCTACCCCAGCAGGAGGGCAGGCAGGCAAGGTGTCATTAAGGGAGGGCTGGGCCTGCCATGCGCATCTGGGCACGATGGAAACACCTCTGGGGCAGCCCCCACCCCATAGGTAATTTGAGGTTTCAGGCTGGGGGATGGGATGGGGAGCCAGGGCCTGCTTAAAGCATGGTCCTGACTCCTGGCACAGATGGGCACAGCCCTTCTGGGGTGACCAGACCCCCCAGGCAAGGAGCTTGGAGAGGGGTTTATGAAACTAGTGGTCTCTTTTACAGATGGGTCAACTGAGGCAAAGAGAGGACAGGACTTGGGAATTCCCAGGCACTGATTCATTGGTTCATTCAACAAATACTCCCTGAGCACCCCGGGGCTATGCAGTTAATAAAACACACAGGAGCCAGTGGTGGCTCACACCTGTAATCTCAGCACTTTGGGAGGCTGAGGTGGAAGAATGGCTTGGGCCCAGGAGTTTGGGGCTGCGGTGAGCTGTGATTGTGCCACTGCACTCCAACCTGGGCGATAGAGCAAAACCCTGTCTTAAAAGTTAAAAAAAAAAAAAAAACCGGACACATAGGATTCAGCCCTCACAGGGTCCACTGACCCCAGCGAGGAGGCATCTTGCCCTTAGGCAGGACAGGCTTGGACATTGGTGCTGAGCCACAGGCCTAGAACATCACGGTTTTAGCCAGAAAACTAGGAATTCATCGTCCTTAATCTCCTTTTATCTTCACCTCCTATATGCCACCAGTGCTGCTGATTTCACCTTCAAGCTGCATTCAGCATCCGTCCTCTCCCCACTTCCACTATGTCAGCCCAGCCAGGCTCCCATCATCTCGTGCCCAGACACACCCTGACCCATAACAGGAATCTCTGATGCAAGCTCAGCTGCACTCTCTTTTCCACACCAGAGCCAGAGGGAGTCTTTAAACCTAGAAGTCAGATGCCACCATGGCTCTACCTGAAAGTCTTCCTGTGACCTCCTCATCCAGGTCACACAAACCCCAAATCGTGCCCAGGATGACAGGACCCTGCCTGACCTGTCCCCACTTCCTGCCACCCTCCCCCTCGCTTGCTTCCTTTGGCCCAGCTGCACTGGCCTCCCTTTGCTGTCAGGCTCTCTCCTGCCTCAGGGCCTTAGCACTTGCTGTTCCTTTTTCCAGGAATGCCTTTCTTCACAGGAAAGGTCTTACTTGTCAGCTTAATATCACATCCTCAGAGGCCTTCCCTGATCACCCAGGCTGATGTAATCTGTCTCCGCTCCATGCTGCTTCCTTCACAGATCACTGCAATGTACAATCGTTTTACATATCTGTCTATGTACCTGTGTCTGTCTGCCCCGTCCCTCAGGAGGACATCATCACTGTTTCCCCAGCACCTATGGCCGTATCTGCATATGTGAGCACCTAATCAATGAGGAAGGTGGGGGCTCGTCAGGCAGGCTCCATCATCAGCAGCCCCAGAGCAATCATAGCCACCTCCCCCTGCACACATCACTTGAGAGAATCACAGGCAGCTTCTCAAACCCTAGGGTCTGAGAGGCCAGCAGGAGAGGGACTGTGTCCTACTTCACAGGGGTGGAAACTGAGGCCCAACAAGAGGCAGTGGTTTTTTTAAGCCAGGGAAGGATGGTGACTAGGCCCAGAGCCAAGGCTGCCATCACTCCATCCTTCCCACTTTGGCTCTGCCATTTAACTGCTCTGTGACCTCTGGCAAGTTCCTTCAACTCCCTATGTCTCAGTTTCTCCCTCTGTAAAATGGGAACAAGAGTGCCTTCCGGCCGGGCGTGGTGGCTCACACCTGTGATCCCAGCACTTTGGGAGGCCGAGGCAGCTGGGATCACCTGAGGTCAGGAGTTCAAGACCAGCCTGGCCAACATGGTGGAACCCCATCTCTACTAAAAATACAAAAATTAGCTGGGCGTGGTGGTGTGTGCCCTTAATCCCAGCTACTCGGGAAGCTGAGGCAGGAGAATTGCTTGAACCTGGGAGGCGGAGGTTGCAATGAGCCTAGATTGCACCACTGCACTCCAGCCTGGGTGAGAGAGCAAGACCCCATATCAAAACAAAAACAAAAAACAACAACCAAAAAAGAGTGCTTTCCTAGGTGTTGTGAGGATTCAGTGAGGTAAAGCACTTGGAACAATAGGTAGCTTTTGCTATGATCAGTGATTCTTAATGGCTGTGAGGAGAAAGTAGCCCTGGCCCCACCGCGATGTAGAACCCGGGAACCAGCTATAGTGTAAAGGAGCTCACTGTCGGGGAGGAGCTGCTGGGCCGGCTGGGTGGGGGGACCTCCAACTTAGAAATGGGCGGAGAGGAGGGGACAGTGAGAGAGGCAGGCACAGGGAAGCAGATGGCCCAGGAGGAGGCCTGGTAACCCCGAAGGGGAGAAGAGCTGCTGGATGGTGAAGGGCAGGCCTGAGGTGGCCAGGGAGGCAGCCCCCATTCCAGAGGCTGGTGGAGAGGAGGAGCTGGGACCACAGTGGGATGTCCTGTCGTAAATTCTAGCAAGGGCACCGTGTGCTGTCAGAAAAGCACATGCAACTTGATGTGTAGAAAAGGGAAAAACAGGCCAGGTGTGGCAGCCCACGCTTATGATCCTAACACTTTGGGAGGCTGAGGTGGGAGAACTGCTTGAGGCCAGGAGTTTGAGGCCAGCCTGGGGCAACACAGTGAGATCCTGTCTCTACAAAAATAAAAAATAAAAAAATTAGCCAGGTGTGGTGGTACACACCTGTAGCTACTAGGGAGCCTGAGGCAGGAAAATTACTTGAGCCTGCAAGGTCAAGGCTGCAGTGAGCTGTGATTGTGCCACTGCGCTCGAATCTGGGTGACAGAGTGAGATCCTGTCTCTCAAAACAAAAAAAGAAAGAAAAAAATAGATTCTGTTTTGCTGGTGGCAGTAACAAAGAAAGGGGCGTGGTTGCCTGGTCACGGTCAGTACCAGGCATTAGTTAGGAACCCATTATGTGAGGTCTGAATCCCCAGCAATTCTTAATGTCTGGGGAAGAGGGGAAAGTAGATAAAAAATTTGGGGGATGTGTAAAGTTAACAGTTTACATAAAGGGGGCGAGGTTAAAACTGATTGAGAGGGCCGGGCATGGTGGCTCATACCTGTAATCCCAGCACTTGGGGAGGCTGAGGCGGGCGGATCATCCGAAGTCGGGAGCTCAAGACTAGCCTGGCCAACAAGGTGAAACCCCATCTCTACTAAAAATACAAAAATTAGCCAGGCATGGTGGTAGGTGCCTGTAATCCCAGCTACTTCAGAGGCTGAGGCAAAAGAATTGCTTGAACCTGGGAAGTGGAGGTTGCAATGAGCTGAGATCGTGCCACTGCACTCCAGCCTGGGCAACACAGGGAGACCCTCTCTCAAAAAAAAAAAAAAGAGAAATAAATAAAAACAAAAAACTGATTGAGAAACACGGCTCTAGGCTCTCCCTCCAGGCTGGTGGACACAGCATAGGGAAGCCCAGAGAGACCATGGTAGTGACGGGGGACTAGGGATTGAATTATGGGCTTGGATACACAGCCCTCAAGGTCTTCGAGGTGGGGCCCACTCCTGGGTGCTGTGGCTTCTGGGACCCTCAGGGCCTCCAAGTCCTTCTGCACCCAGCATATCCTGGCAGTGGGGTCTCATCTCTGATAGCAGAGGCTCCTGTGGTGGCTCAGAGCTGTCACCACGTGTGGTTTCCAGATGGGTCACCTACGCATCTCCCCGGAGCCTGCTAGAAATGCAGCACCAAGCGGGTGCGGTGGCTCACTCCTGTTATCCCCGCACTTTGGGAGGCCGAGGCAGGTGGATCTCGAGCTCAGGAATTTAAGCCCAGCTGGGCAACATAGTGAAACCCTGTCTCTACAAAAAATGGCAAAAAAAAATTAGCTGGGCATGGTGGCATGTGCCTGTAGTCCCAGGTACTTGGGAGGCTGAGATGGGGGGAATCACCTAAGCCCGGGAAGTCAAGGCTGCAGTGAGCCGTGATCATGCCACTGCACTCCAGGCTGGGCAACAGAGTGAGACCCTGTCTCAAAAAAAAAAAAAAGAAAAAGAAATGCAGCACGCTGGGCCCACCCAGACCTGCTCTAGCAGAAGGCCTAGAGTGGTGCCCGTAGGCCTGTGTTTTAACATGCTCTGCTGGTGGTTCTGATGTGGGCTAAGTATACACAAATCACAGGTTAGCTGAGTACGTGGGGCATCTTGTTCAAATACAGATTGTCATCCAGCAGGTCTGGGGAGGGGCCTAAAATTCTGTGTTTCTAACAAGCTACAGCTGATGCTGGGGCTGCCCCCCTGGAACCACACTTTGAGACACGAGGCTACAGATCAGAAGTTGCAATGTGGCCACCCCATGGCTGACCACACCCCAGGGATGGCTCTAGTGTAGTTGGATTTGGCATAATGAGGCAGGTGTCACACTTGGTCTCCATACAAGCCCTGCTGGCTTCACACACCGAGCTTCCAGCCAGGTCTCTGTAGACTTCTGAGTTTGCAACCTCTAGTCTGGATGAGAATGCTCTGTTAACCAGAACCCTCAGCTAACAAGACACCCATTCCCTACGGGCCCTGATGGCTGCTAAGTTTACTGAACTTTTGGGGGGTTGGAACGTATCTTGAATGCATCCAGGTCTAAATTGCCTCCTTCATCCCATTTCCCAGATGAGAAGATCCAGGAAGATAAATGGCAACCATATTAGTCCAGGTTTTCTGGAGAAACAGAACCAATAGGATATCTATCTATGCAGAGAGAGAAATGTATTTTCAAGAATTAGCTCATGCGATTGTCGGGGCTGGAAAGTCCAAAATCTGTAGGGCAAGCCAGAAGGCTGGAAACCCAGGCAGGGTTTCTATGCTGCAGTCTTGGGGCTGAATTCCGTCTTTGAGAAACCTTAGTCTTTGCCCTGAAGGCCTCTGATCAATTGAATGAGGGCCACACATAATGGAGGGTAAGCTGCTGGACTCAAAAGTCTACTGATTTAATGTTAACTGCATCTAAAAACTACCTTTATTTGACCAAACAACTGGTCACCAAAGCCTTGCCAAGCTGACACATAAAATTAACCATCATAGCAATCTTTAGTTCCTAGGAGATCTGTCATGGGGCAGGAAAACAGGGTGTTAGGGCAGGAGCTCTGGGCTAGCCCTTCTTAAGTGTGGGAGCTCAGAGAGCCCACCCCCACCCTGTCAGCTGCAAGAGAAGGGTGAAGGTGGGTGTGGCCATGCTGATGGAGAGATAACCATAATAAAATGAGAATAATAATGCCTGTCCCAGGTCCTTGAAATTCTATAGCTTCACAACATCCCCAAATGAGGTGTTATCATCAGCACTCCCATTCTCCAGGTGAGTAAACCAAGGCTAGGAAGTTGAATCACTTACCCACATGGTTCTGGTCCTCTGGCTCCCAGCCCAATACCACTCTACCTATTGGGCCTCCACTAATGTGACTCTGGACAAGTCATTGGTCCTTCTGTGTCTCAGTTTAGTTTTCTCATCCAACACATGGAAATTACAAAATGCTTGACGCACTGCAGATACTGGCTCAAAATGAGAAAAACCTCTCCATGGCTTTCGGCTGTTCTCAGGACAACATCCAGGTTCCCTGATGAAGCTCTCAAAGTCCCCTCCCTCACACTTTTGGCTCTAGCTCTGCTGTTTGCCACACACAGTTTCAGCAAGTATTTTTCGTGCCTCCCTAATTCTGCATATGCTGTTCCATCTGCCTGGAATGCCCTTCCCCCTTCTTCACTTAGTGATTTCTTTCTTCAAACTCAGCTCAGTAAAACCAAATGCAGCCGGGCATGGTGACTCATGCCTGTAATCCCAGCACTTTTGGAGGCTGAGGTGGGCGGATCACTTGAGGTCAGGAGTTCGAGACCCAGCCAACATTGTGAAACCCCATCCCCACTAAAAACACAAAAACTAGGCAGGGCATGGTGGCTCACACCTGCAATCCCAGCACTTTGAGAGGCCGAGGCAGGTGGATCACAAGGTCAAGAGATCAAGACCATCCCGGCTAGCATGGTGAAACCCCATCTCTACTAAAAATACAAAAATTAGCTGGGCGTGGTGCACGCGCCTGTAGTCCCAGCTATTCGGGAGGCTGAGGCAGGAGAATCGCTTGAATCCAGGAGGCAGAGGTTGCAGTGAGCCGAGATCGCACCACTGCACTCCAGCCTGGCAACAGCAAAACTCCGTCTCAAAAAAAAAAAAAAAAAAAAATCAAAAATTAGCCGGACATGGTGGCGGATGCCTGTAATCCCAGCTACTCAGCAGGCTAAGGCAGGAGAATCACTTGAATGGGGGTGGGGTGTGGAAGTTGCAGCAAGCTGAGATCGCGCCACTGCACTCCAGCCAGGGCAACAGAATGAAACTGTCTTAAAAAAAAAAGCACTATGCACCCACCCCCACCCCCAGGACGGCCAAAATTTTAAAAAGCTGACCATACCATGTGTTGGCA
This sequence comes from Homo sapiens, assembly GCF_000001405.40. NCBI lineage: Eukaryota > Metazoa > Chordata > Mammalia > Primates > Hominidae > Homo > Homo sapiens. Next base: position 57,099,537 of record NC_000016.10, on the reverse strand, counting down.
ATAATGCAGAGCAACTGGAACACACACAGGTTGCCAGAGGGAGTGGAAATTGGTGCAACCACTTAGGAGAAACATTAGTGCCCAACGAAAACACTCACGTATGTTCACCCAAAGATACACACAGGAATGTTCATGGCAGTGCTAATCCAAATAATCCCAACTGGAACTCCCCACCCAAACCCCCATGATTGGAAGAAGGGAGACATAACTGGTGAATGAACACACAGCAGACCACATACAGCCAACTTGAAGGAAGAACACAGGTAGCAATAACACGGATGGGTCTCACACGTGCTGTGTGAAGGGGGCCAGAGAGAAAGGAGTATGTCATCCTATATGATTTCACTTAGGTGCCCTTAAACATGGACAAAACAAATCTATGCTGCTGGAAGTCAGGATAGCAGTAGGACACGTGGACGGGTGTTACTGACAAGAAGGGGACACCGGGGGCTTTGGTGCTGGTCGTGTCTGTTTCTGATCTGGGTTCTGGTGACCCAGATATGTTGGTTTGTGAACAGTCATTGACTGGTCCATGTAGAATGTCTGCTCTATTTCATGTTACACTTCAATGTGGTAAAACAAAAAACAAAAAACACCAAAACCAATAATCCAGGGACTCCTCTACAAAGCCCTTCCTATTTCCCTGGTCCTTGAGAGGGAATCACTTACAATATCAGCATACTGTAACCATTGGCTTAGAAGCGTCGCCCTCACTGGAGCTTAAAGATGGAACCAAACCCTGTTTCCATTTCGTTGCTCCCAACACCCAGAGGCACAGAATGGAAGCTCGACACAAGTTTGTTGAAAATGAGGAAGAGTGAAAAGGTGAGAGGAAGAGGAACCATAACATCTTGGAATTGTAGAGGCCCGGGACTAGAGGTTCACAGAATTCCAGAATTTGGGAATTCTGGGATTTCAGAGTCATGAGTTCTTTGAGTCTCAGAGCTAAAAGACTTTAGAGTTTATCTGGCCCCACTTTCCAGCCACACAGGAACCCTGGCCACAGCCTGGCTGCCCCAACATCCTGCATCCTGGTTCTGGTGGGCAGGGTCCAGCCACAAGCCTTATTCTCTGGGGCCCTTGCCGCATGCCCATTGCTGCACCAGCTCCTGCCAGGCGACAGGCAGCCCCCGGGGAGCAGGCTGGCACTCCTGACCAGGTGGGGGCGGCACCTTGACACAAATCATTTCTGCACCGAGGCTACGGCACCGGCTGCTGTGCTCCAAAGACACCACACTCCAACAGGCAGCCAGGCCATTACGGGGATAAATACAGATGCAGACAGCATGGCGAGGAGGCTGCAGCAGGGGTTGGCCCTGAGGCCCCCCTGGGGACCCCCAGCTTCCACCAGACCACATTCAGAGGGAGGTCATTCTCTGTAGTGCCCGCTTAATCACTAAGCTCTGGCTCTTAGGGGAGGTGGCTTCCCTTGGGACACCCCCACCCCCACCCTCCCAGGCCCCAGGTTCAGCTCATCCTGCACTGGAAGGTTTGTGTCACTTATAGGGGCTGACCTAGCAGGCTGAGAGGCAGCCTCCACTGTACTTCCTGTGAGTCTAGGGACTGGGTTTTGTCCTCTCCTGCCACTCCTCCCTCCTGGGCCTCAGCTCCTTCCCCTCCGGCCTCCCAGGAAGCTCCACATGGGGATAGGCACGGAGTGCTGTGGCTCTCCGGAGACTCTGAGTACTTAGGGGACCTTGGGAGTGGATCTGGCCAGGCTCAGAGGGCAGGGGACTCCCATGGAGGAGGGAATGGGGAAAGTTGTACGTCTGAGAGAAGGTGGATTTGCCTAGGACTGAAAGACTGGGGGCTGGGGAGGTGGAGGATGTGAGGTCCCCTGGGTGGGACGTCACCTGCTGCCACTGCCTGCCCACCCAAGGGACTGAGGTGTGCTGGAGAAAGTCACCCATTCCCTATGCAACCTGGGCCATGTGTCCTAACCTCTCTAGCCTCAGTTTCTTCATACAGGAAATGGAGCTGCTGCTAACTAGAGCTGTCCCCACTACTTTCTTCATGATGTTCTTAAGGCAGCAGTGAAAAGCTGGTACACTGAAGAGGGTTGTGCACAGATGTAATCCCTCTTTCACTTGGGACTTTGGGTCTCCACCTTCCAGGAGAGCTTCCCTCACCATGCAGCCATCCATTTGGTTGTTCAACAGATGTTTCTTAAGCAGTTCCTCTGGACCAGGGACTTTGCTGTGTGCTGGAGGGGCAACCATGATCAAGACACACTCAGGCTCTGGGCATAGGAGTTCGGGATGGAGTTGGGGGAACAGAGAGGTGAGCAAATGACAAGGGCAGGAAATCTCAGAGAGTGGAAAATGTCATAAAGAGAATAAAGCAGGGTGAAGTGATTGTGATAGGGCAGTGTGGAGGAGGCCACATTTGAGCTGGGATGTTAATAGACCAGGAGCCCCAGGAGAGCAAGGCATTGGTCTCTCTCGTTCATGGCTGTATCCCAGCCATAGCTGGTGCCCAGCAGGTACTCAGTGAATATTTTTGAATGAATGAATGAATGGGCTCCTGAACCAAGCTAGGCATGTCCCCACCACAGGGCCTTTGCATGCGCTGTTTCCTCTACCTGTTCCCCAGCATGTGTAAAGGCCCTGTGGTGTGGACATGCCTAGTGTGGTTCAGAAGCCCATTCTCCCTACAACTCTACTGTATCCCTGCAGGCTTTTGTGTCTTATCAGGAGCTGAGGATATCTGGCCTGCCTGATGTGCCCTGGCTGTCCCCTCTCTAAAACACAGGAGGGAATATGCCCAACTCCCAGCAGACAACTCCTGCAATCCCTCTTTCCTTTGGTTGGACCCCAAGTCTTTTTTTTTTTTTTTTTTTGAGACATGGTCTCACTGTTTCACCGAGGTTGGAGTACAGTGGCACAATCATGGCTCACTGCAGCCTCGACCTCCTGGGCTCAAGCAATCCTCCCACCTCAGTCTCCCAAGTAGTTGGGACTACAGGCATGCACCACAACACCCAGCTAATTTTGTTTATTTTTTATTTTGGTAAAGACGGGTTTTTGCCATGTTGCCCAGGCTGGTCTTGAACTCCTGGGCTCAAGTGGTCTGACTATCTTGGCCTCCCTCAGTACTGGGATTACAGGTGTGAGCCACCACGCCCGGCTCTCCCATCAGTCTTTCAGAGACATGCCCAACCTGAGAAAAGTGTATTGTAAGAGTGCAGTGAATGCTGGGAGCTGAGCTACTGGGTTTCAAACTCTGGTTGGCCATGGGCTAGTTGAGCACCACACACTGGATGGCTTAGATTCTCTCACAGTTCTGTAGGCTACAAGTTTGAAATCCAGCTGTCAGCAAGGCCATGCTCCTTCCAGCACTCAGTATGGTAAGCCAGAGATCCCTCCAGAGACTCAAGAGGGCAAGCTCGTAATTCTCCCAGGATCCATCACTCAACATCACAGACTCATTTAACAGGAGGCTGCAAAGAGGGGCAGGTGCAGTCATTCCTCACACAAGGATTTACTGAGCACCTACAATGTGCCAGGCACTGTTCTAAGTGCTGGGACATGGCCCTAAACAAGACAGACACTGTTTGCTCTTGCCTTTTTGTGGATCTGACACCCTTTGGGGAGGGAGGCAGATAAGCTGGTGCACCAATGAGTAAAGAAGATGGTTTTAAAGAGTGGCAAATGCCCCAAGAAAAATACAACCAGGAGATGCAGCAGTGAGGAGGGATGGTGACACAATCTCACTAGTCAGTCTCATTGCAGACCTCAGAGCAAGTGTGGCCAGATAAGTAAGAAATGTTCCATGGTCGGGCACAGTGGCTCATGCCTATAATCCCAGCACTTTGGGAGACCGAGGTGGGTGGATCACCTGAGGCCAGGAGTTCAAGGCCAGCCTAACCAACATAGCAAAACCCCGTCTCTACTAGAAATACAAAAATTAGCTAGGTGTGCACCTGTGATCCCAGTTACTTGGGAGGCTAAGGCACAAGAATCGCCTGAACCTGGGAGGTGGAGGTTGCAGTGAGCTGAGATCACACCAGTGCACTCCGGCCTGTGTGACAGAGCAAGATCCTGTCTCAAAAAATAAATAAATAAAAAATAAAAAAAGGAAGAAAGAAAGAAATATTCCAGGGTATGGAACAGCAGTCTTCTTGACTCTGCCATGGGAGTGACAGCCGAGGTCCAGTGGCCCAATGAGGGCAGAAGACATTGGGATGTGAGCCAGGAGGCGCCTCTAACCTGGGCTCTGTCCTCAGGCACTGTGGGACCCCTATGTCCTCCCTTCTGGACAGGGAGGTGGGGAGATGTGTGATTGTGGACTTTTCTAGATGCTGCCTGCCAAGATCACAGGGTGACCTGGCATCCCAGCTCCCACAGAGCCCACACCACCGTGTCTGGCAGGGTTGGGGGAGATCCCACCTCCACTCCCTGAGGCCATATTCTGCAAGGGGGAAGGAGCTGGGTCCTCAAGGTGTTTTGCTCCTGATTCGGTAGCCCCAGTGCCATCTATGAATAAGGTTCAGGGGAGGGGAGAGGGACAGAGACCTCCATCAGGCTGGGGGCACCCTGACCCTGAGCTGAGGGCTTCTCAGATCGGGACCGTGCCTGGCGATGATGCCTCCTGCTCTGACAGGAGGGAGAAAATTACTAGAGAGTGCTCTTTTGTTTTCTGTTCACTCCTTAGAGCCCTGTGAGGCCAGCCAGATGTGGGGAAATGGGGACACCTGGATGAGACCTACCACTTCTCCTGGTCTTCTTTCACCCCAGGCCCCTGCCCCTAGAACAGCCCAGAAGTCCTGACGGGAGGGGGAGGAGCAAGCTGGCCTGAGACAACCCCACAAAGGATCCTGGATGCAGTCACCCACATCAGGCTTCTTAATATTCCCATGGATAATGACAATGACAGTTAACCAGGCACTCACCACGTACCAATAAGTGCTGGCACCCGAGTCCTTGCAATCTAATTTAATCCTACCTTTGCAGAAATACACAATTACCTGAAAAGAATATGAAGGTGTATAGATATAAAAACTGAGGACTGGGAGGAGGACCAGATGGGGTCCAGTACTTACTGTTTTACAGACATAGAAACCGAGGCTCCATTCTCAGCCATCTTCTTCCCTTATGCCCCAGTTTTTAATTCTCATGACATTCCAGAGGGAGTGTCCGTTGGAACACCACCAGAGACACCACACTTGCCACTCATGAAGTGCTCCCTACTTGCAGAACGTCTGCTCCCTGTTCCCCAGTTCCAGCCTCCCAGCCGCCCTACTGTAAGCTGGATCATGTCACAGTTTGCCTCATTTTACAGACAGAAAACCCCCCAAGTCCAAGGGGTGACAAGGCACGCAGACAGGAAGTGACGGCCGCAAAACGAACCCAAGCGTCCACATCCTTCGTCCCTGGTTCTTTCCATGGAGAAACCTGCCTGGGTGACCCCTTCCAATCCAGCTGGCTGGGGCGGTCCTGGAGCTCACCTGGACCTATGCCAGGCGGAATGCCATAAAACCACGCCTTCATGCTGTGTCCATTCTCCAGGAGGCAGGCCCCGGAACATCAGCCCATTTCACAGATGGTGACCCAGAGGGCCACAGGGGGGGAGGGTCTGGGCCAAGTTCCCTGTTGGTCATAGGTGGGGTTCAGACCCAGGTCTCCCAGGCCTCCCCATCAGGGCAGGCTGCAGCTGCCAGGGATTACAATCTGCGCACACCGCCTGTTTCCTGAAAACCATGGGCTCCCTGCAGTCCGTGAAGCTGTGGATGCCCAAGGGGCAGAAAAAGCCCCCCAACCTTTGATGACAGCACACACCTCTAAGGGAGCAAAAAACTAAGGCAGACAAAAAAAAGGGCGTTTTGTCTGGAAGATCATTCTTCCAGACCCCTTGTCCCTTCCCCCAGTACATATGGGGCAGGGGATTCAGATGCAAGATGAACACCCTATTAGCTACCAGAGCCAGCAGCATCTGTGACCTTGGGCAAATCACAGCCCCCTTTGAAGCAGCCCCTTCCCCATAGGAGAGCTTCTTGAACTCGGGGGGACGTGGAGCGAGGCTGGGGGATGGGGTGGGAAGAGCAGGGAAGAGGGTGTAAGACCCCTCTATTTTCAGAGGAGCATCGCTGTGAGAAACGGGGAATAAGAGAGGGCCTTGTTCGCCCGCTCTCTCCATGCCCACCCCCACACCCCCTTTAAACACACAGGTGCCAGACAGCTTTTTCGCAAAAACTAGTTTGCAAACACACTCCGACTTCTGGGAAGCTGCCCAGCTCCACTCCCCCTCTGCGCTCCCAGTACCGGGGCTGGGAGCCGGCCCTCCGGCAGTTGCCTGGGGCAGGGGGTGGGTGTTGAGGGGTGGGAGGAGGGCAGAGGGGAGCGGAGAGGAGCCAGCGCCCGCCGAGAGCCAGGGCGACCTCACGCCTTCAGCAGCTGCGGCAGCGGCGGGTCTCCACCTCCCGTACGCCCTCCAAGCCCCTCGGGGCGGGTGGAAGGGTCCCCAAAGCAGCTGGGCTCGGACCCCCGAGGGCGCCCCCCTCCCCAGGGACCCCGCCCGCCCTTCCCCGCAGTCCGGGAGCCGGCGGGGCGCCCCCGCGTGGCCGGGTCGGAGCTGAGTCACCGAAGCGCCGGAGTCCGGGTTCGCGCTGGCGGCGGGGGCTAGAGCGCCGCAGCCCCCCGAGGCGGAACCCGGGTTCCTTCGGACCCGCAGCTGGATCAAAGAGCCCAGCCCCAAGGCCGAAGTTGGGCACTCACGCCAAGCTGCCCCGCCTGCCCGGGCCCCACTCACCGCAGGTCCCGCGGGCGCCACCGCCCTCACCGCACGGCTGCCGCTGCCCGCGCTCCGAGCCGCCCGGGCATCCCCGGGAGCTGCTCCTGCTCGGCCGGGCCCGCGGGCGCGGGACAGGCTCAGGGCGCTGCCCGCGCGGCCACGGCCCGCTCGCGTGCGCTCCCAGCCGCTCGGGGTCCGGTCCTCCTCCCGGGCCGGGCGGGCGGGCGGCGGCGGCGGCGGCGGCTCGGGCTCCTCCCTCCGGCCGAGGAGGGGAGTGGGGAGGGAAGTGGGAGGCGAGGCGGGAGCTTCCTGGAGGGGCGCGCGCTCTCCCACGGGAGGAGCGGGGGCGCTGTCCCGCCCGCAGTCCGCCGCTCCCAGCCCGCGCCCGGCGCGCCGCGGCACTCGGGGCGCCTGGCACCGAGGGGGCCCGAACGTTCGGGCCGAACGCGAGGGTCCGAAGGTTCCAGGCTGGGACTCAGGTGGCTGAGGATCGGAACAACGCGGCTTCGCGCCCTCCCCAGGCCTGCTTTGCCCGAGCCTCTGGCACCTCCGAGTTCCGAGCGCCGTGCGCTCAGGGCCACCGACGCGGGAACAGAGGGGTGGCCTCAGCCCGGGCCTGCGGGGCCCCAGGGCCGCTTGGACCCCCAGCGCCGATGGGAGCGGCGCTGCGCCCTCGGGGCAACACCCAAGGCTGGGTTCTGGGTTGTATTGGGCAGGATTAGGGCCGCAGTGTTTTCTTCCCTTTTTTTTTTCAATAGCAAAAGAGCTCGGCATTTTCTTGCCGCCAGAGATTGGAAATATGACATATTTCTCTGACACAGACGATAAGATAAAGACGGATCCGAACTGGGCCTGGGTCTACTCATCCGTGCGGAAAATTAGGCGAGTCTTTAAGGCCTTGGAGCCCAGGCCTCCTTTTCCCTAGAAGAGGCACCAATTCTTAGGACACTTGTCTGTCGCTGGGCGCTCAAGCCTTTGGCCACTCCGCGGTATTTAGGTGCTCTCTGGGCAAGTTCACCACCGGGCATCAGAAGGCTGAGCCTCACGTAACCAGATTCTGGGGGGCGGGGCTTTCCCGGGGATCTCAAGGCCATGTCCACAGCCCTTGGCCCTGGGGCTCAAGGACTGGGCAGCTGAGGGTTAATGCCGAGTGCTTCCATTGTGGCTTTTCGATTCCAGGCAGGTGAGGGTTAATGTGGGAGCCTCGCGCGCTGCAGCCTGTGAGCCTCCCTCCACGTCTGAGTCACTGGCACTTTGCAGCCTTACAGGGGCCGAGACTAAACAGCCCCCGGGGCTCTGAGCTTTGTTCTCTGCCTGCCTGTCACCCATCCATCTTTCCTTTCTCCAAGCTCTCTTCACCTTTCTTCCACCGAAGCCAATCAAAGCCCTCTGCCCCGCTCTGGGGCAAACCAACCTATCAACCCAACTCCAGCCCCGCTTCCTCCAGGAAGACTTTCCTGATTGCTCTGGCCTCAGAATCTGTCTCTTGTCTTTCCAGCAGCAGGAGAGCCAGGCACTGGGATGGACAGTGGTGAACCAAAGCAGATAGTCTCTCTCAAGTTGCTCACCTGTGGGGGCCAAGATCAGGACCCAGGCCATCATATCACCATATGAAATGTGCAAAGATTGGAGGTAGGGTGGCACAGAAGACCCAACTCAGCCATGGGAGTCAGCGAGGCTTCCTTTAAGAAACCTGAAGGATGAGATAGTTGGGCCTGTCAAGGAAGATACTAGATCCCTAGCCAAGGAGGCAGAGTACAAAGGCCAGGGGTCACAGCAATTCCACTCCTAGATATCTACCCGGGAGAAATGAAAACATATGGCCACACAAAACATACACAAATGTACGTAGCAGCATTATTCATAATAGCCAAAAAGTGGAAACCACGCAAATGTTCATCCACTGATGAATGGAAAAACAAAATGTGGTATATCCACACAACATAGAATATTATACAGCCATAGAAAGGTACGAATTACTGGCCAGTTGTGGTGGCTCACACCTGTAATCCCAGCACTTTGGGAGGCCAAGGCGGGCGATTACTTGAGGTCGGGAATTCAAGACCAGCTTGGCCAACATGGCAAAACTCTGTCTCTACTAAAAATATAACAATTAGCCAGGCGTAGTGGCAAGAACCTGTAATCCCAGCAATTCGGAAGGCAGGAAGGAGAATCACTTGAGCCCAAGAGGCGGAAGTTGCAGCCAAGATTGCGCCACTGTACTCCAGCCTGGGTGACAGAGGGAGATTCCATCCCCCCTCCAAAAAAAAAAAGAAAGGAAAAAAAGAAAGGTGGGAAGTACTGATACATGCTACAGTATGGACAAACTTGGAAAATATTATGCCCAGTGAAAGAAGCCAGTCTCAGACAAATATTACATGGCTCCATTTAGATGAAATGTCCAGAATAGACAAATCCACAAACAGACAAAGCAGATTTGTGGTTGCCTCGGCCGGGGAGTGGAGAATGGGGAGTGATTGCTATTGGCAAAGGGTTTCTTTGGGAGATGATAAAAAATGTTCTAAAGTTAGATTCTAGGCAGAGTGCGGTCCTGCCTGTAATCCCAGCACTTTGGGAGGCCGAGGCAGACAGATTACTTGAGGCAAGGAGTTCAAGACCAGCCTGAGCAACATAGTGAGACCCCACCATCTCTACCAAAAAAAAAAAAAAAATTAGCCGGGTGTGGTACCTGCCTGTAGTCCCAGTTAGGAGGCTGAGGTGGGAGGATTGCTTAGGAGGTTGAGGCTGTGGTGAGCCATGATCACACCACTGCACTCCGGCCGGGGTGACAGAACAAGACCCTGTATGAAAAAAAAAAAAAGTTAGATTATAGTGATGATTGCACAACTGTAGGTATTCTTAAAACCACTGACTTACACACTTTAAAAGGACAAATGTCATGGTGTATGGATTATATCCCCATAAAGCTATCTTTAAAAAAAAGGCCAGGGATCAGGAGAGCCCTGAAGAAGTTGATTAAGGCCAAGGATCCATCACAGGTTGATTCTACATGCTTTATCCTCATTCCACACCCAACACAAGACTGCAAAATGTTAAACGAAGTCTTTCCCTGCCCAGGTGGAGACCTCTCAGTGCACAGTGGGAGGCCTGAAGGCCCCGAAATAGACCCATGTCAGGGTATGTGTGTCAACACCTGCCATCTGGGTGTTTATTTTCACAGTCCAGGCTGTTTGGACAAACGGATCAGAATACCCAGGTTTGCCCATGCATGTCAGTGTGCTCGTGAATGAAAGACACATTGAAGGAGCGCCAGCTGTTCAGGGATCTGGCTGGGCCAGGAGTGTGTGAGGACTGGCGGAGGGAGGGTGTTCCAGTTATTTATGTTGCATCGCAGATCACCCCAAAACTTATCCCTCACACTTCCGGGGTCCTCAGGGCTCATCGAGGGCAGGTGTTGCACAGTGTTTCCCATACAGTTGCAGTCAGATCATGGTGGTGGCTGAAATTGTCTAGAAGGCTTTCTTGAACATATGGCTATCACTGGACGCTGGCTGTCATCTGGAACCTCAGCTGGAATTGTCAGCTGGAACACCTACCTGAGACCATTCCTTGTAGCCTGGGCTTCCTAGTGGCATGGCATAGGGTTCCATGAGTGAGCATTTCAAGAGAGGCAAGTGGAAGCGTTATCATCTGTTTCAGGCCCTTGCCTTGGGAGTCACATAATGTCACTTCTGTTGTAGTCACAGAGGGGTGTCACCGTCACATAATAGGAAGAGCATGTGGGACGGAAGATACTGTGATGGCTGTCTTTAGAAAATACCATGTGCCACAGGGGGTTGATATGGAAACATATCAGGATCCTTGAGGGATCCCCTCAAGGATCTCCTGGTTAGAGGCAGGTGTGGCTGACTCCATTGTCAAACCTCAGGCATGGAGTCATGGCCATGAGTTTGAATCCCAGCCGCTCAGCGGCTGCCTAGGTGAAATCACTCAATCCTCTGGCCCTTGCTCTCCTTCTCTGTAAAATAGGATAGACTTAGTATTTGCTTTATGGGATGGTTGTGAGAATCCAATGAGACAGAATTCAGTGAGACCGTAACGTGCCAGGCAAGTGTAGACAGCAGGGCTAGTGTATAATTGCTATTTTTTTGTTGTTGTTGAGACGGAGTCTCGCTCTGTCGCTCAGGCTGTAGTGCAGTGGCACGATCTCGGCTCACTGCAAGTTCTGCCTCCCGGGTTCACGCCATTCTCCTGCCTCAGCCTCCCGAGTAGCTGGGACTACAGGTGCCCGCCACCACACCCGGCTAATTTTTTGTATTTTTAGTAGAGACAGGGTTTCACCGTGTTGGCCAGGATGGTCTCGATCTCCTGACCTCATGATCCACCTGCCTCGGCCTCCCAAAGTGCTAGGATTACAGGCATGAGCCACCACACCCGGCCATATAATTGCTATTTTTTAAGTTCCAGGGTTGTGGTCACTCTGATGCAGGGACGGTCCCTTTCTAGGATCAGGATACCCAGACTTCTCCAGCCCTTCCAGACAACCTCAGACACCTCCCTCAGCTCTGACCCTGTGCTGAAGTATGTGTGGGTGTGTGTTGGGGAGTGGGAGGTGGAGGACTAAGGGTCCCATGAGGACCACTGATGCCTCTGGCCCCAGGCTCCTAACCAAGGGGTCCCCAGTTGGCCTTTCTTCCCTGGGGAAAGCTCCTCTACTGTTCTCTCCTTCCCAGGGCAAAGGTCTCTTTCTGGACAGCTAGGTTGGGGTGTGTGTGGGATGAGCCTCCAGGTGTGGCTTCCAAGGGCCAAGGGGAGGGTTCTTCACTGGGGTAATTGGGAGGCAGGACAAAGACCAGCAGTCCCTGGAACTTCCTGAGCCTTGCCCCGGGATGAGATGATCTTTTTTTTTTTTTTTTTTTTTTTTTGAGATGGAGTCTCGCTCTTTTTGCCCAGGCCAGAGTGCCGTGGTGCAATCTCAGCTCACTGCAAGCTCCACCTCCTGGGTTCGTGCCATTCTCCTGCCTCAGCCTCCCGAGTAGCTGGGACTACAGGCGCCCGCCACCACACCCAGTTAATTTTTTGTATTTTTAGTAGAGACGGGGTTTCACTGTGTTAGCCGAGATAGTCTCGATCTCCTGACCTCGTGATCCGCCCGCCTCAGCCTCCCAAAGTGCTGGGATTGCAGGCGTGAGCCACCACGCCTGGCCGAGAGATGATCTTTACCAAACCAGCCACTGAATGGTCTTTCCTGGAAGCTCTGGATGTGCCTAGAGTGCATCACAGGTCCTCAGGCCTAGCTTTGGCCATGAAGGGTAGGGTTGGGGGCAGAAGCAGAGCCCAAGAAGGGTGCACAGCCCTCCTGCCTTCCTGAGGGTCTCTCTCTCTCCAGGGAACACACAGACCCGCAGACCAGTTAAATCTCCAGTCCAGGACCACTCCAAAGTCACCCTTTCCTTTTGTTCCAGAGTTGGAGTCTGAGCCCCACTAAATACTCACTGTGTGACCTTAGGCAAGTCATGTTCTCTCTCTGTGTCTTGGTTTCCTCATCTGTAAAATAGAGGAGATTGTTGCTGTGATTGTTGGGCCTAGAGTACATCACAGCTGGCGATGCTCTACAGAAATAACCAGGCAGGGCAGGTGGCTGAGGATCCAGAACTCTCCCCAAGGGAGTGCAGAAATGAGCCATAAGATCATCTTTGCAGCTGAAGAACATAGGTCCTCGTGCCTAACCTCCTTTTGCTCATCCCCTTACTATACAGATGAGAAAACTGTGGGTGTCACAGGAGTGACCTGGGTTTGATTCCTGGTGCCACCAGTTACCAGCTTTGTACCTTTGGAAAAGTTAGGAAAAGTCTCTGGAGTTAGTGTCCCTCTCTGGGGAGGGAGGGTCATGGGATCCTCAGGACAAAATAAGGGGTGCAGGTGCAGGTGCAAAGGCTTGCCCAGCCTCTCCAAGAGACGGCATACTCCAGACCAGTGGGTCTCCACTGCGGCTGCACACTAGAATCACTCAGGGAGCTTTCTAAATACTCTTTTTTTCCCCCAAGACAGGGTCTTGCTCTGTCCTCCAGGCTGGAGTGCAGTGGCATGATCTTGGCTCACCGCAGCCTCCACCTTCTAGACTCAAGGGATCCTCCTACTTCAGCACCCCACCCCACCCCTACCCCCCGCCCCGAGTAGCTGGGACTACAGGTGCATGCTACCACGCCCGGCTAATTTTTGTGTTTTTTTGTAGAGACGAGGTTTCGCCATTTTGCCCAGGCTGGTCTCAAACTCCTGAGCTCAGGTGATCCTCCTGCCTCAGCCTCCCAAAGTGCTGGGATTATAAGCGTGAGCCACTGCACTCAGCCCAAATACTCCTTTTAAAAATAGTGATTTTTAAAAGCTTCCCAGGTGACTCTAATGTGCAGTCAGGGTTGCGATCCACTCATCTACAGTCTTGCTAAGCTAAGTATGGCCCAGCAACATGGCCATCACTTGGGGGCTTCTTAGAAATGCAGAATCCCAGGTGTCTGGGGCTGTCTGGAAGGGCTGGAGAAGTCTGGGTATCCTGCCCCAGACTTGCTGAACCAGAATCTGCATGGTGACAGGATCCTGACACCCTTACAATTTATGTAACTGCAGTTTTACAGCTTGGGAACCACTGGCTGGACAGATGTGTGTTTAGGGGAAGGATAGAGGAGGCAATTTGACAGCACCTGAGGCATGTGAAGGAGGCGAAGGGGGAGTCTGTGACTTCCATCAGAAAGATGGACATTCAGACACAATGGACTTTGGGGACTTGCGGGGGAAGAGTGGGAGAGGGGCGAGGGATAAAAGATTACAAATATGGTGCAGTGTATACTGCTCGGGCGCTGGGTGCACCAAAATCTCATGAATCACCACTAAAGAACTTACTCATGTAACCAAACACCACCTATATCCCAATAACTTATGGAAAAATAAAATAATAATAATAAATAAAACTAAAAAAGAAAGATGAACGTTCAATTTGTACAATTATAAGACTGAGGCCAAGAGACAAAGTAGTAAAAGGAGATTCTCCCCATCTTGCAGATAGACGCGGGTACTTACCAGCCTGATCGCATTCTCAGTGCGATGGCTCACATGCAGAGACGGGGAGCTTCCATTGGATCTTACTGCTTGCCACCCCATAACCTTGCTTTTCTTTGAATTTTATTTGTTTTCATGTATATATTTAAACTGAGCCTACTTTGGGGAGGAAGGGGGCAGGGAGGCTGTACTCCATCCGTGCTGGATAGAAAAACAGGCCGGGCATGGTGGCTTATGCCTGTAATCCCAGCACTTTGGGAGGCCAAGGCACGTGGATCACTTGAGGTCAGGAGTTTGAGACCAGCCTGGCCAACATAGTGAAACTCCGTCTCTACTAAAAATACAAAAATTAGCCAGGTGTGGTGGCGAACATCTGTAATCCCAGCTACTCAGGAGGCTGACGCAGGAGAATTGCTTGAACCCGGGAGGCAGAGGTTGCAGTGAGCCCAAATTGCAGCACTGCACTCCAGCCTGGGTGACAGAGCAAGACTCCGTCTCAAAAAAAAGAAAAAGAAAAAGAAAAATCAAAAAACGGTTAAGGCCTCCAAGCAGGCAGGTGGCAAGAGAGGAAGTTTCTTAATAAAATGAACAAGGCAATTTCACACCAACTTGATGTAGGCCCAGCCAGCTCTGCAGTGCCGCAATACTATGGTTTATTTCAGGGAAGCTGCTGAAAGTTTCTTGGAGTGTAGAATTTGGGCAGATATGAAGGGGGGAAAAGGCGAAGAGAGAAGTAAAATGGCTAAGCAGCAAATGAAAATAGTGTCCTTGAGCTCCGGGGTCCCCTGTCCCCCATGGCCAGGTGCCTCTGCTGGTATCCTCTGCTCCTTCCTCGGCCTTGGCTCCCCTGCCAAGCTATTTCCAGGCTTTGAGGGATTCATCCTTCATTCTTGGGCAAGGAGAGGAGGCAATGCAACCCCTCTAGTGTGAAGGTGATCTTGGGCACACTGAAGGCCAAGGTCAACTCGGCATCATGTCCCAGGAAAGGGAGACAGAATTTCGGACCCAGGGTTGCCTGGTAAACTTCTTGGATCCTCTTCCTGCCTACTTTTTCCCCCATGAGCAGGCTGACGGGCCCATTTGGTGCTAGGTGTGCCCTGACCCTGGCCCGGTAAGGGTGGCCCTGTGTGAAGTATGGGTGCTTGGCACTTGGCTGGAGGACTTTCTCCTCATGCTTGGCAGGGGGCCAGGAACAACCTGGAGGGCTGCAAAGGTCAAGGCCAAGCCACCCAGGTGATGTCACTGGTAGGCTGGGACATCCCAAGCTACTAGGCCGGGTGGGAACAGGCCCCAGCATCGCCTCCTAACTTCCTTCTGGGTCCCACAGTGGAGGAAGTTATCTCATGAATCGCCAGTGGGCTAGCCTGCCCTCCAGTGGTGCTCAGCTGTAACTGCACCACCCTCCCGACTTGGTTTTTCACAATGGGGTGGGAGGCTCCCCCTAAGATCAACTTGTTTTAACTACACGAGGGAGACAGGATGCTGATCTGTCATTTTGGGCATCTCTTCACGTCATATGATATTCGGCTATAAAAAGAGAGGAGAGCTAGGATAACTCGTTTTTGTTTTTTGTTTTTTTTGCCGGTAACTTTGCTCGTCTTGCTTTCCTGACCTCTCCAACAGTCTTAATGTGTGTCTGTGTGTTGTGGGGGTGGCTGCTAACCCACATACCTCAAAGACAGGTAGCAAAGGGTTAAGTCACATTCTATTCCATGCCTGTCTGACTTCCAAAGCCATGTTCCTCTGGTACAACATACCCATGCAAACTCTCTAGGCCAGGGTCAAAGAGCAGCAAAAAGTGGGGTCAGGTGGGGTGTCAAGACAATGGGGAGTGGTGGGGACTGCAGCAAGCTGAGGCATGTGTGCACATCTAAAAGGCACAGTCATGTGACTCTTCAGTGGGAGTGCTGGATTAGCACTTAAAAGCAAGCAGAATCTGAATTTTTATGTAAAATTCCCAATTTTGAATACTGACAATGAATTCAGAAAGTAGTTTCAATGTTATGCAAGTCAAACAAAAAATGTTTCTAACATGCTGAGCTTCTATAACACCCTCACGTTGCAGGCGAGGTCTGGAGAGAGGAGGTAACTTGCCCATGGCCACGTGACTAGAGACAAGTCCTGAGCTGGGAACCCATGTCTCCTGACTCCCAGGCCAGTGCTCCACTCAGCACACCTCTCTGTTGTTTGCGCTGCTGTCCAGTCCTTACGGCAGGGGGTGAACCACCTCTGACTTCAGTGGGGTAAGAGGAAACATTGGATTCACGCTAGACGTGGAATACCATTGTGTTTATTGATCAAGCCTGGCTTCGAGTGTGACAGAGCCATTCTTGGTTCTCCTTGGAAGTAACAAGAACACTGGGTAACATGTGAAGTGCATGGAGACTCACCTGAATCCCACCAAAGTAGTAGCTGGACCCAGTAGCCTAGCTTATTGTCTTGGCAGTGCCCCCTACCCAGTACCATTAGACCTGGCTTTGTCCCTTACATAGGACAGACTGGGCTTCTCCACTCCCGCCAGGCTGGCCCTACCTCCACCTGTCCTTGGAAGCTAGTATGTAAGTAAGGGAGGAGTCATCAAGTTTATAGATGGGTAGGCTGAGGATTGAGGCAGGAGGGGACTTAATGGCTGAGTCCCTGGCTTGTTCCAGAGCCCTGGCCCTTGAGCCCCTGGACTGGTCAGTGCATGGACACTCTCCCCTCCCAGCTCGGGCGGAAGACTTTTCCTGACTTAGCTGCTCCATACACACAATCTATAAATATGTATTTGCTTTAAAAATTAATAAATTAGATCTTGGGCCAGCCTGAGGTCATCTGGCCAGCCATGAGTCCTGTGACATGGACATTTGTCATGTGTCATATATAGACCAACAATCATGTATCCTGCTACTTGGGATGCCAGCACCCATGCCACAGAACACGTGCCACACTGACTTTCATGTAACGCCACATGTCAAGGGGTCACACTGCCACATATAACCGTACGTGTCATGCATTGTCATGACACCCTCATTGTGTGTCGCATGTCCCCAATTGATCACACATATCCCACGTAATGCAGGGTACTCCTTTGTCCAGACCCAGCTCCTGGTTCCCAAAAAAGTTCTCCCTGAGGACTGCAGCAGGACACACGTATCCTTCCTCCTGGGTGGAGTGCAGAGCGCCCTGCCGAGGCTCTTCTTTCCTGAGTCAATTATCCCAGTGGGCGAAAGGTGGATCATTTGGGTGCATCACTTGGCTGGATTCCAAAGGTCTTGAGGGGGCCATCAAGTACCCCAAGGGGCCTGGGGCTGGTTGTCAAAGAAGGCAAAGTCCAGCCTGGGCTCCTGGCTCTTCAGGTGCTGGGCCATGTCGCAGGGAATGGGGTTATTCCAGAGGCTGTGGGGCACAGATATAGGCACTCATTCATCCTCCCATCTTTGCCATCTGTCGTATCTGCAGATTGGGAGGCTGAGGCCCAAAAAGGTAGAGCTGTGCCTAGAGTTACCTGGCAGAGGCAGGTGTTAGACCAGCATAGCTGACCTAGGGAGAGGGTGTACCCCACACCTGCCTCCTGAGTCCTCCAACTCAACCTTCCTCCCTGGGAGATAGTGATGCCAGCTAAGGCCACACTCATATGACACATTTGTGCAAATAAGGAAAAGACCCTCTTTCTTCAAGATGTTTTACTTCCATCTGTCTGAAATTGTCATAATATATGATTTTGGTAGAACAAGGTACTTTACTCTCATCTGCTAGAAATCTAGCAGGTTGACAATGTGAATGGTGCCCCTTAGGTTTAATGCCCTTGTGCAGTGCACAACCTATACAACTGTATGTGATGGCTCTGATTATAGCTGCCATTTTAAGTGCTTACTATGTGCCAGGCATTGGGTTCAGTGCTTTATATGCTCATTTAGTCTTCACAACTCTCTGAGGTAGATACTATCAGTATCCCCATTTCACAGATGAGAAAATTGGGGTTCAGAGAGGTTGAGTTATGGCTACAAAGTTACACAGTTGGCAAGTGGCAGAGCTGGGGTTTGATCCAAGTCTGCTTGCTGCCAAATTCTTGGTGGAGTGGTCCAAGTCTCCTTTGATAATCCCCAGCCCAGGCCCTGCCGCCTCCTCCAGGGAGTCCCATTAGATCTGGGGGTTGGTGTAGCCTCCCACCCACCATCCCTGCCCCTGCAGGCCTCTGTTACCGGATGACTTGGATGCTAGACCCCTGGGCCAGTCCTTCAGCCAGGAGCCAGGCCCCCAAAGCTGTGATCTGATTCTTCTCCAGGCTTCTCAGTGGACAGTGAGGGGAGGGGAAAGAGAAACACGGCCATGAGAATGGGTGTGAGAGTTTCCTAGGTCCCTTCCTCAGGCCAAGGTCAGGGGACACAGTCTCCCACACTACCTTCTCAGGGAACCCAAAAGACAACAGGGGACTGGTGGCAGGTGCAGCAGGAAGGCTGAAGGCTAGAACCCAGGGGGAACTAAGCCTGGCAGGGGCTTGGAACAGGCCAGAGTGTGCAACTCAAGGAAGGGCTTTCTGGGAGGCAGGGGACTGACCCAGTGGCCTCTTGGTGTTCCCGGGATGTAGGTCCCCCTTTAGCCCGTCCCATTCCTCCCCCGGCCCCTCATACTCCACTCTCTTCAGCCGGCCCATCTGCGGCAGCACCTGGGCCAGCTCGGCAGCTGCCTCATCCCCGAGGAGATTCCAGGACAGCCTGCAGGGTAGGGGTCCCAAAGTCAGCGGCAGGAGAGCAAGGAGGTCGAGGGGTGGAGACAAGGCAGTGAATGGGGAAAGCAGGGTGCCAGTCGTGGGGGCAAGGGTTTTCAAGAGAGGCCACCTGATAGGGTGCTTGTGTGTCCTCCCCTGAAGACGTCAGGGTGCAGGTTACCTTCCTCCCTGCTCCCCTCCCCGTCAAGTTTGAATCATGACGTTGTTCACAAGATGTTGCCATTTTTGCCACATACATGTACCTCCTGTATTTAAGATGCATCATATTTTTCTTTAAATTGGCCCCCTCTTTTTTCTTACTTTAAAAAATTAATCTTGGCTGGGCGTGGTTGCTCACGCCTGTAATCCCAGCACTTTGGGAGGCCAAGGTCAGGTGTTTGAGACGAGCCTAACCAACATGGTGAAATCCTGTCTCTACTAAAAATACAAAAATTAGCTGGGTGTGGTGGTGGGCACTTGTAATCCCAGCTACTCAGGAGGCTGAGGCAGGAGAATCTCTTGAACCCGGCAGGTGGAGGTTGCAGTGAGCCGAGATTGCACCACTGCACTCCAGCCTGGGTAACAGAGGGAGACTCCATCTCAAAAAAAAAAAAAAAAAAAAATCTTGAAAGGAAACTTTTATTGCTACTATCAATGGAAAACTTGTGTTACAGACTCCATATAGAAGGTAGTTACAAAAATAAATATAGTACAAACAATGGTATTAACTTCTAGTTGGAACATATGCCCTTCCTAAGATGTTGGGTTTTTAACCCTTTTGGTTAAAAAGGGAGAATCCAGTGTTAGGTGTTAAAGATGAATTACCACTGATCTGAGACTTTCGCTTTGGTGTAATGAGAAGGGTTAAGACCTTTAGGATGCAAACTAAAATCTTCTCGTAATCACTTGTGTCCTGTTCTTTAGGAAACAGCTTTGTCCTCCATACCATGGTTAGGGTCCCAGGCTAGTCCTAGAATTCTAGTTTACTCATGAGGCAGCACTGCAAAGCCCCAAGGTCTGGGGGATTCTGATTGCTAAGAGACAGCCAAGCACGGCCAGCCAGCAGGTCTGGGGGTGGCTTTCTCCTGGCTTTAGCCACTGTTTCTACCAACTGTGGTTCATAAATGGAGGTTTCATCAAGCAGGCAAGGTGGTCTATCCAGTTGCCTCCCAAAAGGAAGGTTGGACCAAAAACCTTTAAAGACCATCTGGTCCACCTCCCCTCCCACCAATCTACAAATGGGGAAAAAGGCAGAAGAAGGTAAACTGTTTTACCCAACATTACCTGCAGCTCAAGTGTTAAAATGTCTTTGAGAGGATGTCTGAGTAAGGATGATCTTCCCCATTTACAAATGGGAGGACTGGCCAGAGAGGATGGGAGCAGCTCCAGGCCACACAGCAGGCTGGAGCCAACTCCCCCGACCCCTCCCGACTTTTCCTTTTCCCAGCCAGCTCAGGGCTCTTCCAATCACTCACAAGATTACTTCCAGGGCAGGGCAGCTCGTGAAGCTGGAGGTGAGGAGCTTGGCAGTCTGGTTGTCAATCTTACAGGAAACCAGGCTGGGGATGGAGAAGGGCATGGGATGGGATGGGGGTTGTTTGAGTCAGGGGATCTAGCAGGTCCTGCCTCCAGAGCCACCAGGGTCTGGGGTAAGCTAGGCGTTTTAGGAAAGACTTCCTTTCTTGAGCCAGGCCCCCACCATCCCTGGGGCTTCTATCACTTCAAAGGCCTCCCCAGGTGTTAGGCTCAGTCAGAGAAGGGCTGCCCTCAGCCTGCCACTGGTCCCCTAGGCAGGCAGGGGAGGCTACTTACTCTATCTGTCTGAGCAGCGGGAGCTCCATACAGAAACGCAGGACCCCTCCAGCCAGGTTGTTT
Organism: Homo sapiens; assembly: GCF_000001405.40. Lineage (NCBI taxonomy): Eukaryota > Metazoa > Chordata > Mammalia > Primates > Hominidae > Homo > Homo sapiens. The sequence continues at coordinate 57,079,229 of NC_000016.10, read as the reverse complement.
TCCGCCAAGCTGCAGGGTAGGGGAGATACCTGTGAGAGGAACCCCCAGACCCGCCCAGGACTGTCCCCGTGCCTGGGCTGGGCAGCCCCTACTTACCTGATCTCTTCCAAATGGGGGGATCCATCCAGGGCCTGGGCCAGGCTCAGGGCCCCACCTGGGCCCAGATGGCTGAATGGTAGGCTGGGGAAAGAGGAGAGGGTGAGAGGAGCCTGAGGGACTGGCGTTTCCAGAGCCCCACCCTCAGCCTTGTCTCAGGCTGCAGTGCCAGCCCGTAGACAGTCTCTGGCTAATTCCCCATCCACACAGGACCTGGGTAGGTATCAAGGACCCTGGCTTTGGGGTCTGAGATCCCAAATTCAACACCTGGGTCCTTCGTGTATGAGTAAGGAAAATTCTCCACACCTCTCCTGGCCTTCATTCCCTTGCCTGGAAAAGGGAGCACATAAAAGTCCCAGCACCAGCCAGCCATGGTGGCTCACGCCTGTAATCCCAGCACTTTTGGAGGCTGAGGTGGGTGGATCACTTGAGGCCAGGAGTCCAAGACCAGCCTGGGCAATATGGTGAAATGCCGTCTCTACTAAAAATACAAAAATTAGCTGGGCATGGTGGGCATGCTCGTAATCCCAGCTACTCTGGTAGCTGAGGCACAAGAATTGCTTGAACCCGGGAGGTGGAGGTTGCAGTGAGCCGAGGTTGCACCACTGCACTCCAGCCTGGGTGACAGAGAGAGACTCCATCTAAAAAAAAAAAAAAAAAAAAAAAACAAGGTCCCAGCACTCTGGGACTCTGGGGGCTGCCATGGGGCTGCAATGAGGTCATTTGTGAAGTGCTGAGGCCACGTTGATTGGCACCGTGCTCCTGCGAAGCCCTCTGCCAGGATTTCTCATTCGCCCTCAGGGACCCGCTCACAGGGCACAATGAACTGGGATCATTGTACTTCTTTTGCATGTGAAGAAACTGAGGCTGAGAAGGGGCAGGGGTTTGGCCAAGGTCAGGCAGGGGCCAGTGGCAGAGCCAGGACTAGGCTGGGCCTCCTGATTTTCTTGCTGCAGACATCAGAGGCAGGGAAGGAACAGGCAGGAGAGTGGGTATATGCCAAGCTTGACTTGGGGCAGGGCAGCTCAACTGATGGGGGCCTGGACCCCCCCACTGCTCCCGAGGACCCTCCTCCCCACCAGCCCTGCATGGTATGGGCAGGGGGCCACTCACTGTAGGACCCTCAGGTGCTGGGGCAGCTCCTGAGCCAGCCCCAGGGCTGTGGGATCCCCCAGGGCATTGCAGCCAAGCCTGGAAGAGGAGAGGAATGAGCATTGAGTACTGGGCCTGCCCACTCGGGACCCCCGCCCTGCCCTGTGCCCACTGCGGGAGAGGAGGCCAGGTGGACCTGGGGGGCACAGAGGGCAGAGGCCACCTGGGCAGACACTCACATCAACTCCTCCAGGCGCCTGCAAAGAACGAGAGACTCTGCCAACTGCACTCCCCCGGCTGAGCTGATGCTATTCCCTGAGAGGCTGTGGGAGGGGGGCAGCCATCAGGTCCTCTGATGCCCCCTCTCCCCGACACCCCAGCACATCTGCTGGGTCTGCCACCCCTGCTTCAGGGGGCCTAAGAGACAACCCCCCGACACCACACACCTACCCAGACAATGAGGCAGAAAGGCCCAGAGAAGAGCAGGGGCTGGGGTGGCTTAAGGTCCCGCAGTGAGGGCCAGGAGGTCACCGAGCCCCACTGCCTGGACACTGAGGTTGGCGCAGGGGAGATTTTACCATGCTGGCCTCAGCTAGGGGCCAGTATCTCCTAGGACCATCGTGTGACCCCTGTGGCCCTCCTCTGTAGGGCTGGCTACTCACTCTATCTTCCTGAGCTCTGGCAGCCCAGGCAGGATGGTAGCTAAGTGCTGGACACCAGCGTCTCCAATCTGGTTGTGGCTCAAGCTTGGGGGAGAAAACAGCTTCATCAGCCTTCTGCCGTCTCATCTTGTCCACACCCCACTCCCAGAAAAAGAAGGGGAGGCTGAAGTCCCAGGAAGGGCCTCGACTCACACAGAGAGCCCCATCACCCCATGTTGAGTGACAGCTCCTAACCCTTGGCTTCTGTTTAGGATGTTCTCCCCATTGTCTGACCTAAATCCCTCTTGCTACAATTGACACTCTTACATCCTGTCTTTGGGTCCCCCAAGCTTCTAGGCCCCAGGTTGTTTACACAGTGTAGAAGTGGGTGAAGGAGATGAGATGAAGAAGCAAAGGGCGTGCTCAGGTAGCCCCTTGCCCTTGTCATCTTTCCCGGCCAAAATTGTCCTGGGTCTGGGGGCAGAATGGGCAACTCACTCCAGCTCCTCTAGGCTGGTGGCAGCCCTGAGAGCCTCAGAAAGGTGGCAGCAACCGACATCACCGATACTGTTCCTGTTCAGTCTGGAAAAGCAGGGAATAGACCAAGAGGCTTTCAGGAGCTTAAAGGCCTTTGCAGGTGCTGTGCTAAGAACTCTACAGTTTGCAAAGCCTTACACGCCCAGGAATTCATATGCTGGTAGCAAAACTTCTGGGGGTCATGGCAGGTGGGGAGTGGTGAGCAAGGTGGGAATTATTGTCCCCAGTGTCCAGGTGAGAAAACTTGAGAGCCAGCAGTGAGCTGTGACTGGCCAGAGACTTAGGGACTTGCAGGCTGGGTGGAAACAAATCCAGAGCCCCTGGCCCAGGAGGAGTCTCTACATTTCTTTGCCAAGCTTCACCTCAGCCTCTGTGTCAGGGATCTCCGGGCTGGCCCGGCTGAATGCCACTTTCACGTGGGATTCTCTGATTCACGCAGATCAGTTCTCAGGGGCATATGTGTTCTCATCCATGCAAATGGTAGGTTTTTCCTTAAACCCAGGGTATTGTCTTTACTGAGCCCTGACCTTGCTCTGCCTGGGTAGGAAAAAACAATAAATAGCTGAGGCAAATGGTCTTAGCCCCTTGGGAAGTATTTGTTTGCATGTTGTTTTTACTTTCTTTTATTTTGCAAATTAAATTTTAATGGGGCTGGGAGCAGTGGTTCACACCTGTATTCCCAGCACTTTCGGAGTCTAGGCAGGTGGATCATTTGAGGTCAGGGGTTCGAGACCAGCCCGGCCAACATGGTGAAACCCCATTTGTACTAAAAATATACAAAAATTATCTGGGCGTGGTGGTGCATACCTGTAATCCCAGCTACTTGGGCGGCTGAGGCACCAGAATCGCTTGAACCCAGGAGGCAGAGGTTGCAGTGAAGTGAGATCATGCCACTGCACTCCAGCCTGGGCGACAGAGTGAGACTGTGTCTCAAAAAATAAAAATAAAATAGAAATAAATAAATACACTTTAATGGATCACCTTTCAGTAAATTAATTTTGGGTGAAATGGTCCAATATGATATAACCTCCTGGAACTCTCTAACCTCATTTCCTACCTACTCTGCTCTGCCCGAGGTAGGGGGTAGGAGGTGTACTTGGATATAAACAAAGCAATGCTTTGTGTCACTGCTTGGATTTGTTTTTAGTCACAAGATTTCATGTTTTGAAAAATCACATTGAAAGTAAGTGTCATGTTTATTTATCCTAGCAGCAGGGAGTGAAATCACAAAGGGAGTGTAGGAAGGCCACCCCATCTGAGTCTAGACCCACACTACTCAAAGTGCTGACCGTGGCCCCCAGAATTGATACCACCCGGAAGCTTGTTAGAAAATGCAGAGTCTGAAGCCAGGCGTGGTGGCTCACGCCTGTAATCCCAGCACTTTGGGAGGCCGAGGTGGGCAGATCACCTGAGGTTGGACGTTCAAGACCAGCCTGACCAACATGGAGAAACACTGTCTCTACCAAAAATACAAAAATTAGCCGGGCGTGGTGGCACATGCCTATAATCCCGGCTACTCGGGAGGCTGAGGCAGGAGAATCGCTTGAACCCGGGAGGCGGAGGTTGCAGTGAGCTGAGATTGTGCCATTGCACTCCAGCCTGGGCAACAAGAGCGAAACTCTGTCTCAAAAACAAACAAACAAAAAAAGAAATGCTAAGTTTGGGTGCAACGCCTTAGGCCTGTAGTCCCAGCTGCTTAGGAGGGTGAGGCAGGAGGATCACGTTCGCCCAGGAGTTTGAGGCTGCAGTGCAACACGATTGCACCTGTGCATTGCCACTGCACTCCAGCCTGGGCCACACAGTGAGGCCCCAACTCAAAAAAAAAAAAAAAAAAAAAAAAAAAAAAAAAAAAAAAAAAGCACAGTCTAGGCAGAATTCCAGACCTGGGGAATCAGAATGAGCATTTTAACAAGAGCCCAGGGTGAACTGTGTGTGTGCCTCAAGGGTTGTTCTACGACGTGGGCCTAAGCCCTTTAGGCCACTTTTGTAACCAGGAGGAAGCTGATGGCATTAGAAGGCAAGAGCAGTGGGCACCCACCTGGGAGGGCACAGGGATGGGCCTGGGAGGGATCCGCAAAGGATCCCCTGGGAGGTGGCCTCAGTGCTTCCCTGGATGTGGTCCCAACTGAGTGGGAAGTGTTTCTTCCCACTCATTCCCATGGGGCCGCTCGGTCACTCACCTGAGGCTCTGCAGGCAGGTCATCTGGCTTAGTCTGTGAGTAAGCAAGGCCAAGGTGGAGCTGTTCAGCAGAAGGTGACTGAGGCTGGAGAAGAGGAGGCCAGGTGAACTTGACATCTGGGGGTGGGGCACTGTCCAGTCTGGGGGTCTGAGGCCTCTGTGCTTAGCAAGCCTAGGGACCTCCAAGACAGCCACTTATATCCACACAGTGTAAAAATTCTACAAAATGAACTGTACTGGGAGGTCCAAATGCTGTTTCTCTGCATGAATTACTGAGGTCAGGCAGGCAGCAGTTCTATGTTCTGAACCACATGGACCAAGACTAATGATCCGTAATAATGGCGGTCACACATTGATCATAAAATGTGGGCCAAACTCAGGGCTTGGGGCCATCTGGAAAGGTGGGTTTATTATCGTCCCCATTTTACAGGTGAGGAACACCAAGGTTCAGAGAGTTAGAGAACTTGCTTAAGGTCATACACAAAGTGGCTGCTTCAGGAACAGAACCAAAAACTATAGAACTCCCATTCCTGAGCCCCAACCATATGTGACCCAGGCGATTGTACTTCTAGAGGCCCCCAGCCTAGGCAGGAGAGGAGAATAACAATAGCTAGCACTTGTAGAGTGTGAACTCTGACCAGACTCTAAGACTGTAACACATATTATCTCATTTAATACTCACAACAACCGTAGCAGGGGAGATTGCTCTTATCCTCAAAGTTAAGATGAGGAGGCCAAAGAACAGAGAGGCTGAGGGACTGGCACGAGTTCACACATTAAGAAACAGAACTGGCTGGGCGCAATGGCTCATGCCTGTAATCCCAGGACTTTGTGAGGCCAAGGCGGGTGAATCACCTGAGGTCAGGAGTTCGAGACCAGCCTGGCCAACAAAGTGAAACCCCATCTCCACTAAAAATAGAAAAATTAGCTGGGCCTGGTGGCATGTGCCTGTAATGCCAGCTACTTGGGAGGCTGAGGCAGGAGGGTTGCTTGAACCCGGGAGGCGGAGGTTGCAGTGAGCCAAGACTGTGCCACTGCACTCCAGCCTGGGCAACGGAGAGAGACTGGGTCTCAAATAAATAAATAATAAAATAAGAGGCAGAAGCAAAAGATGGTCAACTGTCTTGGTTGGCTCAGAACAGAAGAGTTTTTCCTGGATGTGGGACTTTGGGTGCCAAAATGGGGAAAGCTCCAAGCAAACTGGAAGTGTCAGTTACCCCACCCAGAGTTGAACCCAGGCAGTGAGGCTCCTAACTAGGGTCCATGCTCCTACCCACTCCATCACAGGTATACAGCTGGAAGAAGCTGACTGGATTTGAGGGTAACTGCCTGTGGGGAGTTACACTTGGAAATGACAGATCTGAGATGGGAAGAGACCTCCGGGCACTGACGATCCATCCCCTTCCTTCGGACAGGGAAGATATTATGCCCAGTTTACAGATAGGGCAACTAAGGCAGCAGGAGGTAAGGAGCAGCACATGGTGCCTGGGAAATCAGGAGGAAGAAAAAGGCCCCCAGGGGCATGGATGAATCTGTCCTGTCCCCGGCCCAGGTGCCCAGCTCAGTACATATTTGTCGAATGCATGAATGAGCCAATGAATGACCTCACTGGGCCTCCAATCCCCTAAATAAAAGCTTCCAGAAGGCTGAGCCGAGATGCAGGTACATGGACAGTGGGCAAAGAAACAGACCAGTGAGACGACAGGAGGGCCCTGTGGTCAAAGGTCTCTGTAATCCCTCTTCTCCTTTTACCTGATCCTCTCCCCAGGACAAGCAAAGAGGGACAAGCGGAAGAATTTCAATGTTAAGGGGCAAAAAGTCAAAAGGCTACTTTCAAGCTGAATTCAAAACATATGTAGAAAAAAAAATCTGGAGAAAAATTCACAAACCGTTCAACAGAAGTTTTCTCAGGGGGTGTCATCCCCGGGGCATTTCATGTTATTTGTTACATATTTCTAGAAAGATGGAACTTTTTTGGTCATCAGAAAAAGTTAAGAGATGAAAAGCAGAAGATATTCTGTTAAATTTTCTGTCCAGATACTGTCTAAACAGGAATCTGTGCAGGACGGGGACCTGTCTTTTAGACTGAGGCTGTTTCTGGCATTTCTAAGAATTTGATGACTTCAAATTATGGGGGAGAGTAGTAAAAGCTGCCAGTTACCAAGGAAACAACTGTAGACAAATGTAGTGGACATCTGTAGATTTTTTTCTGCCCAGAGTTTCTTTCCTCTTCTGTTACTCACATCCTGAAATACCACCCCTCTAAGTCCAGAAGATAGGGTGTGCATGCGCCCAGGTCTGGCCAGTGAGGAGAATATTTTGTGCTCACAGCCACAGTGATTGCTTTAGGGTGGGGCAGGTGACTCAAGCTAGTCCAGTGAGACTCAGTCTAGGACCTTTTGTTGTAACCACAGAGAGAATGGTACTCCCTTTCCACTAAGCTGAGAGAAAGTAAGCCTGCAGGTGCAGGGATGGCCTGCCTGAGAAGGAAGCCAAGGTGGACAGAGAAAGAGTAAGGGCCAGAGTGAAGTGTGTGAGAGAGAAGCCTGACAAATATAGAACCCCTGGATCCAGCTGTGCCTGAAGTCATTGGCCTCGTAATTTTCCATGACATAAGCCAATATATTTCTGTCTTGGATTGCTTTGAGTTGTGTATTCTGTTTCCTATGACCAAGGTTCTTGCTGGCACTGAGATCCAGAATAGAAAGTAAAAGGTCATGTAAGGGCATTCAGCTCACCTGGGTCCATCCAGAAACATGGCGGTTTGTGTTCACAAAACATGCAAAGGTTCCTAGGCATGCTACTCACTGACCATGCAGCACTAAGCACCATCACCCCTCACTCACTCCTTTCCCCATTAACCACTGTCATCCCTCACTCACCCCCTTCCCCATTAACCAACCCCACCACTCACTCACAACTCTTCCCTATTAACCACCCCCACCCCTTACTCACCCCCTTCCCCATTAACCACCATCACCACTCACTCACAACCCTTCCCCATTAACCACCATCACCACTCACTCCCTTCCCATTAACCACCATCACCACTCACCCACCCCCTTCCCCATTAACCACCAACACCACTCACTCACCCCCTTCCCCATTAACCACCACCACCACTCACTCACCCCCTTCCCCGTTAACCAACCCCACCACTCACTCACAACCCTTCCCCATTAACCACCATCATCGCTCACTCACCCCCTTCCCCATTAACCACCAACACCACTCACTCACAACCCTTCCCCATTAACCACCATCACCACTCACTCACAACACTTCCCCATTAACCACCAACACCACTCACTCACCCCCTTCCCCATTAACCACCATCACCACTCACTCACAACCCTTCCCCATTAACCAACCATCACCACTCACTCACAACGCTTCCCCATTAACCAACCCCACAACTCACTCACAACCCTTCCCCATTAACCACCATCATCACTCACTCCCTCCCTTCCCCATTAACCACCAACGCCACTCACTCACAACCCTTCCCCATTAATCACCATCACCACTCACTCACAACACTTCCCCATTAACCAACCCCACCACTCACTCACCCCCTTCCCCATTAACCACCAACACCACTCACTCACAACTCTTCCCCATTAACCACCATCACCACTCACTCACCCCCTTCCCCATTAACCAACGCCACCACTCACTCACAACCCTTCCCCATTAACCACCAACACCACTCACTCATCTCCTTCCCCATTAACCACCAACACAACTCACTCACAACACTTCCCCATTAACCACCATCACCACTCACTCACCCCCTTCCCCATTAACCACCATCACCACTCTCACACCCTTCCCCATTAACCACCATCACCACTCACTCACCCCATTCCCCATTAACCACTCCCACCACTCACTCAGCCCATTCCCCATTAACCACTCCCACCACTCACTCACCCCATTCCCCATTAACCAACCCCACCACTCACCCACTTCCACCATCCATTAACCAACCCCACCACTCACCCACTTCCACCATCCATTAACCACCCCCACCACTCACTCACCCACAACCACCATCACTACTTACTCCAGCCTCTTTAGCATCCATTTCCCCTCAAGGGCCCTCATCAGCGCCTTGGTGCCCTCCTCATCAAATTGATTGTTAGACAAGCTGCAGAAGACCAGGCAGAGGCAAGGGTTAGCGCAGCCTGCCCAGCCCTGGAGCTGAGCTGTCCTGTCAGCTCCCCTCTCCTGCTCTGTCCCCTGGGAGGCCAACTCTGCATCTGCATGCCCTGGGCCACCCTCGCTGTCCAGGTTCCCCATGGGTATCCCTAGCTCCAGGGCTCAGGCTCTGGGTAGGCATGATAGTCACAGCTGGCCCAGCTGAGAAACTATGCCCTGGATGAAGGCTGCAGAGAGGAAGCTGGGGGACTAGGGACACACACACACACACACACCCTCTTGTTCTTCAGCCCTCTCCGTAGCCTGACTCCCACAGCCAGCCCAGCAGAGCAAGGCTCATGAGCCCCATTTTCATAGATAAGGCAATCAAAGCCCAGAGTGGAACAGCCATGCCCACAGCCCCTCTGTGAGTCAGTGGCGAAATTCAGACCAAAACTGTGGTGCTCTTCCTTCCCCAGGCCACACCCAGAACTGCTGCACTTCATCAGGGGAAGGGTCATTGGTTGAAGTCTCATTGCCTGCCCTCCCAAACGCCCTGCTCTCTTCTCCACCCCTCACCCTCAGCTGGGCCACTTGTCCCCAATCCCTCCACTCTGCAACTCACTCCAGCTCCTCCAAGTGGTGGCAGTGGCCCAGACCAGATGCCAGGTGGGCGAGGCCCTCGGTGCTCACACAGCTGGAGGTCAGCCTGGTGGGGGTCAAAGGGCAACAGGTCAGGCAGGAGCCGCCCTGGGTCTTGGGAGCTCTGAATGCTGGTGGCAGAGGGCAAGGATGTGGGGTAGGGATGTGGCGGGCAATGTGAGGAGACCTCCTTCCCTTCGTAAATCTCTTCCACCATGAACTCATTAAGCCACCACAGAGCTTGGAAGCAGAAGCATGGACTAGTTCAGTATTTCCTAAACCGCAGTCATTCAGGTAGCAACTTCACAACTTAAGCCAGGATTAGGTATCACTGTAGTTTAGCTAGTTACTGTTGTTTATTACAAACTCTGCATCTTTAAAGCAAATACTGAAGAAGTGTCAAAGATCTCTCTGTCCTAAAGAGTTTCTTCCTTTTTAAACATTTATTTTATTTATTTATTTTTTGTAGAGATGGGGGTGGTCTCGCTATGTTGCTCAGGCTGGTGTCGAACTCCCGGGCTCAAGCGATTTTTCCTCCTCGGCCTCCCAGAGTGCTGGGATTACAAGCTTGAGCCACTGTTCCCAGCCCAAGAGTTTCTTCTTGGTGTAATCAGTTAGATGGAAATAAAATGTAAAGTTAGGAAAGCTACATTTTGCAACTGTCATGCTGATTCATCGATTTAAGTAAGATTTATTAACGGCTGCTAAAATTTGCCAATGAGAGTTTGAGGAAGACTTAATACATAATCTTAAAGTATCTCCCCACATAATCTATGTTGATTACAAAGGGAAAGTTAGTAAATTTGCAAGTGGAGAGACCTGGCAGACACCACTGTCACAGGTGATCACAGTTAACATCACTAGCCCGAGGACTCTGACACATCATGTGCCCCGATGGAAGGCACGATAACACAGCATCACCTGTGTGATATTCCTGCCCAAAGGGCAGACTCTAACTCTAAACATGAGGAAACATTGGACAAACCCAAGTGGAAGGACATTCTATAAAATAACTGGCCTGTAAATGTCAGAGACAATGCTATGAAAGACAAAGAAGGGCCAAGGACGTGTTCCAGATTGAAGGAGACACTAAAGAGATGACACTAAATGAGACGTGTGATCCTGGATTGGATCCACAACTGGGAAAAAAATGCAATAAGCAACATTATTGGGAGAACTGGTGAGATTGGAGTATAAACTGTAGTTGAGATAATAGTAGTGTATCAATGTCACATTTCCTGGATTTTATAATTTTACTGGATTATGGAAGAGAATGTCCTTATTTCTAGCAAATTCGCTGAAATGTTAACGGGTAAAGGGACATGATTACAACTTACTTCTAAATGGTTCAGAAAAGGAGAGAGGGAGAGAGTGAAAGAAAAGGGAGGTGGGAAAGAAGGAGGGAGGGAAGAAATGAGCAAATGTGGAAAAAGATTGGCAAAGGGTGAATTTGTTCTTTTTTTTTTTTTTCGGAAACCGAGCCTCGCTCTGTCACCTAGGCTAGAGTGCAGTGGCACAATCTTGGCTCACTGTAACCTCAGCCTCCCGGGTTCAAGCAATTCTTGTGCCTCAGCCTCCCAATTAGCTGGGATTACAGGCATGCACCACCATGCCCAGCTAATTTTTTTGTATTTTAGTAGAGACGGGGTTTCACCGTGTTGTCCAGGGTGGTCTCGAATTCCTGAGCTCAGGCAATCCACCTGCCTCGGCCTCCCAAAGTGCTAGGATTACAGACATGAGCCACCACGCCCAGCTCTAAGGGTGAATTTGGGTAAATGGCACACAGCAGTTCTCAGTCTTCTTGAAACTTTGTGTTAGTTCGCAGTTATTTTAAAAGAAAAACAATGAAAGAGTGTTAAAAAGGGAACAACTTTCTTGCCATGTGGCTCAATGTTCCTAAGGTCATGTTTACGACTAGGTACCCCTAAAAATCATCTCCAGGGCCACCTGTGGTTTGTGTCCACAGAGTAAGACACAGAGTAAGAGTCCTCTGAGCCCAGGGCTGGGAATAACGGGAGGTGTCAGGGCAGGGCAGAGCTGCAAAGGGGACTGAGTGAATGTCTTGTCTACATACCGAAATGTCTTCAGCTCAGAGAGGGACAGCAGGAGGCTCTGCAGCAGCAGGGAACTGGCATCATCGTCCTCACAGAGGTTAACCTGAGACAAGCTGAAAAGGTCCAAGGATATTCTAGAGGATTTCAGGCTGGACACACCTCAGAGGTCATCACATCCAGAAGGGGGTGCCAAGAGAGGAGAAGGGGCCACCCAAGAGCTCCCCTGAGCCACCCTGGGGCTCTCCCTCCCCTCCACTGGCCAAGTGTGATTTTCTCCTGCACAAGGAAGTGAGAATGCCAGGGTCACACATGGCCTGGAGTAGGTACCAGGGTCAACCAGAGAACTCAGGGCCCCACACAGAGTTTCCAGGCGCTGACCTGAGCTGCTGCAGCCTGGCACATGTCTCCATCAGCTGCCCGACAAGAAGGCTGTGGTGGGCTCCAAGGTCACAGTGAGCCAACCTGGACACAGACAGGGAGACGACAGTTTTGGAACATCTAGTCCAGTATGTGGGATTCAGTATCTGCCTGCAAGGAGCTTATGGTGTAGGGGTAAATAAATGCTGATCAAATGAAGTCCTACAGTTTGCTATTCACTTATGAGAAGTGCTAGGAAGCAGGAGTCCAGATGGGGCAGCTGGTATGGTTGTGCAGGTTGTTCACCGCACAAGGACACACAGCCGAGGAGGTGAGGTGAGGCTGAGATCCTACCATGCTCTATTTCCCAGAATGTACACATGCAGGGCTGCATCCACTCAAAAGGGTGACATTTTAATTTCCCAAACTGTGCCATATGGATTTAGAGGTGCTGTGAATCCAGGGATCTATAAGAGTGGATAATGGAAGTGTTTGACTAAGCCTTGGGGTCCAGGGGGCCTCCCTGAGGTGGTGGCATTTAAGCTGAGACCTGAGGGATGAGGAGGAGTTAGGCAGGTGAAGCAGGTAGGCGTGAAGAGAACATTCTGGGCAGAGAGCACAGCCTGTGCAAATGCCCTAAGGTCTAAGCAAGATGGTGTTCGGGGAACTGAAAGTTCATGGGGGTGACTGGAGCTGAGACTGGGGCCTGGAGTGGGGCTGAAACGCCTCAGAAGTGGGTTGGTCAGACCTCTGTAGCCTGTGTAAAGACTTCGAACCCCTAAGGTCTCTGGGCAGGGTGGTGAATATTGGTCAGAAGCAGCCCTGCCCCCTCCCCAACACCAGCCCCTGCCTTGGGGTCCCTGGTGCTGGGTCCCACCTGAGTGCCACAGCTTCTGGATTCTCTTCCTGGCGAGGAAATTCCAGCTGGACACAGAGCTGCTGCTGGGTCTCGGAGATGCTGAGGAGTGAGCAGTAACCAACGTGAGGTCGGGCAGCCTTCCCCGGAGGGCCTAGCTGGCACCTGGGCTGCCCGGCTCCAACTCTGAACTCTCACTTTGCCTGGGTCCCCTTCTCCCCTGCCAGGGACCAGCTTAGGACTGGAAAGTAGGTGCTTCCGTGAGTCACACACAATACCCCAAGTAGTGCCTTTTCAACAATTTTTCTCTTTCTTTTTTTTTTTTTTTAAAGAGACAGGGTCTTGCTCTGTAGCCCAGGCTGAAGTGCAGTGGTGGGCACGATCATAGCTCACTGCAGCCTTGAACTCTGGGCTTCAGTGATCCTCCTGCCTCGGCCTCCCAAAGTGCTGGGGTTACAGGCGTGAGCCACCGCGCCTGGCCCTTTTCAACAATTTAAAGTTAATAAGTTGATAAGCCTTTTCAGACCATGACAGAAAGCCATTAGAGGGATCCAAGGGCAGTTCCAGAATTTTCTGAGGGAGGGGCACAAGGACCACAGTGTGGTGGAAGGGTGGGGTAGGGGATGTGTCTGGAGTCTGCATTTGCGCTCTAAGCTCACTGCCTTCACTTGAATGTTATGTTCATGGGGTGCTTATGGGGAGAGGGCTATGGGAGATTATAAAGTCCCCAGAGCATCCCCTTGCTCACTCCTGGAGGAGAGAAGGAAGAAGCAGGGCAGGCTGTGTGGCTGGTGACAGTACAGCAGACATCTTTACAGGCTCCAGTTCTTGTAATCCTCCCAGCCCTGCAAAGGGCCGTAATTAGACTCTTTTAAGAGCAGGAGGTTGAGGTCAGAGAGACACAGTAATGGGCTCCAACCAGTAAGTGACTGAGTTGGGATCTGAACATAGCTGAGTGGGATGCTAAAACCTTTGCTATAAGCTACTCTGTGTGTCATTGTGTTATTTCTGGTTGAAGAGCCATAATGTGTGTTACTGCATCTGGGGGGCCACTTCCAAGCAACCAGCGTGGACTCCCAGCCATGTCTGCCTGGATCCAATAGCCCTTTGTTTTGATTCTGGGGATGTCTTCCTCTGACACTGTGGCTTGACTACTGCACTAGTCCCAACAAATGTGTAGCCCCTCACATATGCCCCAGGAGCTCCTGCTACCCTGGGGACATGGAAAACTAGCTGGTGACACAGCTATTACCCCACAGGATGAGGGAAGGTCAAGGAAAAGTCCCAATGCTTATGAAAGATGAAGAATTCCAAAGGGGCCTCTTCTCTGGACTCACCTGATTTCAGTGACACTGCCTGAGGCCTGGGCGCAGACTTCTAACAGGGAGAGAACCCTGGCTCTGTCCGCCCACGGCTCCTGCACCCTGTCACAGAAGGGGACACAGATAAGGCCCCCCCAAGGTGAGCAGCAGACAATCAGCACACATGACGGGGCCGGGGGAGGAGTGTCAAGGGGGGGACCTAGAGGCTTTTTGAGTTTTTTTTGCTCATTTTAAAACTATAAAATTATACAAGTAGGCATCAATCTAAAAAAGGAAATTAACATCACCCTTATTCCAACAACTATTGTTGTGACAATCCAAACAGAAAATATTATTTTTTAAATGATATTTTTATATTTTATTTTTTTATCTTATCTTATTTTATTTTTGAGACAGAGTTTTGCTCTTGTTGCCCAGACTGGAGTGCAATGGCATGATCTCAGATCACTGCAACCTCTGCCTCCTGGGTTCAAGCGATTCTCCTGCCTCAGCCTCCCAAGTAGCTGGGATTACAGGCATGCGCCACCACGCCTGGCTAATTTTTGTATTTTTAGTAGAGATGGGGTTTCACCATGTTGGTCAGGCTGGTCTTGAACTCCTGACCTCAAGTGATCCACCTGCCTCGGCCTCCCAAAGTGCTGGGATTACAGGCGTGAGCCACTGCACTGGGCCACTGATATTTTTAGATTTAAGAAAAGATTCACATAATGTTACATCACAAAGGTAAGGAAACCAAACTGTATATAAAACATGATCCCAATTTTGCATTTCAAAAAAAGGAAAGTATTTGGAGAAAAAAAGTGTGGAAAGAAACAGGGAGAGAGATGTGTGGAAAACATAGGAAAATATATTAAATGTTCATGGTGGTTGTTTAAGATGATAGAATTCTCATGAGTGATTTTTATTTTATGTCTTCTTTAATTTTCTATATTTTCTAAACTTTCTACAATGCATGTGCATTAATTTGAAAGTAGGAAAAAAGAGAATTAAGTCAAATATTACTGCTTTAAAGTTATGCTGAATTTTTAAAGCACTATTTTCTTTATGTATTTCTGGATTTTCTGCACATTTCAACAATGATTAAATATTATTTTTTTATTTTTATTTTTTGTAGATATGGGGTTTTGCCATGTTGTCCAGGCTGGTCTTGAACGCCTGAGCTCAAACAATCTGCCCACCTCAGCCTCCCAAAGTGTTGGGATTACAGGCGTGTGCCACTTCCCCCAACCAATATTATTTTTAGACTAAGAAAAGTTTTATTTGAAAATGTTATTTTGGCTGGGTGCAGTGGCTCACACCTGTAATCCCAGCACTTTGGGAGGCTGAGGTGGGGGGATCACGAGGTCAGGAGATCGAGACCATCCTGGCTAACATGGTGAAACCCCGTCTCTACTAAAAATACAAAACATTAGTCAGGCGTGGTGGCGGGCACCTGTAGTCCCAGCTACTCTGGAGGCTGAGGCAGGAGAATGGCGTGAACCCAGGAGGCGGAGCTTGCAGTGAGCCGAGATCGCACCACTGCACTCCAACCTGGGCAACAGAGCGAGACTCCGTCTCAAAAAAAAAAAGTTATTTTGGGTGCTCTAGCAATTCTGGATATATAACCAAAATAATTGAAAGCTGGGACTTTCTGGCTGGGCATGGTGGCTCACGCCTAGCACTTTGGGAGGCTGAGGTGGGAGGATCACTTGAGCTCAGGAGATCAAGATCATCCTGGGCAAAACAGTGAGACCTCATCTCTATTGTTTTTGAAATAAAATAATATTTAAAAAAAGAAAGCAGGGACTGTCAATTGGGCACTTGAATGGACAACCCAAGTGTCAATTGATGGATAAGTGGATACACAAAATGTGGTCCATCCACACAATGGAATATTATGCAGCCTTAAAAAAGGAAAGGGCTGGGTGTGGTGGCTCATGCCTGTAATCCCAGCACTTTGGAAGGCCGAAACGGGCAGATCATCTGAGGTCAGGAGTTCGAGACCAGCCTCGCCAACATGGTGAAACCCTGTCTCTACAAAAATACAAAAAAAAATTAGCTGGGTGTGGTGGCGGGCGCCTGTAATCCCAGCTACTCCGGAGGCTGAGGCAGGAGAATCGCTTGAACCCAAGAGGTGGAGGGTGCAGTGAGCTGAGATCGAGCCAGTGCACTCCAGCCCAGGTGACAAGAGTGAGACTCTGTCTCAAAAAAAAAAAAAAAAAAAAAAAGGAAGGAAAGTCTGACACAGTGACACACGCTGCAACATGAATGAACCAGAGGACATTATGCCCAATGAAATGAGCCAGTCACAAAAAGACAAATACAGACAAATACAAATGACTCCACTCATATAAACTATTTAGAGCAGTCCAATTCATAGAGACAGAAAGCAGAATGGTGGTTGCCAGGGGCTGGGGTAGGGGGGAAATGGGGTGTTGTTTAATGGGGATAGAGATTCAGTTTTGCAAGAGGAAAAGAGTTCCGGAGATTGGCCGTACAAAAAAGTGGATGTACTTAACACTCCTGAATGGTACACTTAGAAATGATTAAGATGGCAAATTTTGTTATGTGTATTTTATAATAATTTTTACAGGTTATTTTGGGGAACAGTCAGTTCTTAGGTGCCTTGTCACAGGCTGCAATGAGAAGTGCACAGCTCTGTCGGTGACGTAAGTTTTTTGGGCACAAACATGAAACTGAATGTCATGGAGCCTTTTGATCTAACGTCCAGTTTCCAGGAAAGTCGGGGTTAGAGGAACACGTGCCATGACATCATGAGAAAGCCACCAGAGTCAGGAGCAGGACAGTCTGCAGTACACACAGTTGCTGATTTTGTCAACAGACACTGACATGAAACAGAAAGCTGTGGTGAGGGGATGGGGGCAGTGATGCCGCAGGTTAGAAGAGTCAGAAGACCATCGCCATCCCGTGCAAATGCAGACCAGATGTGACAGATCCTGGATCCCAAAAGCCAGCTGTCTTATCTGGGGGACAATGGGGACATTTTAGATTAGACTAGGTAGTACCCGACACTAAGGAATCGCTAACTGAGTTTCTTAGGTGTCCTGATGGAACTGTGATTACTGAAAAAAATGTCCTTATTTTTTGGAGCTTCACGGTGAAATATTTAGGAGTGATGGATTATGAGGTCTATAACTTACTTGAAACCGCTTCAGCTGAAATAAAAATAAAAATAGAAGCAAATATAAAAAAAGTATGAACAACTGTCAAACCTAGGTTCTGGGAATAGGAGTTTTAAAAAATTATTCTTTCTACTTCGGTATCTTCTTTTTCTGAGTGTTTTAAAATGATCATAGTGAACAGACAGACAAGAACTTCGTTTCAGTTTATTTTTGTCCTCAGTTCAGTATCCTCTGAAACCTTCTTTCTTTCTTTCTTTCTTTTTTTCTTAAATCCCAAAGCACAGGCCTCCAGTGTGGGGAAGGACAGTTTCTCTGTGTGCCTTGTGGAGTCTCTGGGACAGATGGACAGGGTTTGCTCAGGGTCCAGATGGCAGGGTTGTGGGTACAGGAAATGACTGGGGCCATGATCCTGGGGGCCTCTTACTCCAGTGCCCACCCCTGCTCCCATTCATGCCATGGCCCCTCCCGGAGGCAGCGGGGGAGGAGGTACCTGAGGCTGAACAGCCCTGCGGGTCGCCCCACCAAGCTCAGGAGGATGGCCAGCTGCTTCTGGCCCAGGCAGCACTGGGTCAGCCTGGAGACAGAGGTCAGTCACTGAGGTGGCTCTGGCAGGGTGCCCCCACCCCTCTGCTGTCCTCACGGGCTGGGTGGGTCACTCACGTGAGCTCCGTCAGCTGCAGGGACTTGCTCAAGCCGGTGGCCAGCCTGGACACGTGCTCTGGCCGGAAGCTGCACTCACTTAGCCTGAGGGCAGAAAGCCAGGGCAGAGCCTGGGTGAGGCCTGTGGGCACTGCTGCTCAGCTTCATCTCAGCCTCCCTGAGGGCCTATTGGGGGAGCATCCCACCTCTGAGGGCAAAGGCCTGGAGCAGGGCCTGAGAGGCCAAATATGCAGCTCCTGCTCTGGGAGCTTCCTGTCTCTTTGGGGAGGAACCTCCCACACCCCCTGTAAGAAAGTATTAGGAGTAAGTTATTTAGGGAGGCTGACTCTAGGTCAGGCACTGTGCCAGCCTCTGGGTGCATGGGACTTCCTGCCTTACCCGCAGGGTCTCCTTTAATTCTCATAGCACCAATTAGAGGTGGGGAAACTGACTAACCCAAGGACACACAGCAGATAAGAAAGAAGGGCAGAATCTGGTTTCCATCCAGGTCAGTCTGACTGCAGACCCCAAGCTCTTAACCACTGCCTTACTCTCCCGGACCAGCACTGGCTGAGCTCCCTGGGGAGGGAGGTGTGCCTGGGATTCTCCGTGGGGCTCTGCTGTCCAGGCATCTCAGCCCTGGGTGGCCAGCAGACGGGCCCAGCCAAGTGAAAGGGCCCAGTGAACCTCGGGGCAGTTCACTCTGATGAGGCAGGGCTGCTGGGATACTTCCAGGAGGGGCTGATGTTTGAGCTGGGTGTTAAAGGATTGGGAGAATTTTATCTCAGAAAAGGCAAGGAAGAGAATGTTGAGCTGAGTGCGGTGTGAGCAGAGGCAGAGAATCTTCAGGCAGGGCTTGATCTAGGAGCAAATAGTGAAGGTTATGGCTGAACTGTGTGTGTGTGTGTGTGTTGTGTATGTGGTATTTGTAGGTATTATGTGGTGTGTGTGCTGTATTTGTAATGTGCCAGGTATGTATGTGGGGGGTTTGTTTTTGTGGGGTGTGTGTATTGTGTGGTGTGTGTGGTGTATGTGTGTGTATGTGGTATGTGTATGGTATGTGGTGCGTTTGTGTGTTGTGTGTGCTGTGTGGTGTGCGTGTGTTGTGTGTGCTGCGTGCTGTGTGGTGTGTTTGGGTGTGCTTGGTGTATCTGTGGTATATGGGTTGGTGTGTAGGGCGTGTGTGTGGTGTGGGGGAGGTGGGAAGGAACATGGTGGAAGGTGACAGTTGGATCAGACTGTGAGGGAGAAGATGCTAGGGACTTTGAACTTCACCCTGGGGTTAATGGGGAGCCACTGAGGGGCACAGAGTAGCAGAGGGGCACTGTCAGATGTGTGTTGTGAAGATCCCTCTGGGGGCTGTGGAGTGAATGGAGGGGAGGAGGCCTGATAAGATGCAGGGATCAGTTTGGAGGCCCTGTTCACAGCTGAAGTAAGACATGTAAAGGAACTGGCCGTGGCAGTGAGTCAGGGCTACCAGGGGTAATGATAATGATAATAATAATAATAATAATAATAATAATAATAACAGTTACAATAACTGCTGACAGCACTCCCATGAGCCAGACCTTTTCCTGGCACTTTATACTTATTAACTCATTTAATCCTCACAATAACCCTAAGGGGTAGGTTGTGTTATTATCCCCATTTTACTTGTCCAGGGCCACATAGCTGGTAAGTGGCAGATCAGGGATTTATTTTCAGTTGGCTTCAAAATCTTTAACCGTGACACTCAGAAGCCTCAAGGCCTGTAGTCAGGACATGGCAAGGAAGAGAATGTTGGGCTGAGTTGGGCTTAGGATGGTGGGCTAAGAGGCACAAGTTCAATGCCAAGGCCCTGGCTGAGACTGGAGTTACCAGGGCATCGGGGGCAGATCTGGAGGAACAGACCCAGGCAGTGAGCTTGAAGCTGCTCTCTAAAGGAGGAGAGGGCCCAGGGAAGAGGGGGCCATGGAGGCCGCCATAGGGTCAGCCTCCTCTCCCCTCTCTGTCCCCTGTCCCATCACCCTGCAGGGATTACCTGAGTGTCTTCCCAGCCTGGTCCTCTCTGGAGAAGTGAATCCGGAAGCTCTGCTCAGAGCCCAGGCTGCAGAGAGAAGGGCCTGGGGAAGCACGGTGCCCAGACATGCCAGCTTCCTAGGCACCTAGGGCACCCACAGGGCACAGAGAGGGAAGCGGGGCTGCACCCACAAGGACAAGGGAGGATGGAGGCCTCAGAACCAGAGGAGACCCCCAAACTCATTCTGTGAGCATGGCAATACCTGGCCTTCCCACCCCATGGCCTCCATGGTCCCCATGGCACCCGGGCATCAGGGGATAGAAATTATGATCCCATGCCCAGGAAACCCTGAGATTCAGAGAAAGGCAGAGGTTGCTCCAAGCCACCCAGATGGAAGGCCACAAAGTGTGGGTGCCTTGCTTCTCCCATCATCAGCCAGGGGCACCTGTTGGCCAGCAGAAAGGGGCTTTTCGGGGACCAACATCCCCTTACTTCACTGAGGCCTCCCGGACACGTGGGCAGGAGGGCAGTGTCTCCAGCAGGTACAGGGCACTTTCCTGAGAAATGCTGTTGTGACTCAGACTAGAAGGGAAATGGAGATGAGAATGGGAGTGAGGGCAGGACCTCCTTGGAGCCCTGCCCAGCCCCCTCCATCTCCCTTCCAGCTGTCATTTCCAAGAAGAGAAGCCTCCATGTCTAAGCATCTATTCTCCAGATGGACACACTGAGGCCCAGAAGGATACCATCCCCACACAGGCAGAACTGGCACCAGACCCTGAGTCCTTGAGCGCTGCACTCACCCTGCCCGCTGCCCCTGTGGTCTGGGGTCTGGGCACTGGCAAGGCCAGGCTGGCAGCTCTAGCCCCGCATGGGTCAAGGACTCCCGAGCACGAAGCTCAGTTGCCTAGCAACAAGTGGTGTCCTGGAGCTGGCTGTCACTCCAGCAGGTCACGGGAGAGATGGGGCAACCATGTGGATGACTTCCTAAGGCCCCTTGCCTGCCACAGGGACATCTCCACATTTATGTTCCACAGATTGGGTCAGAAGAATTTCAGGGACGGGATGGACCAGGAGCCAGGCAGCTGCAATCCCGCATCAGCTGGTTGGGGATGGAATGTTGCTTCCCTGTCCCCAGGTCAGTTTGGCTGTAGGGGTGTGTCACCCTGCCACGAATCACAGCCTCTCTTGGGTGTTTGGTGGAGGATCTGCCCATGGTGGGTGTGAGGGACAGAGGAAAGGACCCAAGGCCAGGGGAGTGAAGGCAAGGGAAGAATTGCCCCTTGCCCTCCACAGTCCTTGTCCTCTGGTGCTCTGGGGGATGCCCTCAGAAGGAGCCCCCATCATGCTTTTGGCCTAGGGGAGCCTTCCTCCTTGCTATCTGTCCTTTATGCTGCTTTCCACTTACTCAAGCAAACCGGAGATGGGCACCTGCGGCAGACATTCCAGAAGGCATCTGAGTCCGCTGTCGCCCAGCAGGTTTGCTGAGAGACTGTAGGGGGTAAGGAGCAGTGGCGGGGATCAGAGGTGCCTCCTCAGCCTGAGATGCTCCTCAGTCACCAGGAGCCTGCATCCACTGTCACTGCTACTGGACCCCATGTCAGGGTCACCAGCGCCACCACCATCACCACCATCACCAGTATCACCACCATCACCACCACCACCAATGTCACCACCACCAGTATTACCACCATCACCACCACCACTTTCATTATCACCACAATTCTACACCACCAAGCCCAGTACCACCATCACCATCCCTTCCATCACCACTAGAATGACCAGCAACTCCTACGTTCTCTGCTACTATCCCCTCCCCAGCACCACAGTAAACCCATCCTCTTGGTCCTCTTCCATATCGGGTGACCACTCATAGCTCAGGTGCCTCCAGCAGGCTTTCAAGGGTTAAAGAAAAACCAATTTGCCTTCACCACGCCCTTGGCCGGCATCATTTGGGATCCACAGTTTTTGAATGAGAGGAAATTCAGGAAAAAAAAATGTTTGCAGGATGCATTAAACCCATAGATTTCTTCTTTTAATCTGGGAATGCAATATCAATATTGGAAACCTCACCTGAAGTTTCTTACTTCCCTTCATTGCAGCATTCTGTGGTTTTATTTATTTATTTATTTTGAGATGGAGTCTTGCTCTGTTGCCCAGGCTGGAGTGCAATGGCACGATCTTGGCTCACTGCGACCTCTGTCTCCCAGGTTCAAGAGATTCTCCTGCCTCAGCCTCCCAAGTAGCTGGGATTACAGGCATGTGCCACTATGCCTGGCTAATTATTTTTGTATTTTTAGTAGAGACGGGTTTTCACCATGTTGATCAGGCTGGTCTCAAACTCCTGACCTCAGGTGATCCACCCGCTTTGGCCTCCCAAAGTGCTGGGATTACAGGCGTGAGCCACCACGCCCAGCTAGTTTTAACTACAGTTTCAGAAATAATATAACCAGTGTGTCCCGGAACATCTGATTTTCCTCCTAGGTCTGTGACATTTTTGATGTTTGTTAATTTCATCTTTTCCTGAGAAACGTCATTTAAAAATTGGTCTGTCTTATGAAGCCACTTAATAAAATAGTCTTTAAAATAAGAAAAATTGGCTGGGTGCGGTGGCTCAAGGCTGTAATCCCAGCACTTTGGGAGGGCGAGGCAGGCGGATCGCCTGAGGTCAGGAGTTCAAGACCAGCCTGGCCAACATGGTGAAACCCCGTCTCTACTAAAAATACCAAAATTAGCCAGGCATGGTGGCTCATGCCTGTAATCTCAGCTCCTTGGGAGGCTGAGGCAGGAGAATTGCTTGAACCTGGGAGGCGGAAGTTGCAGTGAGCCGAAATTGCGCCACTGCATTCCAGCCTGGGCAGCAGAGAAAGACTCCATCTAAAAAAAAAGAAAGAAAGAAAAGAAAAATTTCCCTCTATAATGAAAAACAAAAAACTCAAAGACATATTTCTTATTCATATCTGTTTAAAATACATTCCAAGCACAGCGGCTCATGCCTGTAATCTCAGCAACCTGGGAGGCTGAGGATCACCTGAGCTCAGAAGTTTGAGACCAACCTGGGGAACATGGTGAGACTTCATCTCTTACAAAACTAAACTATTAGCCAGGCATGTTGGTGTGTGCCTGTAGTCCCAGCTACTCCAGAGGCTGAGGTGGGAGGATCGCTTGAGCCCAGGAGTTGGAGGCTGCAGTGACCTATCATTGCACCACTGCACTCCAGCCTGGGCAACAGAGTGAGACCCCAGGTCTTAAAAAAAAAAGAAATCCATGATTTTATCAGTCACATTTTTCTTCTCTGCCACATCACAACAGAAATGAAAATTGTGTGGCATTTTTGGCGGACTGCTCTCTCTATTTCCCACTGGTCCTAGGCTGGATTCCCAATGCGTCTGAGCAGGGACTCTGCATTTTACTAGCTGTGTGACCTTGGGCAAGTTCTTACACCCTCTGTGTCTCAGTTCCCTCATCTGTAAAATGAGAACAATACTAGTATCCAGGGATATGGGAAACATAAAAAGAACATGTCAAGCACTTAGAACAGTGGAGAAAGTGCTCAGTAGCTGTTAGCTATTATTATTCCACCCATGCAGGGGCTGACTATTTGAATATCCAAGACAGGCCACGCAGATACCACATCTCAACAATACAAGAGACTGCAAGACCCCACCCTGGCTGGCTCTGCGTCCCTCCTCAGGCAGAGTCATCCGGTACTTTTAACCACCTGCTGGGCCAACAATGAATCCTGCGTTTTAGCCCCCATCTGCCAGCAGAGCTTGCACATACTTGAGGCTGAGGGCTGCCCAAGTCAGAGGGCACACCATGGAACTAGCTCCACCATGGCGAGAGTGGGGGCGGGAGAGAGAAAATTGATTCAGGGAAGCTTTGGGTATGTGACCCAGGCATCCCTGACAGCTGGTCCTGAGAGGTGTAGGCAGGCACACATGAGTGTATGTGCACACACGGACCCTCATACCCCCTTCAGTGCCCCTCAGGCATGCGTCCATGCTCCTCTCCTTCCTCCTCCTCCCTCAACTTACTCCACCTGGCTGAGGTCTTTACACTTGCTCAGCAACCAGCAGAGTGACTCTACGTGCTCCTGGCTGAGGCTGCAGCCTGTGAACCTGCTGGACGGAGGTAAAGGGGACAAGCAGGGGATGGGGCGTTTGGCCACTGAGACCCCCTCCGGCCTGGCTAGCCCAGGGCACAGCCTCTGGGCTCCAGGTGGGTCTCCACTCAAGCTTGGACCCTCTGGAAGTGTCCAGAATCCACTGCTCCCACCCCCACAGTAGATCCCACCCGGACCTGTGTTTCTTCATGCTGGGTGAAACAAGTCCCTCTGCAGGGTTGTTCCAGGGGAATGTTTTGTGGTAGGCAGTCTGCATACTGCTCTGGCCACCCAGGAGGCAGATCTACTGGTCCCCAACATCAACTAGCTGCCTAGGCATGGTTCAAGGGGGCTTACCCACAGCACACGCCTTCCTCCTCCTCGTTGGATCTGAAGTGCAAAGTTGCATGGTGCAGGGACCTGGATCAGACAGGACCTGGGTCAGACAGCTGTGGCCACAGCCTCAGGATGCCCCCACGGGGCCAGCACCCCTCCTCCGGAAGCCCAGCCTCTAGTTGGGTCCTACTGTCTTCATCCTACCCCCTCATACCCACCAGACTCCAGGCACAACCCTTCAGGACGAGTCCTGGCTGTCCCAGGGGAATGCCCACCTGAGATCCACCTTTTTAACCCGTGGACACAGGCTTAAGGTGTTGGCCAGCAGGAAGGGGCTTTTCGGGGACAGTCCCGTCTGGCTCAGCCTGAAAAGGAAAGGGGGTAGATCCGGCAAGATGAGTGGACAAGGAACCTGGCTAGCCTGGAGGGTAAGGAAAGGGAGGGTGGGGAGGGCTAGCAGCTCAGCAAGGCAATAGGGAAGCAGGCAGGGGATCAAGAGGCACAAATAGGGCTGAGGGACAGGCAGATTTGGATTTGAGTCCCAGTTCTGCTTATTGGCTGTGTGACCTTGGAGAAGTGACTTCACCTCTCTGAGCTTCAGTTTCCTTATCTGGAAATCAAGACTCGTCATGTATGACTCTCGAGGTATATGAGGATTTAATTACATCATGCAGGTGCACTGCCGGGCATGGGACCTGTGCTTGCTGTTATTATTACTATTGTTTTTACCTGCAAGCACAGATTTCACAGGCGAGTCCTTGCTCACAGAGAGTGGGAAGCTTCAGGCCCTTCAGACACAGTTTTTAAACCTTAGCACTATTGAGATGTGAGGTCCAATAATTCTTTGTTGTGGGCTCTCCTGTGCCCTATAGGATGTTCAGCAGCATCCCAGATCTCTATTCATTCGATGCCAGTAGCAGCACCCCTCACCCGCAGTCATGACCACCAAAAATATCTCCAGATATTTCCAAATGACTCCCAAGGGTGAAAATCACCCCCAGTTGGAAACCACTGCCTTAGAGAAAGTGAGATGGGTCCACTCTGCCCTCAGAGGCAGCCTCAGCACCTCCATTTGCCTCATCCAGTAATCCCCCTATCAGCTTGTCTGTAAATTCCACTCTCAAGATCCACCCTGAGTCTACCAACTTCTATCCCACCCCAGCAGTGATCAGCCCCCAGCACCCTTCACCCTGCTGCACACATCTCTTCCCACTCTCATTTCCACTCGTATCTCCCAATCCATTCTCTACCCAGCACTCAGTCTGAACTTTTGAAAACCCAAATGAGGAACGGGTGCAGTGGCTCCTGCCTGTAATCTCAGTACTTTGGGAAGCCGAGGCGGGCGGATCACTTGAGGTCGGGAGTTTGAGACCAGCATGGTCAACATGGTTAAACTCTGTCTCTACTAAAAATACAAAAATTAGCTGGGCATGATGGTGCACGCCTGTAATCCCAGCTACTTGGGAGGCTGAGGCACAAGAATTGCCTGAACCTGGGAGGCGGAGGTTGCAGTGAGCCGAGATTGCGCCATTGCACTCCAGCCTGTGTGACAGAGCGAGACCCTCCCCCACAAAAAAGAAAGAAAGAAAACCCAAATTATTCCTCTCCCTTTCATGTTCCCAGGAACAAAAGTCTAAACTCTCCCCATGGGTGCCAGGCCCCATGCAACCCAACCCGAGCCCATCTCTCTCTTCCTCCTCTCCTAGGACTGTCCCTGCCAGTCACTGTGCTCTGGCTGTCTCGGTTCCGCGCTGTTCCTGGAGCCCACCAAGCTTAATCATGCCTCAGGGCCTCACACATGCCGTTCCCTCTGCCTGGAATGCAGTTCCCTGCTCTTCACAAGGCGAGCTCTCTCTCTTCCTTTAGGTCCCAGCTCAGCATCCCTCCTCAGAGATGTTCCCTGATGGCTTCTGCCACATCTAAATCACCTCTCCAGCCACTCTTCACCACATCCCGAGAAAATTCTCTTATCACTGGCTAAGTTCATCTTATTTGATTTTACTTTACTTATTTTTCAGCTCCCACTATTGTAAGAGGAGCTCCAAGAAGATAAGGACATGGTCAACTTTTTCTGCTGTGTCGTCACACAATGCCTGGCCCACAGTAGGGCCACAAGCACTACACGTTGAGTACTACAAAGTTTAAACCCTGGCAAGGGGTCAGGCTGGCCACGCCACTCCAAAGGCGGACGAGGAGTCAGGGGTGAAGCTGTGTGATTTAGGCAAAGAGAAGTTCCTCTCCGGTCTGAGGTTTCCAACCTGTTCAATTTTAACCTGCCACCTTTTATGTCCAAAGGAGTCCTTTCTGACTCATTATCTCCGGGCAGGGTGGGACTATTACAGGGTGCCATGGGGTGCTGTGAGCTGGGCTGTACTTGCCCCTGGAATGTTGTCACGTCTCCTCCCTCCCTCCCAGATAAAACCCAAGCATAAGCGAGATCCTGGAGGTGATGCGAGCCATCTTAGACATCCCAGAGAGCCCCAGCCTTTGCACCGATGTTATTAACATTATGATTTACTTTCCTGCTGTATTTTTTCATCTTAGCTGCAGCTGCTTCCCACCCCGCCTCCCACCACTAGAAGACTGTTTAAAGTAAATCCTTCTAAAATTCTTTCTTTTTCTTTTTTTCTTTTTTTTTTTCTGAGATGGAGTTTCACTCTTGTCGCCCAAGCTGGAGTGCAATGGCGCGATCTCGGCTCACTGCAACCTCCGCCTCCCAAGTTCAAGCAATTCTCCTGCCTCAGCCTCCCAAGTAGCTGGAATTACAGGCACCCACCACCACACCGGGCTAATTTTTGTATTTTTAGTAGAGACGGGGTTTCACCACATTGGCCAGGCTGGTCTCAAACTCCTGACCTCAGGTGATCTGCCCGCCTCGGCCTCCCAAAGTGCCGGGATTACAGGCATGAGCCACCACACATGGCCTAAATACTTTTAAAATTCTAACCAGTCTGAGCTGAAATTAGAAAATAGTTTTAATACTTTGGGGGAATTCTGCTTAAATTCCCTTTTTGCGAGTTTGACGGTGACCTTTAAAAAGCAGCATGTGATAAGTACAGGACCTACATCTGTACAGCCCCTTTCTACGAGTGGGTGACCCTCCGTGGGTGGGGAGAAGTTGGACAGCTCATTTGTCACAGATCTTCCATTTCTTAAGGTGATTTTAGAATAACTTATTTGAGTCCCAACTCTGGGGGAATGGGCGGGGAATATTAATCCCATTTGTCAGATGAGGAAACTGAGACGCAGAGGAGGCAAACGACGCCCCCTGAGGTTGACAAAGTATTAGGGTGGAGCTGGAAGCAGATTGGAGTCCCCAGTTGTGCCAGGTAAAATGATAAAACAACCTAAGGAAAGAATGGAGCGGGTAGAGGGGGTTGGAGGGGGTAAAGGCGGGGGGTTGAGGGGTTAGAGGGCAGGTACAGCTTTGCCATGGAGGAGCCTTAGAAACACGAGCACAAGGAACCGGGAAATAGGAAAAACTCTCGTCTTACTGCAGCAGGCTCAGCTGAGGGAGTTGAGGTAAGCAGTCCAGTAGAGTCTCCAGGCTCTGGTCACTCAGGAACTCACAGGACAATCTGTGAAACAAAGCAGGTGGATGAGGTGGGGGAAACCTTCCAGGAAAGCAGGGAGCACGGCCTCATAGCCAGAGCCTTCTGGAGATGGGACCTAACCAGGGTCACCTGAAACATTCCCTCCCAGCACTGGGTCCATGGGTTATCCGTGAGGCTGGAAGAAGAGGAAGGTCTTTTAAGTTTGGGAAATACGGGGTTAAGCCAAATTAAATGGTTTTGTTTGCTGCAGGGCTTCTCTGAGGCTGCGATAGGCTGCTGTGCATTATGAATTTCCAAGGAGCTACAGCAGACTTTTCCCCAAACTAAATGGACTAGCAGAATTAATTTTTAAGGGCCATGAAGGTTAGTGTTCCGCAAAACATGTTTGTTAAGAAAAGAATGCAGCTGGGCATGGTGGCTCATGCCTGTAATCGCAGCACTTTGGGAGGCTGAGGTGGGTGGATCATCTGAGGTCAGGAGTCTGGGACCAGCCTGGGCAACATGGTGAAATTCCACCTCTACTACAAAAAACGAAAAAAAAATTAGCCAGGCGTGGTGGTGCACACCTGTAGTAATAGCTACTCAGGAGGCTGAGGCATGGGAATCACTTGAACCTGGGAGGCAGAGGTTGCAGTGAGCCAAGATCGTACCACTGCACTCCAGCCTGGGTGACAGAGCGAGTCTCTATCTCAAAAAAATAAAAAAGAAAAGAAAACAATGCTGCCTTAACCCAGAGGAGTGGATATGACAGTGGAAATTCAGCATACAACAGGTCAGCGAAGGAGACAGGGACTGGCTTGGGTCTCTAGTTGCCCATTAACACCAGACCAACCAGCTCATCATTGTTCAGATAATTCGTCAGAACCCAGTGCATTTAGGAGAAACTCCAGATACCTGCCTTGCTGTCTCTGCTCTAGATGGAGGACCAGGACAACTCAAGACACTGAGTTCCCTGGGGTTTACCTACAGCCCCTTCCTGGGGGGCCTGGAGCCACTTCCCAACCCCCGCAGACCTCTACTATGTTCTCCTTCTGCCTTCTCCACCTCCCCCTTCCTCTCTTTCTGTTCCTTCATCCTCTGCAGGCTGCCCTCTCCCCTCTCCGGGGCCTCCAAGGGCCTGGCCCATCTCTGCTGCTTTCTCCTCTGGCTGTTTGGAGGGGAGGCATGGAGTACAGGGGCCCTACATCAACTGGCTCAGTGAGCTGGGGGGCAGGGTAGGGCGGGAGGAGCAGCCTCATGTTGGAGCCTCTGCCAGGGCCCAGGCTGGAGGCCCAACTCTACCCTTTCTGCCCCAGGGACTGGGCATGGGCCCCTGAGGCACAGTCAGGACTGGGGCCTTTATTGAGGGTGGTCTTTCCAGAAACACATCCCGTATGGTGTCCCACCAGACCCCCAAATACACCATGGGCTCTGGTTGGCAAAGGAGGTGATTACACCCTCCTTTTTTTTTTTTTTAAAGCAATGGAATCTTTACTCTTTACCACATCCCACATGGTATGCCCATGTGTACACAGGCAAAGTAGACCTGCAGTGCTTGAATTCAGGGAGGGGGGATGGAGCCCCACAATCTATCTTCCCTGGCTTCCCCGGTGGAACCCCGGGGAATCACTGGACTTCAGCATTGAGTACCTTGATGACTATTTATAGCAATAATCCTGCAAGTGATCACAGTACTCTACAGTTGACAAAGTGCTTTCATATTCACTATTGCACTTTCCCCAACCACAGGTAATGGAGGGGGACCTGAAACTCCCACCTGTGCTCAGACCGCCCAGTGCTGCCAGTGGGCTTTATTTATTTATTTATTTATTTATTTATTTATTTATTTGAGACAGAGTCTTGCTCTGTTGCCCAGGCTGGAGGACAGTGGCGCAGTCTTGGCTCACCACAATCTCTGCCTCCCGGGTTCAAGCAAGTCTCCTGCCTGCCTCCAGAGTAGCTGGGATTACAGGGGTGCACCACCATGCCTGGCTAATTTTTGTATTTTTAGTAGAGATGGGGTTTCACTATGTTGGCCAGGCTAGTCTCGAACTCCTGACCTCATGATCCAGCCACCTCGGCCTCCCAAAGTGCTGGGATTATAGGCGTGAGTCACCGTGCCGGGCCGCCAGTGGGCTTTTTATATTAAGCTTCCTCTGCAGATGATTTGCCTTGGCCAGCAGAGCCCGCATCCCAGTCTCCTTGTGTTCCCAGGATCTGGCCCAGTGCATGGTATACAATAGGTACTTAACAGTCAAATCACGTAAGAGTGCTTTTTGTAGCACTGACTGCAGTGCTACACAAAACAAAACACAACACCTAGAAGCAGTTTGGATTTCAATCTAGACCAAGTTGTCCAAGCCACATGGCCTGCTGCATGCAGCCTAGGATGGCTTTGAATACGGCCTAACAAAAATTCGTAAACTTTCTTAAAACACTATGAGATTTTTCTTTGGAGTTTTGTTTTTTTTTTTTAGCACATCAGCTATCGCTAGTGTTAGTGTATTTTATGTGTGGCCCAAGACAATTCTTTTTCTTCTTCCAATGTGGCCCAGGGAAGCCAAAAGATTGGACACCCTTGATCTAGACTCTAGAAGGGTGTGGTGGAGTAACTTGCAGCTCGTCCCGTACTGTGGCAATTTAGTATTAAAAGGCATCAGTATATACTCTGTGAAAACAGGTAAGAGACAATCAGGGACCACTGACCATTGGTTGACTTTAAGGAATTGCCATTAATAGGGTAGGTCTGGGCCAGGTGCAGTGGCTCAAGCCTGTAATCCCAACACTTTGGGAGGCTGAGGAAGGTGGATCACTTGAGGTCAGGAGTTCGAGACCAGCCTGGCCAACATGGTGAAACCCTGCCTCTACTAAAAATACAAAAATTAGCCAGGCATGATGGCGGGCGCCTGTAATCCCAGCTACTCAGGAGGCTGAGGCAGGAGAATTGCTTGAACCCAGGAGGCAGAGGTGGCAGCAAGCCGAGATCACGCCATTGCACTCCAGCCTGGGCAACAAGAGCAAAACTCTGTCTCAGAAAAAAAAAATAGTGTAGGTCTGATAATGGTTTTGTGGTTATATGTTTGAACCTGGAGAAGGACATGGGAAGGCCACACTCCAGGGGGTCAAACCGGATTATCTGGTTGGAAGGGCTGGAAGGGCATTTGAGATGGGGGCTAGAAAGCAAGAAAAAAGACTGAAGCAAAATGGAAAACACAGATGCTATGAAAACACAGTGCATGAAACTAGTTTATGACTGCAAACAGGTAGAAACTGAATATGCAAATAGGCAAGGAGTAGACAGTCCTGTGGACACATGACAACATGGATTTGATGAGAGAAGAGGTTGTTTAGGTGAGGCAGGTTTTGTCTTGGATTTCTTTATTTTAAGGTAATTACTATAATAGAATCACCACAATGACAATAAAAGGAAAGGCTGACCATCCACTGTGCAGATGAAGAAGCTGAGGCCCGGGGAGTTAAATCCCTTTTGAGCCAAGAGTCCTGATTCCAGGTCCAGTCTCTGGTTACAGACCCAGATGTTCTGGGGCGAGTGAGGTGGTAACCCCAAGGAGAGTGGGGGTGCCTTGAGGAAGGGCTTTCAGAAGTGCTACGCTCCAGCCATGCAGGCAGGTTCAAGTGGGTGCCCTGGTGAGGCTCCAGGGGTGGGGTTGGAGGTGGACAGGGCTCCCAGGTGCCCTGAGTTGAGTGGATGGTGCAGGTGAAGGCTTCCCCAGTCCAGCACAGCATCTCCCAGTGGGAGACATGCGCTGCCTAAGGCTGGGGGCTGCCGAGAGACAGCCAAGTTTCTACCAAAGGCCAGGGGACTCTCATGGGGCAGGGCTGGTGGGAAGAAATCGAGAAAGACTCACCTGTCTTCTAACCAAGAAGCCCCCTCCCAGGTCACTGGGCAGATCCCCACATGGTGCCCTCTGGGGCTGTGTCCTCGTTACTTACTGCAGTTCCAGGGGTCCCGGGCAGTCCTTCAGAGTGGCACAGAGGCGGGTGAGGCTTGGG
The DNA here is from genome assembly GCF_000001405.40 of Homo sapiens. NCBI lineage: Eukaryota > Metazoa > Chordata > Mammalia > Primates > Hominidae > Homo > Homo sapiens. Next base: position 57,047,568 of record NC_000016.10, on the reverse strand, counting down.
GGCTCCAGAGGACACTCACTGAGGCTGCAAAGGGGCAATGGGCAGGGCAGGGAATCAGAGAAAGCCCAGGGTCCCTGGCTAGCCCCAGGGGCTCTATCCTTCTCCCAGCATCCCTCACTCTAAGTGGGAGGCCACAGGCCCCTTCCCCTGTGGGGCACTCGCTTCCCTCTCGAGTCTCCCCTGCAGCCCCCAATCCTCCTGCCCTGACAGTGACAGTGCAGGACCCTGAGTTCCCAGCTGCCCTTGTCAGTGACTCTCCAAGTCCTCCCCACCGCCCCCTCCAGAGCCCAGGCCACCATCCTCACTCACCTTGACCATTTAACACCCTCTGGGCTTCCACTCTTGCCTCCCTTTAATCCCTCTCTGCCCCACAAGTGTCTCACATTTTAACACTGCACATCTGACCAGGCCTCTCCCTGTTACCCCCGTGGCTCCCCATTGCCCTGGGGCTAACAGTGAAATTGAAATGTCCTTCCCAGGGCCTCACTTGCCTCCACTTCCCTGGAGGCCTAGAGAGAGGTGGGGCCAAGTCAGGGTCTCACAGCCTCTCATGGCAGAGCTTGCAGATGGGGAGTGTATTAGTGGGGAGACAGGCCAACCCCTTTCTTTCTGGAAAGTGGGTGTCCCCCAGAGCAGATGGAGACCCCAGGCAGGGAGTGGCTGAGCTGCTCTGTTTGCTTCACAGAAATGTGGAATCTTCTCTCCAAGGAGAATGCGGGGCATGGGCCAGCTGAGCTGCCCGTCAGGGGCCAGAGCTCCCCAACTCCCAGCACCCCTCACACCCACGCCTCTTTCTTTTCCTTTTCTCTTAAACTCCCTCTCTTCCCTCTATCCCAATCCCCAGCCCTAGCCCCCTGCCAGCTCTGCCCCCTCTGACGCCTCATCCCTATTATGGTTACCCCCAAACAAGAAGGGCTGGGACAGTACCAGAGGCTCCTGGGGATGCAGCGCTGACGGAACCCTAAGAACTTGGCTGCAGCTGGGAAGTCTGGCAAAGATCCAGTGGCCCACATATCCCTAGGAGGGGGATCATTTAGAAAGGAAAGTTCAGATCACCCCCTCGGACTCCCAGCCCAGCCCATATACCCCTAGGAGGGGGATCGTTTAGAAAGGAAAGTTCAGATCACCCACATTGGACTCCCAGACTTGGAAAGTCAGGGCTGGAAGGCATCTCAGAGACAATGCAGTCACTAGATCCTAGCTCAGTCCCTCATTGTTCAGATGGGGAAACTGAGGCTCAGGGAAGGGAAGCCTGAGTTAGAAAAGCCAGCAGCTTGTTCCTGTCCAGGTGAGCAGGCAGGAGGACCCAAGACAGAGCCTCTCTGACCACTGCTTGGCATCACATGACTTCTGCCTCCCTGTACGTCAGTTCTTTGGGCCTCAAGAACCCGGGGGTTCCCCAGAAACAGAGATCCTATCCTGGGAAGCAAGACCACCCAGGCTTGAGCCACCCCTGACTCCTGACAGCCCATCTGTACGGCAGTGCCTTTTCTTGACACACTAGCTGTGACTCTCTCCACCCAGCCAGCTGCACATGGGCCCACCCTGTCCGCTGCCACTGCTCCCAAGTGAGGCCAAGAGGCCTGGTCCCACTAGAGGGCAGCCGGGAACATCATGAAGAGCTAAACTAGTATTGGTTGTTTACTGCGAAGACGGGGAAAATGTTTTTTCAGAGCACCCACGGCCCCTGCCTTCAGAGCGTGAAAGGGCAGTGACATGTATGGAGCGGTGGGTCTACAAAATTCCCCGAAACGCAGAAGCACAAATGTTCTCCTGTCTCCTCCCACACAGCAGCAATCTGCGGGCACCTGCCCTGCTCTGGGACCTCTCCCAACCATATCCCTCCCTTCCTCCCATCTGCATTGCCTCCTTCCAAGGGGAAAACAGGGCAGTTGATTACTGACAATTTATGGGGGGGGCGGTGGTTACTGAAGTGGTGATTAAACCTAGTGTGCCGGACTTGGGTGGTTTAACTGAGAGCTGAGTGGTCAGCATGGGTCTGGGGGTGGGGGGACCTCCAACAGACGGGGACCAGAGCGGGAGGGGACTCCCCCACCCCGAGCGTTCCCTCCTCACCTGCTTGTCTTGTCCCCTCTCAGGAGGATGTGTTGGCTTTCAAAGCTGGAAGCAGAGAGGAAGCAGCAGTTTGAAAATGGTCAAAGACCAACTTCCCTGGCAGTGGCAAGAACCCAGACTGGTCAGGGCAAGGAGGGCCTGGGGTGGCCTGCTTTCTTAGCAAACAAGGAATAGATTAAGCAACAATTACATGTATCAAGTCACATGCAAAGCACACCATCGACATTTCTCATTTGATTCTCACAATAAACAATGAGGTAAGAAATTCTTCTTTGTTGTTGTTTCGAAGAAAGGGTCTTGCTCTGTCGCCCAGGCTGGTGTGCAGTGGTGCAGTCATGGCTCACTGCAGCCTCAACCTTCCCCGGGCTCAACTGATCCTACTGCCTCAGCCTCCCAAGTAGCTGGGACTACAGGAACGCCCCACCATGACTGTCTAATTTTTGTATTTTTTGTAGAGATGGGGTTTTGCCATGTTGAGCAGGCTGGTCTCAAACTCCATGGCTCAAACGATCCTCCTGCCTTAGCCTCCCAAAGTGCTGGAATTACAGATGTGAGCCATTGTGCCTGACATTTTTTTTTCTTTGAGACAGAGTCTTGCTCTGTTGCCCAGGCTGGAGTGCAATGGTGTGATCACAACTCACTGTAGCCTCGATCTCCTGAGTCTAAGCAATCCTCCCACCTCAGCCTCCCAAGTAGGTGCATGCCATCACGCTTGGCTAATTTTTAAAGTTTCTGTAGAGATGGGGGGGTCTCACCATGTTGTCCAGGCTGGTCTCAAACTCCTAGGCTCAGGTGATCCTCCTCCTCCTGTCTTGGCCTCCCAAAGTGCTGGGATTACAGGCTTGAGCCACTGTGCCAGGCCAGTAATTATTCTTATCTCCATTTTACAGATGAGGAAACTGAGGCCTGGAGAGGCTCTGGGACCTGCTCTGAGCTCGCAGCAGTTAAGTAACTGAGCCTGGTCCATCTGCTGTGGCACCTCCCATTCTTGGGGGTCCTTAGGGAAGGGAAAGGGAAGCAGACCTCCCCTGAAAATCATGGATGCGGTGCCCTGAGTGCCTGGGGTGGCTTGGCTGGCTGGTGCCTCCCCTTTTATATTCTCATCAGCTCCCACAATTAAGACAGGTCCCTGAGTCCCCAGTGGCAACTAGGAAGCTCCCAGTTTTCTTTTCTTTTCTTTTTTTTTTTGAGATGGAGTCTCACTCTGTCGCCCAGGCTGGAGTGCAGTGGCACGATCTCAGCTCACTGCAACCTTCGCCTCCTGGGTTCAAGTGATTCTCCTGACTCCTGAGCGGCTGGCACTACAAGGGCTCACAACCACGCCCAGATACTTTTTTTTTTTTTTTTGGTATTTTTAGCAGAGACAGGGTTTCACCCTGTTGGCCAGGCTGTTCTCAAACTCCTGACCTCACGTGATCCGCCCACCTTGGCCTCCCAAAATGCTGGGATTACAGGCGTGAGCCACCGCGCCTGGCCCCCAGTTTTCTTAAAAGTCTCTGCAGCATACCAACATGGCACATGTATACATATGTAACAAACCTGTATGTTGTGCACATGTACCCTAGAACTTAAAGTATAATAATTAAAAAAAAAATCCTAAAAAAAAAAATCTCTAAGGACTATCCAAAGAACGAGTGAGGCAGAGTCAATGAACTCTCTAATGGTGAATTTGGAGAAATTTGAGCATCCGTGAGGCCATACTTATTCATTCATTTGATCATTCATTCATTCAGTGGACGCCCATCACATGCTCTGCAGATCTGGTACTGCCCAAGGTGCTGAGGATGACAGGTTGGCATGAAACTGGTGGACAAGGGGCCCACGTGGGAGCAGATGACCTGTGGGATGGGGGACAGGGGCAGGGCTGGGGGCGGAGAGGCACGCTCACCTGATGTCCAAGCGGAAGAGCCACTGCAGAGTGGAGAAGCACCGAACCAAACCCAACACGGCATCCAGGGACAAACCGTTCTCACTGAGGCTGGAGATCACAGGGGTGGCACAATGGAGGTCACTCAGGACCCAAACACATCCTCTTTGTGGTCAGGGCACAGGGCGGGGGAGGGATCCCTGGTTCCAGATGACGGAACCCACTGAACCCAAGATGGTCAGAGAGCACCCCTTGCAAGTCCTCATGGTGGAGATGGGGAAACAGAGTCCTAGAGAGAATCAAGGTCTAGCCCAAGGTTATGAGACATGTTGGTGACAGAGCTGAGATGGGCACCCAGTGGGTCCCTCGGTCTGTGATGGATCTGAGGAGTGCTTTCTGGCTGGAGCTGGGCCTCCTTTTCTCCACCTGATAAGGGAGGGGTGGTACCCAGGACAAAATGAAAATGCAGGGTCTCTTGTGCAGAAAGCAGGAACAAAGTGTCTCCTTTCTTTCAGGGTCTCCTGTCAACTTGTTATTGTTTTCTATTTACTATTTAATGCTACACTCCCCTCCCACGGGGACACTGGTAGGGCGAGTGTGGACCCTCACAGCACCAGGTCACGAGTCCACACTAATAAGAAGGTCACATGAGGACATACTAAAACCTCCAGTCTTCATGTAATTTGCCTGCAATGGTTAGACCTTCCTTCCTTCCCAGGTGCAGGCCCTGAACAGGAACCAAGGCAACTCCCTTCCTTCCCAGCATTGCACAAAAACAGGGTGTGAGCAGGGGGTCCTTAGGCCCCAGCACTCATTTCAGAGATCGTAGCCACCAACAGAGGCCACGCCTGCAATTTATGTATTTACCGACTGGGAACCAGGGACTCGGAGAGGGGATGTAACTTGCCCAGAATCACACAGCAAAGCGTGTTCACAGAGACAGCCTGGAATATAGGACCTGTGACCTCTCCCCTGGGCTCCTCTGGCTTTGGCCCAGAAGTGCCTGGGAGGAGGGGGTGCTTTGTGAGCCAAAAGCACCAAGGGCATTTAGGGATCAAGAACTCTGGTCCATTGCAGGCAAACTTTGGGGATTCCTCCTACACACTCTCTGCCAGGTACTCAGGGATCCTTGGCAGCCCTGGGCACCCTGCTTGAGTGTCCTCTCTGGTACAAACCCTCCCTGTCTACCCTGACCATACCCCAGCTAACAGCCCCAGCCCCTCCCGGCACCCCAGGGCCAGAATAACAACTGCCAGCCGTTAGTCATACTTCGCACCCACACCTGCCCTCCCCAGGGTGGCCTCAGAAGCCTGTTCAGAGATGCGGAGACAGGTTCCAGAAGTGAAACCTTGAATCAGAAGTGGGATTATTGAGTCACAGACTCTCTGAGTAAGAATCATCTATTAGCTAGCCTTCACCGAGAACTTACATTGTATTAGGGGCAATTTTCATGCATTTTCCGATTTAATCTTTACAATAACCCCAGGAAAGAGGGGGATGGGACAGAGAATGCTCCCCCCCTGCCCCAGCCTCAGAGGCTCTGCCTAGCGGGCTACTCACTTCAAGGACTGCAGAGCTCCCAGCCCTGGGAGCAGCTGAGCCAGCCGGGCTGCACCTTCATCCCCCAGAGCATTGCCTGAGAAGCTGGGGGTGGGGAGAAGGGAGGGGAGAACATTAGCAGGTGGGGAGTGGGTTGCTGGCAGCATGGTCCCTGCATTCCAGTTACTCAACTTCCTGAAACTGGACACAGCCCTGGGCTGCCAGGCCAGATCTCAGCAGATCTGGCACGGGCAGCTGGGGTCTCCCCCAGGTTCTTATTCTGAGGTTCGTGGACCTCTGAGGGACCAGGGGTGAGCCTCCGAGCGTGTCAGACATGGGGGATCTGTATCTTGGGAGGAAGAGTCACAACTTTCACCAGATTCTCCAAGGGGTTTCTGACTTCAGCAGGGAAAGAACAGTTGATCTAAATCTTAAAAACCAAACCCAAACACCAACACTAACTCACTGTAATTGGCCCCACCCACCCACCTTCCAACACACAAACCACTCACTCGAGGTGGAGGTGACCGAGGTGGCAGCTTCCTCCCAGAGCCTTGCAGAGCTGCTCTAGGTGCTTTTCTTGGAGGCCACAATGTGTCAGCCTGCCCAGGGACAAAAACACAGTGCTGCATGCCCCACTGAACAGAGGCGGGAAGGAGCCGCTTTCCCACCCCCCAGACACAGAGGCAGAGAATGAGGCTTGCAGGAGAGGAGGGACTGGGATGTATCTGGCACCTAGACAGACGGACAAAGAGGGACCAACACACACGACACCCACAGGATGTCACATATAGGCAGAGGGTGGGCAGAGACACAGATGGAAGGAAACCAAGGCACAGAGACCTCAGAGAGAGAGAGCAGATCAGAGGAAGACAGATAAGACTGAAATAACAGTTAAATAAACTGATAAAACAGAAATACACGATGAGAGAGGGAAGAAATGAGAGAAACAGGCAGAGGGACAGAGGGAGATTAGGACAGACAAAGACCAAGAGAGAAGGGGGGAAGAGTGCTGATGGGAGCCCCCAGGCCCAGGCACCAGGATCATGACAGAAGGAGCCCAGTGCTCCCCTTCACCTCTTTTCAGAGTCTCCACAACCCCTCAGCTGCTGGGGGTCAGGGAGCTAAGGGGAGTGGGGTCTCCTGGGCTTGGGAAGGTGGTTGACGGGGCTGCCTTGTGAGCCCTGTCTGGGGTGGGCTGGGCAGGGGAGGTAGGAGGTAGGGAAGCCAGGCCATGACCCCTGGACACAGCAGGTCAGGTGTCCTTCAGGGAGCATGTGGGGCCTGGGCACAGGTTTGGGAGCAGGCTCTGAGCAGGGGAAGGGAGGGGGCTGGAATCACACACAGGGCTGGAGGCCATCACTGTACCTCATCCTTCGGGAGCTCAGAGGCAGCTCAGAGGGCATCTGGAGCATGAGGCTGTCAAGAAATGCAGCCCTGGAGGGACATCACCAAGGCCAGGCTGAGCAAAGGCCATGTCCGCCATCTCCAGAATCCATCCTCAGCCTGGCCTTCCACCATCGAGCCCTATCCTCCACCTAGAGTCAATCAGACCTTGGTGCCAATTTGGCTTCTCCACTTCCTGGTTGTGTGACCCTGGACAAATCACAGCCTCTCAATGGGAGACTGTATGTGAACTGCCTTAGTTTGGTGCTTGGTGCATACATGGCAAGTACTCAATTGACCTTGACTGCTATTATCATTAATCTCATCCTCCTCCTCATCTGTGCTTCAGAGATGTCAGCCCCAGCTGGAATCGAGCCTTCAGTAGTCCAGACTCTACAGAAGAGATTGTGGGTGGGCTCCGGGAGCAAAGAGCTGAGTCTCTACCCATGCGCTAGGCTGGGGCAATCCAGGACCCTAATGGGTCCTTGTGTGAAAGGGATACAGAAGTTCCGACCAGGACCAGAGCTACAGGCCAGGCAATCCCCTGGGTTTAAGCTGGAGGGCTCTAGTCTCCCGGAATCCCCCTCTGGCTACCCAACTCCTGCCCTGGCCTGCTGTCTATATCCTACACACTGGGGCTCCTTTCAGGCACCATGAGAGGCGGAGGTGGTCTGGATTTGGACCCTCCCCCTTTGGGGCTGCATCCTTTGCCAAGCCTGCTCACTTCCCGCTCTTCCGTGAATTTGTCCAGGTCACCCTGGCAGTTGACTGACTGGCACTGCCCAGCTGTGGAGGGTAGAGAGGGGAATGTCCCTGACTGAGCATGGAGTTGGGGTGAAATCGGGCCCTACCTCTCCTGGGGCCCCTTCTGCTCCTCTGGCTCCTGGGCAAACATGAAGATCACAGTTTTGTGCTGCAGGCTGTGAAGACAAAAGAGGGGTGAGGAAGCGAGAGGTTATTGGCTCCCTGTTACTATTTCTTTTTGAGAGAAGGTCTCAGTCTGTTGCCCAAGCTGGTGTGCAGTGGTGCAATCATGGCTCACTGAAGCCTCCACCTCCTGGGCTCAAGCAATCCTCCCACTTCAGCCTCCTGAGTAGCTGGGATTACAGGCTTGTGCCATCAGGCCCAGCTAATTAAAAAAAAAAGTATGTAGAGACAGTCTATGTTGTCTACTCTGGTCTCGAACTTCTGGGCTCAGGTGATCCTCCCACCTTTGCTTCCCAAAGTGCTGGGATGATAGGTGTGAGCCACCGTGCCCGGCCTGTCACTTTTTACCCCTGGCCCGGGAGGACCTCTCAAGTTCCATCCCCCTGCCTCCAGCTGCAGCCACTTCCTCTGACTCCCCTCTGACTTCCTCTGAGCTTTTGGAGGGCTGAAATCTTTCTACCACAGATATTTCACAAATGTATCTATTGCCTAAGTAAGCCCCATTTCCTGGCAAGTCTTAAAAGAAAACAAATTCTGTGTTCTCTCTTTTAGCCCCAGACTGAAACCCCTCTCTCTGCTAGTCAGTGTTCTGTCTGTGCTCAAAGTATGTGTGGATTACCCCTGGTAACCTTTGGAGTGAGTCCTTCAAACCTTCCATTTTCTAGTGCAATAATTTTTGTTTTACAAACATGGGATTAAACTATAGATTCTCTTTTTAAACATTAGTTTTTTAAGGGCTAGAAGCAGGGATGACAAATAATTATTAATACTTGATCATTATTGATGGGAACAGATTATATATACCATGCTCTCTCTTTTTTTTTTTTTTTTTTTAATTTGAGACAGAGTCTTGCTCTGTCTCCCAGGCTGGAGTGCAGTGGCATGATCTCGGCTCACTGCAACCTCCGCCTCCCAGGTTCCAGCGATTCTCCTGCCTCAGCCTCCTGAGTAGCTGGAATTACAGGTGCACGCCACCATGCCCAGCTAGTTTTTGTATTTTTAGTAGAGACGGGGTTTCATCCTATTGGCCAGGCTGGTCTTGAACTCCTGACCTCAGGTGATCCCCCTGCCTCAGCCTCCCAAAGTGCTGGGTTTACAGCATGAGCCACAGCACCTGGCCCAGATTATACCATTCTTTCTGCCATTGCATATCTTGAAAAGCTTTATTATAATCTTTTATAATCTTTTAAGATAATGAGTTAAAATTTTTATGTTTGGCCTGGTGCAGTGGTTCATACCTATAATCCTTGCTCTTTGGGAGGCCAGGGCAGGAGGATCACATGAGCTCGGGAGTTTGAGAACAGCCTGGTCAATATAGCAAGACCCTCTCTCTACTAAAAATAAAAAAAATTGCCAGGCATAGTGACTCATGACTGTAATCCCAGCACTTTGGGAGACTAAGAGAGATGGATTGCTGAGCCCAGGATTTGGAGGTTACAGTGAGCTGTGATTGTGTCACTGTACTCCAGCCTTGGTAACAGAGCAAGATCCTGTCTCTAAAGAAATTTCTTTATGTTTACTTAATAACTCCCCGTCACCCCTCCATATTGAAACTGCACCTATATTATCATTTTTTTTTCTATGGTTCCACTGAGTTCTCTCTGGAAGTAACTTAGTCTAACTAATATCCCTCGGTTAAACATTCCAGCTATTTTCTTTTTTTTTCCTATTATAACCAATACTGAGGTGAACATCCCTACAGCTAAATGTGTTTGCACAATCGTGATAATTTATTTAGTATAAGTTCCTGGAAGTGAACAGGGCATCGCTTGGAATGCACTAGGGACCCTTTATTGAATCATCATATACAGTGAACCAAGGTCCCCTAATCTACCTTTTGGGTGAATCGGTTTCCCTCTCCTCCCTTGAGGGGTGTTTAAAGCAGGGACCACCCTACTGGGTTGAGAATGAGGCTTTCCTCCGAGTGGGAACTGAGTTGACATTAATCATCATCTGTCCTCACCTCCCCATACTCAACGGCGAGACTTACAGAAATAGGATTGGGTTCCCTAGTGGCAGAGCCTGGGTCTGTGAGTGGGGTAGGGGGTCGCATGTCACTTGTCAGTTGCGCACATCATGAACTGACGGTCTGCTCTCAGGAGAAACAGTAAGGGACTGAGGGAAGCCAAACGGAGCAAGTCCTTGGCCTAGTCTCCCAGGGAGCTTTGTCCCACTGGAGAGTTTGGGCTGGAGAGTTGTGCCCTCTGCCTCTGTCATTGGCCACTCTAGGTTAGGGGAAAGTGGGGGTTGTACCCTGCCAGGCGTCTCTGGTTCTTATCAGCCAAGGGTAGTTCTCCAGAGGTATAAACCATGAGCAGCCTATATCCACAGCAGCTAGGAAGAGGGGTGCCGGCTGTAACGGGGTCTGGGTGGGACAGCAGCAGCATCTTCTGCCCGTCCCAAGGCCTGGGCCCAGAAGGAATTCCAAGGGCTTCAGAGAGAGCATGATGGGGGGGGGGATGGGTACCGTGGTCTGAGGGAGCTCCCACCTGATGTGCAGCTCTGCCAGGGTCCAGCACGCACTCACGGCCCTCAGCACACAATGCACCCCGGCCACAGAAAGCCCGTTGTTACTGAGGCTGTGGAGAGCAGGAGAAGGCAGCCGTTGGCATGTGGCTGAGGTACCCAGCCCCAGCCAGCTCTAGCCCCTCCCTGTGGCTCAGCAGCTTGCTGGCTGTCACTCCTGGATGTCCTAGGTCCCTTGCCAGGGGATCTCAAAGGATTCTGGTGCGTGTGAGTAAGCCAAAAAATGCATGACACCCCCATCCCATTTGGAAAATAAAGTTGTCCAGCTTGACAGCAAGAACTCAGTGTTTTCACCTCTCTGACCCCCAGTTTTCTCATCTGTAAAATAACCACCATTTTCTGAGCCCTGACTATACCAGACTCTGTACAAAAGGCTTTGTACATATATGGTTTCATGTGATCCCATTTTACAGAGGGGAAACCGAGGCCCAGAGACATTCAATTACTTTCCCAGGTTCACAATGCTACTAAGTGACAGAGCGAAGATTGAAATCCAAAGCTGAGGCCCCAAACCACTGCTACCCAATCTCAACACTCCCCAAACCCGACCCACACTTGATCCTAAGACCCCCAAGACACCCCCACCCAAACATCACCCTCACCCCATGCAACACCACAGCACACCCAGCAGCCTAATAGCCTACCTTTCCATCTCACCACCCCTCACCCCAACAGTGTATCCCCACAGGAACACACCACTCCCTACCCTAGCACCCCAGCATGACACCTCCACAGTGCAACATCCCACCCACCCTGACACCTCCCCAGTGCAACACCCCACCCCACCGTGCTCCAGGGCAGCTACAAAGATGAATTGGAATGCAAGCCACTGATGTATAATGAACGCATTTTACACATGTAAGGGTGCTAGATGATTGGACTAAGACAGTGGCTCATGCCGGAGGTGAAGGCAAGGCATGGTCAAACCATCTTGACTTTGCTGGAGTTGGGAGGAAGCAGGGGTGGCAGTGGATCAGCACCCTTACTGCTGATTACGAACACGGGGACCTCCTGGGGCTCTACAGGGCCTTCCCTGGTACCCAGCGGTGGGGTGGACAACTCACTCCAGCTTCCTGGCGATGTGCAGCTGGGATGCAGCCTCTGCCATCAGCCGACAGCCTTCATCTTCCAGCTGGTTCCCTGAGAGGCTGAGACGGGGGGCCCAATGCACTGTATTGTGGGGCTGGAGTCCTCCCTCAATCCCCATCACTTACTCCTCCTTTGCTAACTTTAGTCAAAGTGTCACTCTCAGGAATGAACCTTGATAATAACTGAAATCGACAGACTCCATACCACATGCCTGGCAACATCCTAGGTTCTTCTATGACTATTGGCCTATTTCATCCTCATAGTGCCGATGACGTGGGCACTGTAATTATCCTCACCTTACTGATGAGTAAACTCAAGTGCAGAGTGGTTAAGTGCAGAGTAAAGTTAAGGCACTTGCTCGAGGGAGAACCTGGATTTGAACCCAGGCAGCCTGCCTTCAAGGCCCCACCCTCAACTCTTCCTTTATGCTGCAAGTTACATAATTGCTTTTTGTGATAAACTTCATGATTATGGGGGCATCTGACCTAGTCTGGGAGTCGGGGATGGCTTATTTGTTGCTTAAGCTACTTGCTGAAATAACTGGGAGTTCAGTAGGTAAAAGGTTGGGGGAGAGATGGAGGAAGGGTGTTCCTGGTGGTAGAAGCAGTACATTCAAAGGCCCTGTGGCATAACACATATGAGGACCTGAAAGAGAGCCAGTGTGTCTGGATTGGAGATTGAGTGGAAGGATGGGGTCAGATGGGGTTTAGGAGGCTGGGGGCAGGGTTCTGGACCACCTGGGAGTTTAGAATGTGGGTTTTATCCTGAGCAGTGGGAAGGAGTGAAGGGGGCAGGCATCAGTGAAAAGTGATCTACTCTCTGCCAGGTGGAAGTGGCCAGGGTGAAAGCAGGGAAGCCAGCAAGGAAGGCAAGGCGAGGGGGTCATCCAGGTAAGAGATGAGGGTGGGTTGGACTAGAAAGGTGGAGGAAAAGAGGATAGTTTTGAGCGCTACCAGTAGGTCCATCTGGAGGGACTAAATGTGGGAGAAGGGCAAGGGGGCTAGGAGGTGGCTGCGTAACCAGGCGGGTGATGGGGCTGCTTCTGCAGGTGATGGCACTCGGGGAGGGGCATGCTCAGTGCTGGTGAGGCAGGTAGAAGTGTGTGAGCTTGTTAAAAAACCACCTTCTAATTCTGTCCTGGTTCTCCCAATGGGACGAGGTCCAGGATCAAGAGGTGATCACCACGACAACCCTCACCCCTATCCGTCTTACCCTGAGGTGGGGCCACTCGACCCAGAACACATCCTGGCGTTCCATCATCTGCCTTCATGTTCACTTGGAGGTTTCCTGGAGGGGCGCCCCTCCTAGGGTCGTGACAGAGCCTCCGTCCATCCCCAAGCACTACTCTTATTGGCTTCAGCCAGGGGCTGGACGCCATGGGAATTTCTCCATCCCGAAAAGAGAAGGTTATCCCACTCTACTCTGGGAGAAGGATGAAGGGGGTGGGGGGAGCCCTGAGGGACTGTGGTTTGGAAGGCAGACCCAGGTGTGGTGGGGTTTCTACTTGGCAGATCTCAGCAAGAGAGGTAGCAGTGGTTATGAGGATGAGGCTGCGAGCCAGACTGTCTGGGCTTGAACCCTAGCCTAGACTCTTCCTACCTGTGTGGCCTTGAGCAAGTTTATCTTTCTGCAGCTTAACTTCCTCCTCTATAAAATGAGGACAGTAACAGTGCTTACATCACAGAGATGTGAGGAGTGAATGCGAGGAGGCATGTACAGTCCCTAGCACAGCACCTGACCCGGGACAAGTGCTGAATAGTAGCAGCTGTTACAATGATCTGATTCCCCCAAATTCTTCATGAGGCAGCATGCCCCTCCCCCACACCACCCACCCAAAGGCGAGGCCCTGCCCACCCTCTCCAACCTCCTTTCCTGGCTCCTACGCCAGGGCTTCCCGTGATACTCACTCCACTTCCTCCAGGTGAGGGCCTTCCTGGAGCAGGGCTATGAGGGCCTCCGCATCGTGGACCTGGAGCTGACACTTCTGCAGCCTTGGGTAGGAGTGGGGGACAGAAGGGCTCAGGGCAAACAGCCCCTACTCCATGGCCCCTCCAGCTTCCAATGCTGGGGGAGTCAGGGGGCCCACAGACCTGGGTCTAATCCTAGCCACACCTCTTAGTAGCTGGGTGATCTTGAGCAAGGGACTTAACCTGTCTGAGACTCAGTTTCCTCCTCCCTCAAAGGGGAATAATAATGTGTACTTCACAGAGATTCTAAAGGAATTACAGTGAGGTAATGGATGTAAAACATCTAGTGCAATGCCCGGCATATAGATAGCCGGTTCCATTAAGTTGCAGCTATTGTTATTATGACAGATGCTCCTTATTCAAGCCAGGATGGGCTATCCAGGATGGGCACCACACCCGGCTAATCCTTTCCCTGTCCCTCATCTGCTTTTCCCTTTATCCTCCCTGCCCCTGCTCTCCCTTGCCTCGGACTTTCCCCCATATCATATCCCTCTCCTAAGGCAATAGATCCCTCCAAGGTACCTGAGCGTCAAGCTTCTGCTCTGAGCCCCTTTCCTCTGGCCGTCACTTTCCTGCAGGTCTGGAGCTCTGGCAAGAACAAATCAAGCATTGGCCTGGGCTCAGGCATCTAGGGCCTGGTGGATCAAGCCTCTTTCCTTGGCTTCTAGAGGCTGAAGACCCTGAAGCACAACCCAAAGTGAGTCGGTAACAAAGGAGACTGCTTGCAGATGCTCAAGATGTGATTCAGCAGAGCAGGAGGGGCAACAGGTTTGAGGTCAAATGGAACCTTTATTCAAATTTTGGCTCTGCCATGTATAGCCATGTGGCCTTGGGCAAATCACTGCAGTCGGCTCCCTTTTCTCTTTTCTAAAACGGATGACAACATCTAGCACATAGGTACCTGAAGGATTGAATGAGACAATGTATGTCCAAGTACCCAGCATAGGTGTAAAATCGAAGGTTAGTAAACAGAAGCTGCTATTGTCGATGATGTGATGGTCTCCATTTGTGGATGTGCTGTCTGTGGTTCAGAAGGCGAGGAGCATGAGCTGTATGCAGTGAGTCCAGGCTATGGTAAACCACAGACTCTCTCCCACTGGGCTGAGGGAGCGTTAGGGGATGCAGGGAAGCTAGGACATCATGAGCCAGGTTTCACAGACTTTTTGGATTGGTGCTAACCATTTTTTTTTTTTTAGAGACAGGGTCCCACTCAGTCCCCAAGCTGGAGTGCAGTGGCTCTATCCCAGTTCACTGCAGCCTCAAACTCCTGGGCTCAAGTGATCCTCCCACCTTGGCTTCCTGAGTAACTGGTACTATAGGAGTGAATCACCATGCCCAGCTATTTTTTTTTTTTTTTTGTAGAGATGGGGGTCTCACTTTGTTGCCCAGGCTGGTCTTGAACTCCTAGCTTCAAGCGATCCTGCCCCCTCAGCCTCTCAAAGTGCTGGGGTTACAGACATGAGCCACCATGCCAGCCTGTTTAATAGAACTTTCTGCAATGATGGAAATGTCCTGGCATCTGTACCACTTGCTATGGGAGCCACTAGCCACCTATGGCCACTGAGCAGTTGAAATATAGCTAATGTGACTAATGAACTGAAAATTTCATTTTACTTAATTTTAATTTATTTAAATTAAAATAGCATTAAAATTTTAATTTATTTAAATTGAAATAGCATTAAAATTTTAATTTATTTAAATTGAAATAGCCATATGGGGCTAGTGGCTATCCTACTGAGCATCACAGCTTTAAGCAGTTAGAGGGAAAAGAAAGTGACACTGGTCCTAGTGGGTCATTTTTTGAGACAGAGTCCCTCTCTGTCACCCAGGCTGGAGTACAGTGGTGTGATCATGGCTCAAGCTCCCAGGCTCAAGCGATCCTCCCAACGTCAGCATCTTGAGTAGCTGGGACTACAGGTGTGCACCACCACGCCTGCCTTTTTTTTTTAGAGATGGGGTCTTGCTATGTTGCCCAGGCTGGTCTTGAACACCTGGAATCAAGAGATTCTCGTGCTTGGCGTTCCAAAGTGCTAGGATTACAGGCATGAGCCACCGCACCCAGCAACATTGGTCCTACACTACCAGGTCATTATACAAGCAAGGAATCGAGATCCAGAGAAGGGAAAGAGATTGCTCAGGGGCATACATACATCTGTCTCTGAGTCTTAGCCAGGAGAGCAAAGTGTGGTAGAGCACAGTTGGGATGGTCTTTTAGGGAAAAGCAGCTCCCTTTTCTCAGCCCATCCAAGACTGGCCAAGCTGGAATCCATGCACAGCTGGAATAGCCAGCATTTGACTGCCCACTGCATGCCAACAGTGCTCTAAACTCCTTAAGTGTAGTAACTCATTTAATTCTCAGAACAACCCTAAGATGTAGGTACCATAATTGCCCTCCCTGTCTTTTTTCAGTTGTAAGGGCTTTTCCAGAGTTTTCACCATCTAGTAATGCCAGTCTAACAGTATCTTTATGTTCTCCCCAAGGGTTTGCCTTCCTCTGAGTCTTCTGGGGATGCTTCCTTCCACAGGGACCAGATGTGGTCTGGACACGCTAGAGGAAGTTAAAATCCTTTGCCAACCTAAGCAGTAATTCATTCCTCAGTGCAGCAGTAGCAGGAAGAATTCCCATACCCCAGCTCTTCCTAGTCTCTTGGTCACCTTTCCCCTCAACTGCCTGAGCCCAAGTTGCTTCTAAGGATGGCCCCAGGCCCACCGCCTCTTGGCTTCTTACCTTTGTAGCTCTGCAGTTGTCTCTGTGGGCGGGGAAAGAAGGAAGATGAGGTCCGCCTCCCTGCAGGATCAGATACCAAGCCATGAAACCCAGAGACTGGAAACCAGCACATCACCCACCACAGGCACACCCTTTTCTGCCCCAAATGTTCAAACATCCAGATAAAGCTGATTTTGCAATTGACAGGGAAACATAACGGAACTAGCAAAAGTGTTTTAAATCAGGCATGTGAAATACTGATTATGTCTTTGCTTGATGAATCCTGCAAGAGTGTTTTAAAAAGTCAGAAAAACAATTTTCACAAGAAATATAATAAAAATTAAGAATGTTGTGAGTTTTTTTTTTTCCTTTCTTTTTAAATTTGAGATGGAGATCTCACTCTGCTACTCAGGCTGGAGTGCAGTGGTGTGTTCACACCTCACTGCAGCCTCAACCTCCACGGCTCAAGCAATCTTCCCACCTCAGCCTCCCAAATAGCTGGAACCACAGGCATGCACCACCATGCCCCATTAATTTTGTTCATTTTTTGTAGAGACTATGTTGCCCAGGTTGGTCTCGAACTCCTGAGCTCAAGTAATCCTCTTGCCTTGGCCTTCCAAAGTGTTGGAATTACAGGCATGAGCCACTGAGCCCGGCTGAATTTTTTTTAATAGAAATTTTTATGAGTAAGAAAAATGACACCTAACCTACCCCATGATCAAAACTGGCTATATTGGTTCAGCACCATGGAGGGCAACACACAGCTAATTATTCCTTTGGCTATGCCTGTGCTTCGTAGACTTGTTGACTCATTCCTTCATCCATCCATCCATCCATCCATCCATCCATCCATCCATCCATCCATCCATCTTTTCACACACCTATCCATCTTTTCAGCTAGCCATCTATCCATCCATCCATTCATCTATCCATCCATCCATTCATCTTTTCATCCACCCATCAATCTTTCCATCCATCCATCCATCCATCCATCTTTTCATCCACCCATCCATCTTTTCATCCATCCATCCATCCATCCATCCATCTTTTCATCCACCCATCCATCTTTTCAGCCATCCATCCATCCATCCATCCATCCATCTTTTCATCCACCCATCCATCTTTTCAGCCATCCATTCATCCATCCATCTTTTCATCCACCCATCCATCTTTTCAGCCATCCATCCATACATCCATCTTTTCATCCATCCATTAATTCAATATATACCAAGTACCAGGTGCCAAGCCTGAGCTAGGTTCTGAAGGTAAAGCTGTGAGTAAAACAGTAGGGTATGCACAGATTTATCCTGCAGACGAGGGGCCTCCTCCATTTCCCATCCCACTTTCCCCTCCTCTTTTCTCAAGGCCCATAAGGCCAAGATCCCTTTCCTTCTGCTCACCTGGCCTGAAGCATCCTGACGGTAGGACACGTGACTGCCACCCTTGCCAAGCAGAGTAGGGTTGACACGCAGATGCTGTTGCTGCTCAGGCTGCAAGATTGTGGCAAAGGTGTCAGGAGTGGAATCCCCTACCCCAGGGGCCCCAGACCTTCCTTGCCTTGCAAGGGAGTGGGGTGAATCAGGTATAGAGAGGGACTGGGCTGCAGAGGCAGTGGAAAGATCACTTACTCAAGCTTCCGGAGCCGTGGTAGGTGAGGGAGAACCTCCACAATGTTCAGCACCACCTGGTCACTGAGCTGGTTGTCCCGAAAACTGCGAGGAGACCAAGGCCCAGTCCCTTTGCCCTGGGGTTGGGGCACTTGCAAGCCCCAGTTAGCAAGTGACAGGATGGCCACCCTCATGTGGGAGACATAAGACAGGGGCCCAGAAAGAGCTGATGGCCTGCTCGCCGGATTCCAGCAGGCACGGCTAGGAGGAAAGACCCTCTGCTGGCCTCAATTCTGGGTCTATTCTGTTCCTATGGGGAAGTTTTTGCCTGGCGGCTCAAGGGATCTAGAAGACAGACTGACGGCCTCTTCATGAGGCACAATGAGGAGACCTAGCACCCTGCTCCCAGGGCTTATGCCTGGGATGTGCCTGGGATAGGCCCCCCAGGCAATGAGTAAAGTCTAGACTGGGACGCTGCAGACATCGCTTCCAGCCTCGGCTGTGGCCCTGACTCACCCAGAGCCCTGAGCCAAGCGCATTCCTCTCTGACCTCACTTTCCCCACCTGTTCACAAGCCAGCCTTGCCTGGGTTCCTAGCTGGGGAGACAGATGAGTTGAGGGGAGTGAGGGTGATTAAGAACAATGGTGGGTGATGAAAGACAAAATTAAAGTCACTTTCAATAGCCAGGGAAGAAAAATGTCAACAAGTTCAGTACTTCTGAACCTTGGCTTAATCACGGTTCACAGATGCCCAGCCGAGACGACAATAGGGACTGTGGTCCAACTTATTATTTTCACTCAACAAGTGCTGAACCTTAGTGACAGGCTGCATCTGTGTGGATGAAGTGGTGCCTTCTCTAAATGTCATAAAGGTGCCATATAAACTAGCAGCGTTCTGCCAGGGAGGAGGGTCACTGGTCCCACTCCTCCCCATGGTACTGAGTCCCAGACACAGGGCAGGAGTATATTTGTGCATACAAGCTTAGTTAGTTAGAGTGTGCTGGCATCAAAATGTGTACATGTAGTTAAAGGTGCATGTGTGCGCTGCATACATGTGCACACCTATGAGTGGGCATGTGTGGGTGCATATTCTTGCATATGCCTGTGTACTTCTGTGCAAGTGTAGACATGTGTGAACAAATGTGAAGGTGTGTGGTGCTTCATGTAGTTATGTGTACCCACAGTGCCTGATTCCTGCCTACGCACTGCTATCCCTTCTCCTGGGATTTCAGAAAGAGGGAGGGAGCCTTAACACTCATGCTCCTCCAAGACAGTCTAAAATATTAGATGAAGGAAGCCTTGCTCTGGGGACTCTGGGAGCCTTGGGTTTGGACTCAGCCCTACTGAGTACTTGGACTGATGCCTTCCCTCTCTGGGTCTCACTGAAAAACTACTGGTCAGACTTGGAGGAACATGCAGGCCCCAGGGGGACTCTGGGACCTGGGCAGTGGCTCATCTCCCCAGTCAGTGAGCCCTCCTGGAGATCACTCACCTGACTTCTTTCAGCTGTGGACAGAGAGGCAAAGCTTTCACCAGGTGGCTGATGCCTCGGGCAGTGATTTTACTTCCTGCTAACCTACAGAGTAAGCAAAGATGGTGGGGAGGAACGAGGAGGGGAAAAGGGCGGGGCCAGGAATCTGCCTTGTGTAGGATTAAGGAGAGGGAGGAGAGTACCAGGCATCCCCAGCTGAAGACCCTTCTCAGCTCCAAGGCCTGGCTCACCCCAGCATCTGCAGCCTCCCCATTGTCGGCAAGCTCCTGGAGAGGGCTTCTGCAAAGGCATCCCCACACTTCCTGCTCTTAAAGCTGCCATAAGAAGAAGCGAAGTGTCAGAGGATCAGTGCTGGGCAGAGCTGAGAAGTCATCGCCATCCCCTCAGAGAGATGGGGCTTAATACAGTAGTACTAACAAATACATATTATGGCCGAGACTTCTAATCGTCCACCAAAGCCCATTCTCCACTTCATCTACAGCAATAGAGCTATCATGAGGAACATGGTTTCCCAGCCAGAGATCACATTTCCCAGCCTCCCTTGCAGCTCAGTGTGGCCAGGTGACTATGTTCTCACCAATGGAATGTGAGTGGAAGGGATGTATCCTAGTTTCAGGACTGAACTTTAATGCATTGACATGTTCCTCCATGCTCTTTCCTTGTTCCCAAGCCAGAGCACAGATATACCCATGACGTAGCTTTGACTGTGCAGATAGGATTCCCAAGGGGATAATGGAGCAAAATGGGAGGGACCTGGGTACCTGCATGACTGCGTGGAGCTGAGCCATTCCACTGACCTGGACCACCTACCTCTGACTCTTCCATGAGAGAGAAATAAAATTCTACATTATTTAACCTACTGTATTTGGGGAGGAGGTTTCTCTGTTACTGCAGCCTAGCCTTTTCTCTAGCTAATATGCACACTGAGCCTTTGCTCTGTGCTAGGCACTGTGCTACAAAATGTTTTTCATGCACCATCCCATCTCATTCTTGCAATGACCATATGAGTTGGCTATTGTTACAGATTCGTTTTAGGAACGAAGAAACTCTGGCCTAGACAGTGTGCATGTGTGTGCTCCATATACTTGCCCAAAGTCCACCAGCCTCTATAGACAGCCTGGATCTGTGGTTTCAGCCCATGATTGACAGAGAGACTGAGAGTCCAGAAACCACAGACAAGAGGAGGATCCATTTGGACTCCAGAGGTCCTGTCAAGGTATGGAGCTTCCTCTCTTGCATTGCAGGCCATTATGTTCTGATATTCAAGATTCTTATCCAGTCCTCTTGGCAGAGGTTTGCTAGACTGGTTGGCCTCTGCTCCCCCAAAAGCCCAATCCCCTCCCCGGTCCTCCTCCACTCTTACTCACCTGAGATTCTCTATCTGCCCACAGCCTACCAGAGCCTCAGGGCAGTGGGGCTCCAGGGGACAGCCATCAAAATCCAGGTGGATGGGGGCCTCCCTGTGCTCTAGGATGTTGGTCAGGGTGGCCAGGTCGGTGCAGGTCAGTGGGAAATTGTGGAAGGGCAGTTGATAGGGGAGGCTTTGTGCGGTGAGACTGGCCAGCTCAGGCTCCTGTGTCTCATCCACACAGTGACACAGCTCTACAACCTTTGGCCCTGTGAGCTTGCGGGTGGCCAACTTCTTCAACACCTGCACTACAGCAGCCTGCTTGGCACCCACACAGTCCTCATTGCCCTGCGCCAGGTGGCTAAGGAAGGGGCGGCAGGTGCAGGATGCCAGGCCCGCCAGGAAGGTGGGGAGGTGGTCTGAGAGGCCCAGTCTAGCTTTGGTCCGCTGTACCCAGCGGGAATGGAGGGTAACATACTGGGTAAGTGTGTCTTTGTTCACCTTGGGGCTGGCCATCAGGTGCAGGGCAGCAAGAAACTCCTGCAGGCTGAGGTGGGTGAAAGCATAGCCTGTCTGCTGGTGCCCAGGGCCTGTGCAGACGCAGAAGGAAGTCAGCAGGCTGTGAGTGGCCCCAAAAGCTATCAAGGGTGGAGCAATATCTTTTGCATAGAAGATAACCTTCCCTGTCTCCAGGCCCCTCAGGGCCACCTCCCCCAGGTCCAGTAGGGACGAGGTGGGCAAGTGCCCAGGGGGGCTGAGGGCGAGCACCATCTGCATATAGAGCTGAGTCATGTTGGGCAGGAGGGCCACAGACTGGCCTGGGGCGTGGTCAGGAAGCAGATGGTGGAGGCAGAGACAGGCGACTTGGCACAGTGCGGGCACCGCACACAGGCTTCGGAGACGTCCATTTGTCTGTAACTCCACCAGGGCCCCCTCCCGCGATGGCTGGGCGCTGAAGAAGTGATTCACATATTCTTCCACCCGTGGCCCATCAAAGCCCAACATGTGGACCATGGCTGCCTCTGCAGGCAGGCAGGCAGGCAGCTTCCCTGGACGGGAGGTAGCCATCACCCGGCAGCCAGGCAGGAGGGTCCCATTGCAGAGATGGGAGAAAAGGGTGAGGACTGGGCCTGGGCCATCAGGACCCATAGGCTGGAGGGCCTCATCTAGCCCATCAAAGATCAGCAGGACTTGGTCAGCGTTCTTCTCCAGGTACTGGAAGACAGTGTCGTGGTCCGATTCAGGGCTCAGGTACAGATCAAAAAGGAGCTCGGACGGTGTCAGGAACCTCGTGATCAAGTTGAGCTGGCGGAATTCAAAAAGGAACAGGGCCTGGAAACAGTTCAGATGGCCCTCTGCCCACTTCTGGCAGAGCCGGTGGGCCAGCGTGGTCTTGCCCATGCCAGCCTTCCCCAAAAGCACGGTCACCCTCGGGCCCTTGTTAACCCTGGTGTTGAAGAGGTCCGAGATGCTCACGTCAGCACCATCTTCCACCTTGACGTCCCCCATAATGGCCCCCTCCGGAGTGTCTAAGGATGCTGTGGCCCGGCGCAGGATTGGAGGGACATAGACCTGGTGGAAGGCGTGGGGCTGCCCTGACCCAGGGATTTGGCTCCTGTAGCGCTGCTGGGCAGAGGTCCGCAGGAGCTGCAGGTACTTCTTGGCCAACTCTGCAAGGGGCAGGGACATGGCATGAGGAGAGGACCCCCCGGCCCTCTGCTCATGTCTTCTTGCCCCAGTATTGGGCTGTTGGGAGCCTGTAGCCCCAGATGTGTATGTATGATGGGGTGAGGGTGGGGGTGTCAAGAGCACCATAGGGGGATCTGTGCCACCCCAACTTCCAGAAGGAATCAGTTCTAAGGGAGCATAGGCTCTCCGGTAGCTATTTAAACAGGCAGGTGGGAATGGGGAAGTGTGGGTCACGGTTCTATCCATTCTGCAATAGTACACGTGGTGTAAGGGTTCAGTAAGATGGGGGGAGGGGAATAGGGCACCTCCTTTGCAACATCTCTTTTTTTTCTTTTTTCCCAGAGACAGAGTCTCAGTCTTGCCCAGGCTCCAGTGCAGTGGCACGATCCTAGCTTACTGTAGCCGCAAACTCCTGGTCTCAAGTGATCCTCCTGCCTCAGCCTCCTGAGTAGCTGGGACTACAGGTGCACACCACCACACCCAGCTAATTTTTGTATTTTTAGTAGAGACAAGGTTTTGTCACGTTGGCCAGGCTAGTATTGAATTCCTGGGCTCAACTGATCCACCTGCCTCAGCCCTCCAAAGTGCTGGGATTACAGGTGTGAGCCACCGCGCCCAGCTACTTTGCAATATCTTATTGAAACAACCTCTTTCTGTAATATCTGGATCCCCAGTGCCTCTTCCCAATATTTCAGTTCTGCAATGCCCAGGGGTGAGCACTAACAACCTGTAGGCCTAGGCATTACCGATCGGAACTGTGGGAGCTGGGCCCCTACAGTGCCAGATGTTAACCTTTTAATTCCTGGGTCATTGAGAGGTCTCAGGTGACCCAGGGAAAGGGCTGGGGCTGCTTTTGGGGGAACCCTATGGGGAAAGGCCAAGGTAGTGAACTATTTTGAGCGGATGTGAATCCTCTGGTTATAGCCATGGTTGGCAGCAGTGGGGGCAGAGAAGGCTCTAGTTAGTGGGACAACTCGTGGAGAACGAGGACCATTCTGAGAACTGGTCAAGAATGAGAGAAGTCCCCTTTCTTCTCTCACTGGCCTGGCCTGCCCTAAGCAGCTCCATGTCTCCCCATGGGCCCCCAGGGCCTCTGTCTTGAAGGTTTCTCCCAGGCCTCCTCACCCCTCCCCATCCCTGCTCACCCCCAAACTGGTCTCCTCCCTGGGTCTCCTTCAACACTGAGGACATAGGGTGTCCCTGGAAAAGCCTGGACAGCGAAGCTGAGACCTGTATGGTGCTTCCAGCTCCTTCAGCGGAGCCCTCTTCAGAGAAGTCCCCATGCAGCCAGATGGGTGGGGAGCCCCTTCGCTGCCAGCCCAGGCCTCTCCTCTGCCTGTGCAAGACCTCCAGTCCTTTTCTCCTGGAAACTTGCGAGACAAGAGTCACTGGGCCTCTGGAGGCTTATTGGCAGGGGACAAGGTCCAGGGTCCGGGTCTTGGCCCCCAGGCAACCCCATCTCTCTGTTTATGTTCCTCCCCACACTGGTACCCACCTAGCTGCTGCTTCTTGCACTGCTTCCGGCGGGGTGAGGACCCACAGCTCTGATGTGGGCGCTTCAGGCCTGAAAAAGCAAAGGAAGGGGTGGAGGAGTGGGGTCTGGGGATCTGGGCTGAGGGGTTACCCAGAACCTTTGGGGAACTCCAGTCCACAGACAGGTGGCAGGCAGCCAAGTACACCCACATGCAGGGACTGGAAAGGCAGGCAGCAGGCAGAGGCTGGGTCAACACCAGCTTCTATTTGCAGAGTGGACTTCTAGGCACCCCCATTGGAAGGTGGATGTTCTGGGCCTGGCAGTCTTGCAGTCCAGGATGCAGGAAGCAGGGCCAACAGCCAGCAGCCCCCAGAAACACTCAGCTCCAAGCACTAAATGGCCATCTGTCCATCAGGGAAGGACCAAGCTCTATGGAAGCCGCCGGTGGTCATATAAGTGAAGTTCCCAGTGAGTTTGGCCAGGCCTGCAACCTCCCTCCTCTGTTAGGGTTTTATCATCCCGATTTCTTATCACCCACATTTCCTCACTTCCCTTAATAGTTTCTGGAGTCTTGTCTCATTGTATGGATTTTCAACAATCACTTTAATGCCTTTCTGGAAGAGTTTGAGAAAGGAAGAAGGAAAACAAGAAGGAAGGGGACCCAGAAAGGAAGGGAGGGAGAAAGGAAAGAGGACTCAGGAAAGAATTTTAAGAAGTCAAGCAGGGTCCTCCTACAGCTAAGCTAAGTGACCAATAGGAACAGCCCCTGGAGCAGGGCCCTGGGCTCCTTGTCCAGCTAGGAGGCTGGAACCAGTTCGAGAGCACTTCAATATCTTAACAAATCCTATATTAAAAAGGGACTCACTGGCCAAATATCAATCAGATCTGGTTACAGCCATGAGATAATGATGCCAGCTCAGTGATGCGGGCCTATTGGACCAGGGACTTGGACAGTTTTGATTCACTGGGGAGCTGAGGTTATAGGGTGGGTTTTCTGTTGGCATTACTGCCATGCACAGCGATAAGTAAAGTCAATGCTTCTGTAGAAATCAAGGTGCTGAGATGAAAGTGTGACCCACGAATCAGTAGGTGGTCATTATTTAATCACTGGCCCTTCCGAGCTCCTTCAGAAAATCAGCCAAAGGCTCCCCCGCTGAAGACAGCAGCTGTGGGTGAGTGTCAAGTCCAAGGTGTACAAGTCGGGAGGGGGTGGTTAGGGCTTCCCCATGAAGCCTGACACTTTGGGGCTGGGAGATGAGGCCCTGCGGGTTGCGGGCAGGAAAGTGAGAACAGGCTTCCTGAGGGGTTCCAGGTTAGACCCTTTAGAATTGGTAACGGGACAAGCTAAAGCCTTGAAAGTCACTGCAGGAGGAGGTGGGGCTGGGAGACACAGTTAGGGGCTTGACACACTTGCAAATGGGTCAGGGACAGACGAAGAGCATGGCCTATGAGAAATGGCTGTGACCAGCCACCACAGCCTCCACAGCCTCCTCCAGCTTGGAAGTGGGGACTTCACAGTGCTCACCACCCCCTTCCCACCCCCCAACTCCAGTCCTCACCATGGTGGAGCTGAGATTCAGGTTGGCTTTTCCCCTCAGCTCCCAGCTGGCTGGTGAACCCTGCAAGAGAGGGGAGAGTATAATGTGGTATGGGGCTGTCGAGGGATGCTGGGGACCAGCTCTGGCCTGGCGCCTGGCTCAGGGCTCATCTCACAGGGAGATACCCAGCAAGGGAGAACTAAATGGAACACTCAGTTATCTGTTGTGGAGAAAATGTGGTGGTGAGCTTTGAAGGCAGTGCTGGGCAGAAATGTGTGTATATGCAAGTGCATGCAAGTTTATGTATGTGTGTGCACAGGCATGCATGTGTTATGCATGTGGGCACACTTGCATGCATGTGTACATGGGTTTACGCACATACCCACATGTATATGCACTGTGTGTATCTGCATATGTCTGCACATATGTGCATGCGCCGCCCCGCCCCCCGCAATTCCCACACTCTGCCTTGAAGTAGGGTTCTTAAGTGAGTTCCCATTTTCTCTCCAAAAACGCTGTTGCCCCTCAATGTCCTGTGTTTCCCCTCAGTGCTGTGCAAACAGAAGGTGCCCAAGAAATCCCCACGGATCAGTAGAGGGCAGAAGGCGCTCCCCGTCACTGTTTCTGACCATGTTGCAAAACAAACAAACAAACAAAAACACCTCTAGCCAGGTGTGATGGCTCACATCTATAATCCCAGCACTTTGGGAGGCCAAGGGAGGAGGATCACTTAAGGCCAGGAGTTCAAGACCAGCCTGGGCAACACAGTGATGTCCTGTCTCTACAAAAGAATGAAAAATTAGCCTAATGTGGTGGCATGCACCTATAGTTCTACTGTAGTCTCAGCTACTTGGGAGGCTGAAGTGGGAAGGATCACCTGAGTCCTGGAGTTGGATGCTGTAGTGAGCTATGATTGTGCCACTGCACTCCAGCCTAGGCAACAGAGCAAGACCTTGTCTCAAAAATAAAAAACAAACAAACAAAACCCAACAAGAGCAACAACAAACAAAAAACACCCCCCCACCCCCGCCAAAAAAGAAGAAATAAATCTCTCGGGCATTATGGGCTATGTGGGATTTTGTGGCTGGAAGCAGTCACTCAGCAATTCGAGCAATTCGAGTGAAGCCAGGTAGAAGGAGGGGTCCTCCAGGCCCCAGCAGATTTGGGCGCATTAGGAAATTTGTTCTGGGAAGTGTCCAGAAATATAGAGTTGAGATCGTGGCTGGGCTACACCCTCTCTCTGACTTAGGTGGGTCCCTGGGCTCCTCCCGGCTCCCCATGACGCAGGTACTGGCCCGGCTGCTTTGCGTCTCTCACACCTGCCCTTACCATCATCATAGCCAAAAGTACTCAGCAGCAGCACCTCCAGGTCCAGAGGCACCTCCAGCTGCATGCACACACAATGAATGAAAGACTGCCAGGTGTCCGAACCCTGGACATGCAGCTTGTTGAGTTGCAGGATGACTCTCTGTTCAGGGTCCAAGGTCTCGTTCCTGGAATCCAGGTCCGTGTTGGGGAGGAAGAACTTCATCTTGGCGTTCAGCCATTCTGGGTCTTTGGTGAGCAGCCTCACAAGACAGCTCCACAGGTTCTTGTTGCCGAGCTGGAGGCCAACGGGGTCCATGAGGAGCCAGCCCTGGAGGGACAGGGAAGATAGGTGAGTTGAGGGGGACAGGTAAACTGGGGGCAGATGAGCTGAGGGACAGGGGAACTTGGGGGGAGTTGAGCTGGGGGACAGGCAAACTGGGGGGAGGTGAGCTGGGGGACAGGTAAACTGGGGGGGAGGTGAGCTAGGGGACAGGTAAACTGGGGGCAGATGAGCTGGGGGACAGGAGAGCTGAGGGGGAGGTGAGCTGGGGGACAGGGGAACTGGGGGACAGGGGAGCTGGGGCACAGGTGAGCTAGGGGACAGGGGAGCTAGGAGGAAGATGAACTGGGGGACAGGTGAACTGAGGGCAGGCAGGTGAGCTGGGGGACAGGGGAACTGGAAGGAAGATGAGCTGGGGAACCGGTGAGCTGGAGGACAAGCAAATTGGGGGCAGGTGATTTGGGGGACAGGGGAGCTGGGAGGAAGATTAGATGGAGAACAGGTGAGTTGTGGGGCAGGTGACCTGAGGGCAGGTGAGTGGGGTACAGATGAACTAGGGGGAAGGTGATCTGGGGAAGGTGAGTTGGGGGATAAGGGAGTTTCTAGGGAAGTCAAGCAGTCAAGAACCAGTCCCTACATTTGAGCGACATAAAATAGGCAGGGAAGTGGCCTCTCCATGGAGTCTTGATGTCTCTGCCCAGGGATCAGCTCCAGAGATCAGTCTGTTTCTTCTGCACCCCCTCCCTACTCCATTTGTGCCTGCACCCTGGCTCTCTGGAATGGTCTTGTTCATCCCCTGTGGACAGTCCCGTGAGGATGCATTACTCATTCTTATTTCCATGAACCATTTATGCTGCTCTCAGTCTGAGCTAACCTCATGGCAGAGACAACTAGTTGTCTCCCAAAATCTGTTCTTCCCTTCTTCCTCAGTATTAGAACTACTAAATATTCTCTGGTCATCTAGAATAGATTATTATATCCCAGTCTCCCTTGCAGTTATATGTAGCCATGTAATTTGGCCAGTGGAATGTAAGTAGAAATGTTGTCTATTCTTCTTTGCTCCTTCCTGTTGTCTGGATTGTTGATGGGATGGCTGGATCTTGGGCAGCCATATTGAATCATGAGGTGGAACCCATACTGAGGAAGGTGGAAGGTAAAGCTGCCCATCTGCCCTGTGCTCACTGACTTTGGACTTCTGTTACATGGCAGGGAAATACACTTCCATTCTGGTTAAGCCACTGTTGTTTAGTGCTTTCTGCTACTCACAGTGAACTCTAATCCTAGCTAACACAGACCATCACCTCTTTTGCTAAGCAAATTCTTCCCTTCTGAACTGGAACTCTTTTTTTTTTGAGACAGAGTCTCGCTCTGTCACCCAGGCTGGAGTGCAATGGTGCAATCTCGGCTCACTGCAGCCTCCGCCTCCCGGGTTCAAGCGATTCTTCTGCCTCAGCCTCCCGAGTAGCTGGGATTACAGGTGCACACCACAATGCCCAGCTAATTTTTGTAATTTTTAGTACAGATGGGGTTTCACCATGTTGGCCAGGCTGGGCTCAAACTCCTGACCTCAGGGTGATCTGCCCACCTCGGCCTCCCAAAGTGCTGGGATTACAGGTGTGAGCCATCATGATGGCCGAACTGGAACTCTTAAACCACCTCCTTCTAGAAGTACCAATAGAGGGCACGGGGCATTTACACAGCAAAAGCCTAAATAATGTGCAGTTCCTTTGATTCAGTAATTCCATTTCTAGGACTCTAACCTTGGCAAACGATCATGAACGTATATACAATATTTAATTGCAAAGATGCTCACTGCAAGATTATTTATAATTATTAAAAATTGGAAACAACCTAAATGTCCAACAGTTGGGGATTGGCCAACTAAATGGTGGTCCATCATCTAGTGGACTATGCTATCACATTTCCGGATGTACTTTCTGGTACTATGTCCTTCCTCATAGCAGTACACACTTGGAAAGCACTCACTGTGTATTAGGCACTGTCTAAGTGCTTTATATACCTTATTTTATCCTCACAACTCCAGAGAGTCCACCTCTAACTCTGAAAAGAGTAGGAGGTCCACCCAGAAGCCAGCCTTCCCAATTCCCAGAGGCTGAGGCCAGTACTATGCGTCCTGGGGTTTAGAGCCCAGCTGCTCCCTGGGCATGCAGTAGAGACATACTTGGATGTACTGTCAGCCCCACTGGTCATTTCTCCTCAACTGGGCTAATAGCAATAGGTCCTCACTCAGGCAGAGAGTCTTAGAATTTATGAAACATGCTCACACCATGATCCTCAGGCAGGGATCACCACCTCCACTAAGCAGACGGAAAGACCATGGCCAAGGAAGGGCAAAGGGTGTGCCCACAGTCACACAGCAAGTCCATGACAGAGGCAGGAGGAGAACTGAGGTTTCTTGCCTCCCAGGCCAGTAAATTTCCAAGGCCTTGGAGGCCTAGATGGCACCAGACAAGGCTAAGTCCCTGGATTTTGTGTGATCTCGGCAAAAGGATGTGGCCATAGCCTAGGGCATAACTTCTTTTCCAGGCTATGGTGTCCAGCATCCATGCTACCCATGAAGAAATGGTCCAGGGCAGCATGGCACCAGATGGAAGTAAGTAGTGCCTGGATGGTGTGATTTCTGGTGATGTTTCTCATCCTCAAATTTCTCCTCCAGCCAGTCTAACACAATACCTTTGTTTCCATCATTAGTGTTCTATCCCCTTAGGATATGACACAAATCTCTTTAAGGCTAACCATCCTCAGGAGAAAAAGCACATGGCATCATTATCAGTCATTGAGATTTCCATGGGGAATAATCTTGGAGACAGAGGACGATGGTTGAAAGATCCATGGCCCAGCTCTGTTACTAATTCTCTGTGGTAGGCATTAGGGCTGTTCACAGATACTCTTTCTCCTCTTTCTAGGCCTTTGGTGGGATTACACTTCTCTGCCTCCTTGAAATTGGGCACAGCCATGAAACTTGCTTTGGTCAATGAAACATGCTAAAAAAGACTCATGTCATGCCTGTAGTTGTTTTAAGAACCAAGGTGTAATTGACAGTACTTTTTCTTTTTTTCTACTCCAGGGACCAGAAATATTGCAAATCATGGCTACCCTGTTAGCCTGAGTGTGGGAGACAGGATGATGTGGAGGAGCAATCCCAGTCAATCCACACGAGACAGGAAGCAAGAGCAGGAAATAAACTTTTGTTGCCATGAGTCACTGGGACTTTGGAGGGTGCATGTACTACAGTGTAACCTGGCCTATCCTAGCTGATACACTCATAGTGTGACCTTGAGCAAGCCTTTTTCCTATATAAGCCTCAGTCATACCATCTCTAAAATGGGTAGATTAGATGCTGTCTCAAAACTCTTCCTGATTTTCTGTGTCTGATCATTACATTCTCATGCTGAATGATGGTCAAGGGCAGGTTTGTTGTGTTGGGGGCAGCCCAGTAAGGCAGATTTGGGTAGGGACCAGTCTTGGCAGTAGGAGAAAAGTGACGAAGTAGATAGGAGGGGAAAAGAGGAGGTGAAGGGGAGAGAAAAATCACCTACTTGGTCTCCTCGTTCATGATAGGTGCTCTAGGGTCCCCACGGAGAGGGTCTCATGGGTGTCTGGGCTATGTGTGCCTTGAGCTGGATTGACAGGTTGTTTCCATAGTGCAGACTCCTAAGGGGAGAGAAGACAGGGAGTTTTCCCCACTATTCCAGACTCCAAAAGGAATGCTGTAAACCAGGCACCAGCCCTTGCCCCTGCCTGCCGGAGACACATCTGAGAACATTGGCTCCAGACACAGTCCCCCCAACTCCATCCGCTAGACCTTGTTCTTCCCCGACTGCAGCTCCTTGTGTCCCTGGGTTTACGCAGCCTAACCCTCCTTGATGTCACCTCCTGCCACACCTGGCTCAGAGGATGCCCCTCTTCCTCCTCCAATTCAGATATGCACCTTACAATGTCCTTTGGCATCACAATGAGCCCTGCAAGTCAGCAAAGTTATTACTGCTCATTTATTCAGATGAAAATGAAATAATCCTTACTGCAGATGCCAACTTTTGCCCCCAATATAAAACCCCAAAAAGGTTAGGATTTGCAATCTTCTTCCTATTTAGTTAGTTTTTTAAACAATTGAGAGTAAACATTCTTCTTAAAGAGAAGACCTGGAGGCATTGATAGCTGCTCACAGAAAGCACAATAAAAAGATGAGCTGGCACAAACTCCCACACCACGCAACAGAGATCTTCCTACGAACAAAGAAGAGAACAGGTAGCTACAGAGTACATGGAGGAAATGAAGAGAGGCGGAAGATCAGCGTGTGCTCTGATTGTGTCTCTGTGAAATACGGGGAATGTAACTCAGAGTTCCATGACTTTAGACAAATCCACGTAAATAGGGCACATTCTGACATAATGGAGGTGGTATGTAGTATGGTAATTAGAAATAAGAAAGGAAAAGAGAGATCTTTTGAAGAGGTCCTGGGGGACTAATAACATATGTCTATATTTCTCTTTCTCTCTCTTTCTTTTTTCTTGAGATGGAGTCTTGCTCTGTTGCCCAGGCTGGAGTGCAATGGCATGTTCTCAGCTCACTGCAACCTCCACCTCCTAGGTTCAAGCAAGTCTCATGCCTCAGCCTCCCGAGTAGCTGGGATTACAGGCATGTGCCACCACGTCTGGCTAATTCTAGTATTTTTAGTAGAGACTAGGTTTCACCATGTTGGCCAGGCTGGTCTTGAACTCCTGACTTCAAGTGATCTGCCTGCCTCAGCCTCTTTAAGTGCTTCTTTTCTTTTCTTTCTTTTTTTTTTTTTTTTTTTTTTTGAGATGGAGTTTCATTCTTGTTGCCCAGGCTGGAGTGCAATGGCATGATCTCGGCTCACCACAACCTCCACCTTCTGGTTCAAGCAATTCTCTTGCCTCAGCCTCCCAAGTAGTGGGATTACAGGCATGTGCCACTACACCCGGCTAATTTTGTATTTTTAGTAGAGAAGGGGTTTCTCCATGTTGGTCAGGCTGGTCTTGAACTCCCGACTTCAGGTGATCTGCCCGCCTCGGCCTCCCAAAGTGCTGGGATTATAGGCATGAGCCACTGTGCCCAGCCTCTTTCCTTTATTTATTTATTTATTTATTTATTTATTTATTTATTTATTTATTTTTTTAAGAGACAGGGTCTTTCTATGTTGCCCAGGCTGGATTCAAACTCCTAGGTTCATGTGATCCTTTTGCCTTAGCCTCCTGAGTAGCTGGGACTGCAGGCATGGGTCACCACAGCCAGCTAAATGATATTTTAAAAAACATTATCACACTGTAACAGGAGAAATAAAGAGAGGCTTTAGCAAATTGAGATAAAAACTTGCCGTGGACTGAATGTTTGTGTCCCACCTCCCCCACCAATTCACCTGGTGAAGCCTAAATACCCAGTGTGATGGTATTTGGAAGTGGGACCTTTGCGAAGTGATTAGGTCAAGAGGGTGGACCCCTTATGATGGGATTACTGCCCTCACAAGAAGAGGCTGGAGGCCGGGTGCGGTGGTTCACGCCTGTAATCCCAGCACTTTGGGAGGCCAAGGTAGGTAGATCACTTGAGGTCAGGAGTCTAAAACCAGTCTGGCCAACATGATGAAACCCCATCTCTAATAAAAACATAAAAATTAGTCAGGCATGGTGGCAGGCACCTGTAGTCCCAGCTACTCAGGAGGCTGAGGCAGGAGAATCACTTGAAGCCAGGAGGCAGAGGTTGCATTGAGCCAAGATCATGCCACCGCACTCCAGTCTGGGCAACAGAGCAAGACTCCATCTCAAACAAACAAAAAAAAAAAGGAAAAAGGAAGAGGCTGGAGAGCGCTTGCCCTTTCTTTTTGCTCTCTGCCCTGTGAGGACACAATGAGAAGGTGCCGTCTGCAAACCAGGAAGCGCATCCTCTCCAGACACCAGGCCTGCTGGCTCCCTGATTGGGGACTTCCCGGCTTTCAGAACGTGAGAAACAAGTTTCTGTTGTTTAAGCCACCCAGTCTACAGTGTTTCATTATAACAGCCCAAACTGACTAAGACATACTTGCCTTCGACCACAGAAAGTGAAAGAAAATAAAACCCACTCTAAGTTAACAGGCAGATAAAAAACAACAGCACTTTATGTACAACAGGATACTTTAACAGAACTTGGTAAAATTATATTAGCAGTCATTTAGAGAAAAGAGGCAGTATTTATATGCCTTAAATATTTCATAATAAAACCGCTGAAGTTACTTTTAAGTCTAATCTTAAGTTAGAATTAGATATAAAGAAACGAATAAAGGCAATTCTATCAAAAGGCTATTTGTTGGGAGGATCAGACAATAGCAAAAAAGCTTCCAAACATAATAAAATATATAACAAGGTGACCATCATTCAAACTTTAAGATTCTTGGATTAAAAATGGAAAAAAATTGGCCAAAGGGATGGAATAGAGTCCAAGTGAGCCTCACACTCATTTAAAATACACTATTTAATCCATGATATTGAAAGAAAAAAGGGGGGAAATAAGTGGTGTTAAAATACATAGCAATATGCTGTCTCTTTCCTGCCACCATGAAGAAGGTCTTTACTTCCCCTTTGCCTTCCATCATGATGATGTTTCCCAAGGCCTCCCTCGCCATGTGGAACTGGTGTTTTGAAGCCTGTGGACCTTAATGGTGTCATCAAACTTTTTGAAGAGACTGCTAAAGAAGGCTTAGAAGAAAAGCAACTTAAATCTGTCAAGAAACTGGTACAGTGTTATCAGAATGAACTTCCCTTAAGGGATTTAGTACAGACATTTGAAATTCTGAATCTGTGTGCAGTAAAAATTGAAAACCAGCCGCATTTTGTAGAATCTGCATATGATATCATAAAATAGTGTGGCTTGCCATTTTTGAAAAAGAAAGTATCGGATGAAATAACTTATGCTGGAGATACTGCTAGTTCAGTTGCGCTTCTGGGTGACTTAATGAAAATACCAAGTTCTGAATTGAGGATAAAAAATTGTAAACGTATTGTTGACTTTTATCAGGCACAACCACCAAAGGAGCATATTCCAGGTTACCAGCAAGTGAGTTCATCATACAAGATTCAAATGGCTGAAGTTGGAGGATTGGCAAAAACAATGGCCCAGTTAATGACCTTGCTTGAAAATCAACTTGTTGAGAAACTTTGGGTACTTAAAATTCTGCAGCATCTCTCGACTTCTGAAGTTAATTGTACTGTAATGATGAAAGCACAAGCAGCCAATGGAATCTGTGCTCACCTCAATGACTCAGATTTCTCTGGACAGCTTTTATTTCCTTCATCAGAAACACTTTGGAACTTATCAGAAAAAATCTTCAAAATAAGAAATTGTTCAACAGCTTAGTAACTTGGAATGTTTACTGACTTTGAAGGAAGTATTTTAAAATCTATGAGAGGTTTTAGTCATTATGACCGTCAGCTTAGAAATGACATATTAGTGATCACTACAGTTATAGCTCAAAATCCTGGAGTGCCAAAGATTGAATGTGGCTTTACCAAGGATTTGATACTGTTCGCAACCTTTAATGAAGTTAGAAGTCAATCCCTTTGGTAAAGGACTTAAATTTTCTAAATCCTATGAAGATTTTGAGTTGAATAAATTACTATTCACTATAATTGTGATCTTATGTAAAGATTTAAATACTATACAGGTAAAGAGTAATCAAGGCAAGAAAATTAACAAAAATTGTATCACTTTGTAGTATAAAAATATACATATGGCAATATGAGTGTTTTAAATTTAAAGAATTATTTTTAACTAAGCAATTAAATTAAAAATTTCTGCATGGAAATGAAAAACACAGCCACATAGCATTTCACACCCACATAGAATGGCTGTAATGAAAAAGACACATGTTGATGAGGATGTAAAGAAACAGGACACCGTATATATTGCCGGTGGGAATGTAAAATGGTCCAGCCACTCTGAAAAACAGTTTGGCAGTTTTGGCAGTTCCTTAGAACAGCAGTCCCCAGACTTTTTGGCCTAGGGACTGATTTCATGAGAGATCATTTTTTCCCCGGACGGGGGTTGGGGTTGGGGGATGGATTCGGGATGATTCAAGCTCATTACATTTATCATTAGATTCTCATCAGAAACTCGCAACCTAGATCCCTCACATGCGCATTTCACAACTGGGTTTGTGCTCCTATGAGAATCTAATGGCACCGCTGATCCGACAGGAGGCAGAGCTCAGGCAGTAATACTCGCCCGATGGCCGCTCACCACCTGCTGTGCGGCCCAGTTCCTAACAGGCCATGAACCGACACTGATCTGTAGCCTGGGGGTTGGGGACCCCTGCCTTAGAATGTAAAACAATAGAATTACCATCTAATCCAGCAATTCCACGCCTAGGTCTATTCCAAGAGAAATGAAAATATACATCTACACAAAAACTTGTATATGAATGTTTGTACCAGCATTATCCATAACAGTCAAAAAGTGAAATCAACCCAAATACCCAAAAGCTCATGAATGGAGAAACAAACTGTGACATATCTATACAATGGAATATTATTCAACATAAAAAGGAACCAAGTTTATGCCATGTGAAAAAAGATCACTAAAGATCACGTATTGTATGATTCTATTTATGTAAA
The DNA here is from genome assembly GCF_000001405.40 of Homo sapiens. NCBI lineage: Eukaryota > Metazoa > Chordata > Mammalia > Primates > Hominidae > Homo > Homo sapiens. Next base: position 57,012,124 of record NC_000016.10, on the reverse strand, counting down.
ACATCCAGAAAAGGCAAATCTATTGAAACAGCAAGTAGATTACTGGTTGCCTGGGCCTGGGAGCAGAAATAGGAATGATTCTAAATGGGTTTGAGGAATATTATGGCAGTAATGAAAATGTCCCAAAACCAGATTGTGGTGATGGTCACATAACTCAGTAAATTTACCAGAAATCACTGAATCCTACACCTAAAATGGATAGATTTTACGGTATGTAAATTACACCTCAATGAAGTTGTTAAAAATAATGCAGTAGAAATTAACATATTATAATAATGTATTCTTTATTGCCTTTTTTTTCTGTATAGTAAAAATGGCAACAAACAAAACGAAAGCAACAAACTGGGAAGTGTTTGTACCATCTATGATGGTAGTCTAATTTTCTTTTCTTTTTTTTTTTTTTTGACACAGGGTCTTGCTCTGTCACCCAGGCTGGAGTGCAGTGGTGCAATCATAGCTCATGCAGCCTCCTACTCCTGAGTTCAAGTGATTCCCCTGCCTCACCCTCCTGAGTAGGTGAGACAACAGGCACACTCCACCATGCCAGGCTAATTTTAATTTTTTTGTAGAGACATAGTTTCCCTGTGTTGCCCAGGCTGGTCTTGAACTACTGGACTCAAGTGATTCTCCCCTCATCAGCCTCCGTAAGTGCTGGGATTACAGGCGTGAGCCTCTGCACCTGAGTCTAAATTCAATTTTTTTTTTTTTTTTTGAGACGGAGTCTCCCTCTGTCGCCTAGACTTGAGTGTAGTGGCACGATCTCAGCTCACTGCAACCTCTGCCTCCTGGGTCCAAGCGATTCTCCTGTCTCAACCTCCTGAGAAGCTGGGATTATAGGCACCCACCACCATGCCCAGCTAATTTTTGTATTTTTAGTAGAGACGGGGTTTCACCATATTGGTCAGGTTGGTCTCGAACTCCTGACCTCAGGTGATCCACCTGCCTCGGCCTCCCAAAGTGTTGGGGTTACAGGCGTGAGCCACTGCACATGGCCCATAAATTCAAATTTTAAAAAGCTGTGGCATGTGTATATTTTAAATGTGTGTGTATTTGCATACATAGAGACCAACTCTGGGAAGCTACACAGGAAACTGATGACAGGCTTGTGTCTGAGGAGGGGTCTGGGCCTGCTGGGACAGGAGAGCCTTTCCCACTGTGGACCCTTTTTAGGACCCTTTGAACCATTCAAACTTTTTAATGTGCACATTTTGATTTTTTTTTAAAAAAAGCCACAAGAACATTTACATTAAAAACTAGAATAGACATTTCCCCAATGTGTAAGGAAGAGAAATACAAGATGATGAGTAAATAAGAAATTATCAGTGATAGCTCACAAAAAAATGAAACTTCCCTAAATGACGTGAAATAAAAGAGAAATAGGAAGGCAATAGGTGGGGAAAAATATTTGCACTAAGTATGATGGATGGAGGATGAATATTACAATTAAAAAGCAGCCAGGTGCAGTGGCTCACGCCTGTAATCCCAACACTTTGGGAGGCCGAGGTGGGAGGATAGCTTGAGCTCAGGAGTTGGAGACCAGCTTGGGCTACATTGTGCAACTCAGTCTCTACAAAAAATAAAAGATTAGCTGGGCGTGGTGGTGTGTGCCTGTAGTCCCAGCTAATCGGGAGGCTGTGGCAGAGGATTGCTTGAGCCCAGGAGTTTGAGGCTGCAGTGAGCTATGATCTCGCCACCCCACTCCAGCCTGGGCAACAGAGTGAGACCGCATGTCAAAAAACAAAAAAATTAAAAAGTTATTCATATCTACTGAGAAAATATTTCATTTTACTTTTGAGTTTAACATTTATGCATGTGTGATAAGGACACTACATTTCTACTGGAAAAGCAGTTGACAAAGTTGAACAGACAATATAGCGAATATTTGCTACTTGCCAAGTGAGTACCTTTCAGCATTATTTAATTCTCCCAACTCCACCTGGATGCCTCATGTGCGTTTCAAAATTTCCAAGTCCGAAACTGAGCTCCTGATCTCTCCTCCTAAACTGCTCCCCAGACCACCTTCCCCACTTCAGTTAGGGGCAGCTTCATGCTTCCTTGAGCTCAAGCCCAAAGATGGCTTCATTTTCCAAGTGCATTCCAGAATCTTGCTTCCTCTACTGCTATGGCCTAGCCTGGACACCATCATTTCTCACTGGGATTCCTGCACCAGCCTCCTCCCTGGTCTCTGTCCACCCATCCCCCAATAACCTACTCCACGCAGGAGTCAGCTATTAAGACAGAGCCTGCATCAGGTCCCATGACATCAGGTCCTATGCCCCTTAGAGCCTTCTCATCTCACCCAGAATGAAAGCCAACTTCCTGCCCAGCACTACCAAGATGTTTGAACAGTTTTTTAAAAAAATCAAACTTGATCACTTTAAATTTATCCTCATTGTGTTGGTTGGTTATTTTTGGCTTTTTAAAAATGAACATTTGGCAATTTAGTTTTGAGAAAGTTGCTCATTTTGTCAAGATGTTCAAACATGGTGTAGCTCACAGTTGTATATAATATGTTCTTGTATTTTTTTTTTTGAAATGGAGTCTCACTCTGTCGCCCAGGCTGGAGTGCAGTGGCGTGATCTCAGCTCACTGCAACCTCCACCTCCCAGGTTCACGCCATTCTCTTTCCTCAGCCTCCCGAGTAGCTGGGACCACAGGCACACGCCACCATGCCCAGCTCATTTTTTGTATTTTTAGTAGAGACGGGGTTTCACCATGTCAGCCAGGATGGTCTCGATCTCCTAACCTTGTGATCCGCCCACCTCGGCCTCCCAAAGTGCTGTGATTAGAGGCATGAGCCACTGCGCCCAGCTTTATTTATTTATTTATTTTTTGAGACGGAATCTCACTCTGCCACCCAGGCTGGAGAGCAATGGCAAGGTCTCGGCTCACTGCAACCTCCACCTCTTGGGTTCAAGTGATTCTCCCGCCTCAGCCTCCTAAGTAGCTGGGACTACAGGCTCATGCTACCACAGCCAGCTAATTTTTGTATTTTTGGTAGAGACGGGGTTTCACCATGTTGGCCAGGCGGGTCTCAAGCTCCTGACCTCATGATCCACCCACCTCGGCCTCCCAAAGTGCTGGGATTACAGGCGTGAGCCACCGTGCACGGCCTATTTTCTTATAATTTTAAATCTCTTCATGGCTTCACATTTAATTTAGTTTACTTTGTTTTTTCTTCTTTTTAGATTCACCAGCCGTTGGTAACTCTTATGTTTGAAAAACAAATTTTTGTTTTCATTTATCAATTTTGCTGGAATGGTCCCTTTTCTAGTTCTGTAATTTTTGCTTTTATCTTTTTATTTCTTTCCTCTGATTTAGTGAGGCTGTTTGTTATTCTTTAAAATTAAAAACTTTATTGCTTAAGCCATTGCTAGGCTTTTTCTTTTAAAAAATAATAAAACACTTTTGGCCAATTTCGATAAATGTATATCAATACTTATGTGCTAAGTAGATTGAAATTATAATTTGGAATGGAGTAATTTAATAAAGGGTTGTTTTTAAGGCTTTCTTATTAGTTTTTGTGCATTACACTGTACAAAGAATAAGTCCTGTGCAATTTCTGCTTTGAGGACTATGTTGAGATTTTTTCTTGCTTGGTATATAATAAATTTTAAAACATTTCATGAACATTTAAAAAGTGTTCTTTTAGAATAAAAATGGATTTCTATTTCACAATTATATCAAAATAAAGTCTAGATGAAACCAAAATTTAAATGTAAGAAGTTAAACCATGAAAGTACCAGAAAGCTATATGTTCAATTTATAACAATTCATGAAGTTGTACACTTACATTACATTTTTCTATGTGTTATGTTTCACGACAAAAAAGTTAAGAAAATGTAAGTGCTCAAACAAAACATGGGAAAAAGTATTTTAAAAAAATTTCTCTTTTAAAAAATAGAGGCGGGGTCTTGCTCTGTTGCCCAGGCTGGCCTTGAACTCCTGGACTCAAATAATCCTTCCACCTCTACCTCCCAAAGTTCTGGGATTGCAGGTGTGAGCCACTATGCCTGGCTGAAAAAAATATTTTACAGAAAATAATTTCAGAGTAGAGAGCATCTTGCTAAGCATGACACAAAACTCAGAAATCATGAAAAAAGAAAAAAACAACTGGATGAAACTGATCAGATATAAATTAAAATTTTTGTATTGTCAAAGAATACCACAGATAAGGTCAAAAGCCAGATGACAAATTGGAAAAATATCTGCATCACAGACAAGGTTATAAATGTATACATCATAAACAAAGCTATAAATGTATAAATGTTTTAATAAATCGAGAGTTACTAAAAACCAACACTGAAAAAGCCAATGACCTCATAGAAAACTAGGCAAAGAACATAAAAGGTTTACAAAAAAGGGAAACACCAATGACATTTAAAAATTTTTTTTTGAGACAGAGTCTCACTCTGTTGCCCAGGCTGGAGTACAGTGGCACGATCTCCACTCACTGCAACTTCCACCTCCCCAGTTCAAGCAATTCTTCTGCCTCAGCCTCCCAATAGCTGGGATTACAGGCACGAGCCACCATGCCTGATTAATTTTTTTTTTTTGTATTTTTAATAGAGACTGAGTTTCACCATGTTGACCAGGCTGGTCTCGAACTTCTGACCTCAGGTGATCTACCTGCCTCGGCCTCCCAAAGTGCTGGGGTTACAGGCATGAGCCACCACCCCTGGCCCCAATGACTTTTAAATATATGAAAAGATGTTCAAGCTCACAGAAAATAGAATAAATATAATACATTAGAACTAAAAAGATACACCATTTTCTAGCTATTAGATTCGCAAGGATATTACTGAGTTGGCAAGGTTGTGAATTAACGGGCACTTAGATGCTTTGCATCATTCCACGTGGACGTGGAGTGTGTATATTTTAAATGTGTGTGTATTTGCATACATAGTGACCAACTCTGGGAAGCTACACAGGAAACTGACGACAGGCTTGTGTCTGAGGAGGGATCTGGGCCTGCTGGGAAAGGAGAGCCTTTTCCACTGTGGACCCTTTTTAGGACCTTTTGAACCATTCAAACTTTTTAATGTGCACATTTTGATTTTTTCTAAAAAAGCCACAAGAACATTTACATTAAAAACTAGAATAGACATTTCCCCAATGTGCAAGGAAGAGAAATACAAGATGATGAGTAAATAAGAAATTATCAGTGATAGCTCACAAAAAAATGAAACTTCCCTAAATAATGTGAAATAATAATAATAATAATAATAATAATAATGTGTTAACGGTTTTGTGACCCTGTCTCAAAAAATGTGTATACAAATACATGAATATTTCTGGAAGAAATTCATCCGTGGACATGTAACAGGATACAACCTTTATCTACCAAAGTGGTAAATGCCATGTAATCACACTGAGCAATTCCATACACAGGTATTTAGCCTACAGATATCTTCATAATGTGCAAAATAATATGCCCAGGGATATTTAACGTGGCCTTGCTTGTAATAGCAAAAGATTGGAAAAACCTAAATGATCAAAGAGGACATATTATGATTAAATTATGGCACATCTATACAATGGAATTCTTTGCAGCCATCAAAAAGAAAGAAGCAGCATCCAGCCACTCAGGAGGCTGAGGTGGGAGGATCACTTGAGCCCGGGAGGTTGAGGTAAGCTGAGATAGTGCCACTGCACCCCAGCCTGGGCGACAGAGTGAAACCCTGTCTCAAAAAAAAAAAAAAAAAAAAAAAGAGGATGAAGATGAACTTTATGGAATGATATGGAATGGTATCCAAGATACACTGTTTTTTAAAAGAGAGCCGGGGCAAAACAGGGTGTAGAATATGCTTCCTTTGTGTAAAGAAAAAATAAATATGGTGGCTCATGCCTGTAATCCCAGCACTTTGAGGGGCAAAGGCGGGCAGATCACTTGAGGTCAGGAGTTTGAGACGAGCCTGGGTAACATGGCAAAACCCCATCTTGACAAAAAATACAAAAATTAGCCAGGAGTGGTGGTGCACACATGTTGTCCAAGCTACCCGCAAGGTTGAGGTGGGAGGATTGCTTGAGCCTGGGGGTATCCAGGCTGCAGTGAGCCAAGATTGCATCCCTGCACTCCAGCCTGGGTGACAGAGTGAGACCCTGTCTCAAAAAAAAATGTGTATACAAATACATTAATATTTCTGGAAGAAATTCATAAAGGTAATTGTCCCCAGTGAAAGGAATTTTTTTTCCTTTTTTTTTTGAGACAGGGTATTGCTCTGTCACCCAGGCTGGAGTGCAGTGGTGTGGTCGTGGCTCACTGCAGTCTCCACCTCCTGGGCTTATATGATTCCCCGACCTCAGCTTCCTGAGTAGCTGGGACTACAAGTGCACACCACCACACCTAGCTAATTTTTTGTGTTTTTTGCAGAGATGGGGTTTTGCCATCTTGCCCAAGCTAGACTTCAACTCCTGGGCTCAAGCAATCTGCCCACCTTGGCCTCCCAAAGTGCTGGGATTACAGATGTGAGCCACTGCACCTGGCCTAGAATGTTATACCATATGCATGTGTTATCTAATGAAAATTAAGTTTTAAAAGTTGAATATATCTATTACTTCAGCTATACGAGTTGTCATTCAAACCTCCCAAGTTCACTTTTTTTCTTTCTCTTTTTTTTTTTTTTAATATTAAGATGAGGTCCCGCTATGTTGCCCAAGCTAGTCTCAAATTCCTGCGCTCAAGTGATCCTCCTGCCTTGGCCTCCCCAAGTGTTGGGATTACAGGTGTGAGCCACCATGCCTGACCCCAAGTTCATATTGATTTGATTTGAGGTAGCCATCAAAGAATGAGAAAGACATGCTAAGCCACTGTTCTTCAATTGATTTCTCCATGCATAGCTAGTAGTTTTTATATTGCATATGAATTACAAGGTTCACGATATTCAAATGCATAAAGTTTTTTACTGTTCTATAGAAAACAAGAAAGAAGAGCTACTGCAAACGGAACAGAGAAAATAAAACCCGATGAACTTTCAAGCCCTCACATTTGCATTTTGGCACCAGGACCTCTGGCTTTCCGTTCGAAGTGTTACCTCTAAGAATCCCCAGTGCACCCCTGAGGCCGAGTAATCAAATGGGGGCGCTGAGAGAAAGGTGGAGGGAAAATGGCCAGGGTCACGCAGTCAGTAAGGGGAATCCAGACACGTGGAGTTGCAGTCCTGGGATCATGCCACCCCAGTTCAGACAGAGAGAGGGAAAAGGGCTGGGGTGCACCTGGAAGATTTATGGGGGCTCTGAGTCTGAGGAGGTGCGAGGGGAGTTTACCCCACCCTGGTTTCAGTGTCCCAGCAGACGCCTCCCTCCAACTGCCCTCGCTGCTGTGCTCTTTGGGAATCCTTCCTGCTGTCCTGAAAATGCTGTTGACACAGAGCTTAGAGGAGGGAGTGCAGAGATCAAACCTTGTTCTCTCCCTGCAGCCCACAGGCCTTTGCCTTGGCTGTTCCCTTTGCTCAGAAAGCCATTCCATCTCTAGTCCACACTCATACACACATGCACGTGCACACACATACATGTACCCACATGTGCACATGCACGCATACCTCTGGCTGGAGTTATCTTGAAAACTCAGCTCTGGTCTGGCCTCATGCCTGTCTGAACTTGCTATCAGCATCCCACTGCCTCCAGGATAAAGTCACACCATGGAACTGTGACCACCACAAAGCAGCTACATATCAGGTGTCCAGGGAAGGCTCAGGACGAATAAACATTGGCTTATGCCTGTAATCCCAACACTTTTGGAGGCTGAGGCAGGAAGATCGTTTGAGGCCAGGAGTGGGCAGACAGTTGGCGAGACGAGCCTGGGCAACATTGTGAGAGCTGGTCTCAATTTAAACAACAAAAAACAAAAACAAAGGATAAATAAACAAATGCCCTTTCATCATCCAGTCCCCGGCCCTCCTAGGCCTCTCCTGCACCTGCTGACCTGCCCATGAGATGCTGCTCACCACCCCCCGGCATTCTCTTTCACAAGTCCCCGCCTTGCACATCCTGCTTCCCTACCTCACGTCCCCTTTCCTCTTTTTCCTACCTTGCAGACTTCTCCTTCCAGACCAGACCTCAGCACGGGGATCCATTTCTCACCCTCTCTCCTTCCTTCTGCTATCTCAAGTCTTGCCATTCTCTAGGCCCGTCAGCTTCTCTCAGTGCCTGAATCTTGGTGAGGGCAAATGCCTCCGTACCAGGGCCCTGGATTTGAGTCCCTACTCCACACCAAAGCTGTGTGACCCTGGTAGGTTACGCAGCCTCTTCGTACCTCAGCGTCCTCATCTGTAAAATGAGGATCTTCTAGGTCAGGTCCCTAGAAGCAGAGCCCAAGGGGGTTCCTGTGGAAGTTGTTTATTGAGGGGGTGGTGGAAGAAAGATAGGGTAGCAGAGGCAGCTGAGCAAAGATATGGTTTCAAAAGCCTCGCTTCAGCCTGCCACATGGGAGAACTGGAGCGTGATGATAGAAGAGGTCCATCCTGCGCATGTGCAAGGGGTCTGGGTGGTCGGTCACACTTCACGTCACTGCACCCCCAGTGGGCGGGGGAGGGAGGCATGACTGCCCAGGCATCTCTGAGCAAGGCAATGCCCACCAGGCAAAGGCGACCCCGGAAGAAGGATGCAGGTGTCACCCACAGTGAGTGGGGGCATCCGGGCAGAGATGGGGTTGGGGGAGCTCTGACAGTGTCTGCTATGGGGGGTCATCATAATGCCCACCTGGCAAGATGGTTGTGGGATGGGGCATGTGGAATCCCTGACATGGAACCTGGCACATGATACAAACTCAATCCAGGCTGGGCATGGTGGCTCAAGCCTGTAATCCCAGCACTTTGGAAGGCTGAGGCAGGCAGATCACCTGAGGTCCGGAGTTTGAGAGCAGCCTGGGCAACATGAGGAAACCTCGTCTCTACTTAAAATAAAAAAAATTAGCCAGGCGTGGTGGCAGGCGCCTGTAATCCCAGGCTGAGGTGGGAGAATAGCTTGAACCCAAGAGACGGAGGCGGCAGTGAGCTGAGATCACGCCACTGCACTCCAGTCTGGGCGACAGAGCGAGACTTCATCTCCAAACAAACAAACAAACAAACAAACAAACACCTCAATCTATGTGGAGAAAAGGGAGACCTCATACACTGGTGGGAATGTAAATTAGTACAGCCACTACAGGACAGTTCGGAGGTACCTCAAAAAACTAAAAATAGGGCTGGGCACGGAGGCTCACACCTATAATCCCAGCACTTTGGGAGGCCGAGGTGGGCAGATCATGAGGTCAAGAGATTGAGACCATCCTCGCCAACATGGTGAAACCCTGTCTCTACTAAAAATACAAAAATTAGCTGGGCGTAGTGGCGCCCCATGCCTGTAGTCCCAGCTACTTGGGAGGCTGAGGCAGGAGAATCGCTTGAACCCAGGAGGCAGAGGTTGCAGTGAACTGAGATCACGCACTGCACTCCAGCCTTGAGACAGAGTGAGACTCTGTCTCAAAAAAAAAAAAAAAACAAAAAAAAACTAAACTAAATTTAGAGCTACCATATGATCCAGCAATCCCACTGCTAGGTATATACCCAAAAGAAAGGAATCAGTGTCTCAAAGAGATATCTGCACTACTATGTTTATGACAGCACTGTTTACAATAGCCAAGATTTGGAATTAATCTAAGTGTTCATCGACAGATGAATGAACAGAGAAAATGTGGCAGCTGGGCACGGCAGCTCACGCCTGTAATTCCAGCACTGTGGGAGGCTGAGGCAGGTGGATCACCTGAGGTCAGGCATTGGAGACCAACCTGGCTAACATGGCAAAACCCCTCCTCTACTAAAAGTACAAAAATTAACAGGGCATGGTGGGGCATGCCTGTAATCCCAGCTACTTGGGAGGCTGAGGCAGGAGAATTGCTTGAACCTGGGAAGCAGAGGTTGCAGTGAGCCAAGATCGTGCCACTGCACTCCAGCCTGGGTGACAGAGCAAGAGTCCATCTCGAAAGAAAGAAAAGAATAAAAGAGTAAAAGAAAATGTGGCACACATACAAAATGGAGTACTATTCAGCCATCAAAAAGAATGAGATCCCATCATTTGCAAGGACATGGATGGCACTGGAGGCCATTATGTTAAGTGAAATAAGCCAGGTACAGAAAGACACACATCACTTGTTCTCACTTATTTGTGGGATCTAAAAATCAAAACAATTTAAGTCATGGAGATAGAGAGTAGAAGGATGGTTACCAGAGGATGGGAAGTATAGTAGGAGGCCAGGGTGGGGGAGGTGGGGATGGTTAGTGGGTACAAAAAATAGTTAGAATGAATAAAACCTAGTATTCAATAGCACAAGAGGGTAACTATAGTCAGTAATAATTTAACTGTACATTTAAAAATAACAAAAAGTATAATTGAATTGTTTGCAACACAAAGGATAAATGCTTGAGGTGATGGAAACCCCATTTACCCTGATGTGATTACACACTGGACGCCTATATCAAAACATCTCATGTAACCCATAAATATATACACCTACTATGTACCCACAAAAATTAAAAATGAAAAATAAAAAAAAGGTTCAATCCACACAAGCTATGATTACCACTAGTGTGGTTGTCGTTGCTATCGCTTCTTCCGTCTCTCCAGCCCCTGACGCCTGGTGTAAGGAAGGAAGTGAGGGATGCAGAGAGGACAGGAGTGGAGCCACAGACTTCTGGCTGCCATTCCTTTGCTTTCCATCCTGTTTCTGCCTCTTGAGGATTAGATTAAGGAGGAGGTCCCATTAGGTCTTGGGATGGAGGGGAAACAAGACCTCAGTTTTCTCATCTGTGCAGATCAGAAAGGATGCAGTTTGTGGGGTGATAGCCAGGCACCCCAGTCATGACTACAGACATTTGGACAGAAATACCTCAAAGAAACAGAAAGTGCTGCTGTTGTTGGTTCTTTAGGTCCAGGTGGACAGGTCAGGGCCTGGGGACCCTGGGGGAGGACCTGAGGCCACAGAGGCCCTCCAATCCTCCCTGAATCCTACACCAAGCCCTACCAGGGGGACACAGAGAACCCAGCGCCTCTGCCTTCCCCCCGGGAATGGCTGATGATGTCAGGGCTTCGGATAACACCTGAGCCTGGATGCACAGGGTGGCAGAGCAGAAAGAGCCCCAGTGATGGGGTCTATGCTGTGCCCATTGTAAAGATGGGGAAACTGAGGCCCTGGGAGGGAAAGGCCTTGCTGGCATTCAAAGCAGAGGAAACAAAACTAAGAGCAGGGCTGGGCTGGGCCACTGGTCTCTTTCTGGGAGGCGTCACCCTCCTTTCAGGGGTCCCTTGGGAGGTGCCTTCAGGAATGGTTAGTGGCCATTTCCTCCCCCGCCCACAAATGCTGGCAGGGCAAGCAAGAGATGTCCTTATAGGGCATATCCATTTCTGTGAGTCAGTGATGATGCAGGGGTGACTGTTGCCTGTGAAAACCATCGTCTCTGTTGTCCCTCACAAAGATAGGGCCCTAAAGGACTTAAAACACACAGTCATGATGCTTTACACATGAGGAAATTGAGGCTCACAGTGGGAAAGGGACCTGCCTAGGTCACCAGCTAGAGTCGAGGAGCCAGGAGTTGAAGAGGTGTCTCCCTGCCTGGCGGCCCTGGGGATGTTCCTGAGCCTGCACTCAAATTCATGCCTGCACTCCCAGCCTCAGGCCTGAGCCTGGGTGGTCCCTGTCCCCAGTCCAACAAGGCCATCTTCTTCTGGTCATTGGAAACCCAGCAATCTGGGTCCCAGCCCACATCACTAGTCTTTAAACTGCCTCCTTCACCCCAGCCACCTTCCTATGCTAAAGGCTTGAACTTTCCACCAAGAGCCCCCAAGCTTTCCAGATGCACCCTCCTCCAGGACTGGGGTGCCCTACTGCCAGCCTGAGCCTGGCTGGGACAGCAGGTGGCCAGCTGGTGGCCTTGCTTCTCCTGCTCAGCCCTGGCAGTTTGGGTCTAGCACCCACAGGAAGGGGTGGGTGGCTAGCAAGGCTGCTAGGAGAAGGCTCCCGCTTGCGTGTCCCGGGCCCCAGAGGCCTCTCCCTGGGGCTTCCAGGCCAGTGGTTCCCATGCTTGTCTGCACGACGGCATCACCTGGGAAGAGGGTCTTTAAAAAATCCCAATGGGCCACACTCCAGACCCATCACAGCACCATCCCAGGAGGTAGAACGCAGGCACTGGCACTTTTGGAAGCTCCCGGGGGGTTCCCCATGTGCCGATGTCTGGGAACAACTGTTTGAGGCTGTGGCACCCAGCTCTCCACTCCCAGTGGGGAGAGACAGGCTCCTCGCTACCTCCCACCTGGGGCTCTGCTTCTCCAGCAAATCAGAGCTGAGTGATTCTTGTCCTCTGAGAGCCCCAAAGGCCCTGGGGACAGGAAGGCCACCAAGTTGACCATATTTAGATGGAGACCTTGAGGATGTCTCCCCATAACCAACACTCAGCTTTATCCCCTTCCCAGGGCAGAGCACCTTCCTCAGACTGGGAGCTGTTTCTTGGCACCTCGTGCCCCAACTCTGTGGCTCTGCCAGGGCTTGGCACACCCAAGCCAAAGTGAAAATAAAACCAAGGTTTGGAAGTCCCCTCCTCAGCTCCAACCTTGCCATGGGGCCTGGCAGGAATGTCCCAGAGGAGTCTTGCTTTGGTTTGGTAAGTAAGGCAGGGGACAGAGTAAGCTCGAGACATAAAGGAGAGAAGGCCTGGATCCAGGGCTCAGAGCTGCAGGCTGGGAAGTGGTTTGCCCATCTTGTAGGGCAAATCAGCAGTGACTTCTAGATCTTACTGCGCTTCTACCCTTTGACCTTACCACTAAACTTCTCAGCAGAAAGCAAAATGGACAGCCTTGGGGCCCAGAATACACAATGTGATCGACTGAATATTTGTGCTCCCCTGAAATTCACATGTTGAAACTCTAACCCCTAATAGGAGGGTATTAGGAGCTGGGGTCTGGGGGAGGTAATTAGGTCAGGAGGGAGGAGCCGTAGTGAATGGGATTGATGCCCTTATAAAAGAGACCCAAGAGAATGCTCTAGCCTGCTTTGCACCATGTGAGGATACAATGAAAAGTCCGCCATCGGCAACCCGGAAAAGGGCTCTTGCCAGAACCCGACCATGCTGGCACTCTGATCTCAGACTTTAGTCTCCAGAACTGTGAGAAATAAATTTCTATTGTTTAGAATCCAGCCAGTCTCTGGCACTTTGTTACAGCAGCCCCAATGGGCTAAGACACACAGAGTCTTGGATAAAGAAATTCCAGCAGCGGTCTTTAAACACCCTAGACAGCCATAATAAAGTTTGGTGTAACCACGCTGTGGGATTATGTACAGGAAAGGGACTTATTTTTTGTTGACGTGGCTGTATCTTCAAGATGTATCATGGAATAAACAAGACACATTGTATAATGATATGCACAACATGATATCACTTGTCTCAAAATACACATCAACAAACAGCAATACTGTTTCTTCCCACAGGTCGATAATAGCATGTTTTATAACTTAGAGGCTAAGAGCATGAATTTCGGAGCAAGGCTGCCTAGATTTGGGACTGACCTTTCCACCAACTGCAGGCTGGGTGACGCCAGGCCAGTTACATAGCCTCTCTGGGCCTCAATGTTCTCATCTGTAAAATGGGGATAAGAGCAGCACCTACCTCACAGAGTTATTGTGGGGCTTAAATATGTAAAGCTCTTAAAGCAGTGCTTGGAAGTTAGTAAGCCCTATATAAGAATTATTTTTATTATGTGAAGGTTTAGATAAAGTTCTGGAAACATATCAAATAGGGGTTACTGCAGGAGAGGGGACAGGCATGGGGCTGGAAGCAGTGAGTAAAATAGATATCAGCTTTATGTATAAAAAGTTTAACTTTCTGCAAGGAAGACTGATTCGTGTCTTACTTGTGTGGTTTAGAATTAATACATTTTTTTAAAGTAAAAAAAAAAAAAAAAAGACATCAGTGACTTGAGGCTGGGCCCTTTGAATTTAGCAGAATTTTGCCTCCAGACTGGATCATCTGAACTGCTCCCTCCCATCCTGGCAGACATTGCCAAACCCATAAAACTGGGGCAGAAGAAAGGTTGGAGGGGCTAGACGGCTAGAGCCTTGGTTTTGGGTCTCACTGACCCAAAACTGACTTAGAGGCTGACATCCGGACAAGTCCCAGCTCCCTTTGGGCCATGGTTTGTGTATATGTCAAGCAGGAGTAATGCTTTGTATGCAGCCCATCTCACAGGGAATTGTGGAGCTGTTAAAAGAGCCTCTAATGCTGGGCATAGTGGCTCACACCTGTGATCCCAGTACTTTGGGAGGCTGAAGCAGGAGGATCGCTTGAGCCCAGTAGTTTGAGACCAGCCTGGGCAACATGGAGAAACCCCATCTCTACAAAAAGTACAAAAATTAGCCAGGCATGGTGTCGTGTGCCTGTGCTCCTAAGCAACTGGGGGTTGGGGGACAGAGGTGGGAGGATCACTTGAGCCTGGGAGGTTGAGGCGCAGTAAGCCGTGATATTGTGACTGCACTCCAGCCTGGGTGACTGTGAAAGACCCCCATCTCGAAATAAAATAAAAGAACATAATTTTTGAAAAAAGATCCTCTGGGGTCAGGAGGGCTGGGTTTAAATCCTGATTTCAACATTTTAGTGCTGTGCAACCTTGGACAGTTTTCTTAACCTCTCTGTGCCACTGTTTTCCTCATCTGGGTGGTGATTTTACATTTACTTCACAGGATCACTGTGAGGGTTGGAGACATTAATACTACAGCACAAGGAGGGGACATGTCCAGTCCGCAGCCAATGCTCATTGGCTGTTATGTACTGAGTTCCCGGCATAGGCTGGGCATCAGGCTACAGTATTCCACCTGCACCTCCCCATTAGAATCTCAAGCAATATTTCCAGGCACGTTTCCTGCATTTCATAGATGAAGAAACAGGCTCCAAGAAGTCAAGCAACAAAAGGTGGATTTAAAATCTATGCTGGCCGGGCACAGTGGCTCACACCTGTAATTCCAACACTTTGGGAGGCCGAGACAGGCAGATTGCTTGAACCTGGAAGTTCGAGACCAGCCAGGGCAACATGGTGAAAATCTGTCTTTACAAAAAATGCAAAAAAATTAGCCTGGCATAGTGGTGTGCACCTATAGTCCCAGCTATTTGGGAGGCTGAGGCAGAAGGATCACCTGAGCCCAGGAAGTTGAGGCTGCAGTGGGCTGTGATCACACTACTGCACTCCAGTGTGGGCAACAGAGTGAGACACTGTCTCAAAAACAAAATAAATAAAACAATAAAATCTATGCTGATTCCAGAGGCCATTTCCTAACTGAAATATAATACTGCTTTCAACAAATGGTCGTCTTTTAAAACTAAATTATCATTTTATTATGTCTTTATTATTTTTCCTGTTTACGAACATAACCTGTACTCATTTGGAAAGTTCTAAATATTCTGGAAGTATACATTATGAAATTTCCCCCACAAACTCACCCTCTAGGGGTAAGTGTATAATTTCCAAAACTCTTTACTCATGTTTGAGATTTTTTTTGACTTATCTGAAAGCCAGAACACCATTTCCTTAAAGCTTTTCTAGAAACCATGTCACTTTTAACTTTATTTTTTGAAGTACCACTTGCCACGAACTGAAGGTATCATCGAAAAGAAACTCAAGGGTGGGGCATGGAGGCTCACACCTGTAATCCCAGCACTTTGGGAGGCTAAGGCAGGAAAACTGCTTGAGCTCAGGAGTTTGAGATCAGCCTGGGCAACGTAATGAGACCTCGTCTCTATCAAAAATAAAAACAAAAAACAATTAGCCAGGTGTGGTGGTGCGCACCTGTAGTCCCATCTACTTGGGAGGCTGAGGCAGGAGGATCGATTGAGCCTGGGAAATAGAGGCTGCAGGAAACTATGCACGGAGCTGTGCAACCAGTGCACTCCAGCCTGGGTGACAGAGTGAGACCTTGTCTAGAAAAAAAAAGAAAGAAAGAAAGCCAAGGAAAACAAAAAACACTATGATGCTGTTGAACTGTAGCTGGGTATTGCTGCAGACCCAGGGCTCTGACCGGAGGCCTGGCCTCCCCTTGCTGAAAATATCAAGAGTGTGAGAGGTTTACAGATGCGTTAGCACCTGACTGAGGCTTTCTCTTTCACTAGTCTGGAAGAATGAAAAAGAACTGAAAAGGGAACAAATTTGTCACTTTACGATTCAATGGAATCGGATGCCCTCTCCACATACCTCCTAAAATCCTCTTGTGAACTCCTACTGGATAGGTCTTTCTCTGGGAAAACACTGACCTGTCCATTTCAATAAAAGGATTCTGCAGTCCAGAAACACACAGGACACCTTCAAGAACTCAGTGAATAAGACTATTGAGAGACACACAAAACAGCAAGCTATTTCTCTCTTCAAACATGATGCCACGGTAAGATCTGAATGCCTCAAAGCACCAGCTTCCCAAGGCATGCATGCTCCTTCCATTTCACCAGGAGGGACAGAAGGGACCGTGCAGGACAAGGGGTTCTTGAGGGTCTGGCGATGGTACAGGATCCATCCCACCCACAAGGGATAGGTGCTGGGGGATTGGGAAGCTTCCAGCGGTCGGCAGCCTCTCTACATTGGCACAATCTTTTAGGAGAGAAATTTGACAACACGGTTTCAAACATTTAAAAAATAAAAGTTCATATATCCCTTTAGGAGTCCACTTTGAGGATTGAGCCTAAGGAAGCCATCCAGAATGTGAGCAAAGCTCTAGCTACGAGGATGTTCACCAGGGCGTTGCTTACGCCTGGATGTCAGCGGGAGCAGCCCTTCCTTTCTTGAGACAGAAACAGCCAGCTGGGACACCAACCCACCTGCAATGCCATGACCTATAGGAGGCTATGGCCTCTCCTGGGAGCTCTGCGATTCCTGGGGAGGAGGTGGGTGGGCACTCCTCTAGCTGAGGGCTCCTGCTTTAATTCAAGCAGTTTGTTGCTTTTTTTGAGACCGAGTCTCCCTCTGTAACTCAGGCTGGAGAGCATGGCACGATCTCAACTCACTACAACCTCCACCTCTCAGGTTCAAGCGATTCTCCTGCCTCAGCCTCCAGAGTAGCTGAGATTACAGTCACGTGCCACCACACCTGGCTATTTTTGTATTTTTAGGAGAGACGGGGCTTCTCCATGTTGGCCAGGCTGGTCTCAAACTGCAGACCTCAAGTGATCTGCCCATCTCAGCCTCCCAAAGTGCTGGAATTACAGGCGTGAGCCACTGCGCCCAGCCCAGCCCATTATTAAATTACAAAACAAAATTGCAAAAATTGCAAAAATGTCATTCACAATGAGCATCTGGGAGCACAAAAGCAGACTTTAAGCAGCATTTTCTCCTCTTCTCCCTCCTCTCCTCTTCTCTGCTTTCTTCTTCTCCCCACTTTTTTGTTTCTTGCCATCCCCTCTGACTGGTTCCCTCTTCCTCCAGATGCCATGGCCCATGGTTCCCTGCCACGCTCCCTTCAAGTTCTCTCTCAAATGTCCCAACATCCCTACAAGAAGGCTACATCTGCCTCTCTATCCAGCATGCTCCACCCTCGCCTGCCTTGCCTTCTTCACTGCAGTCACTTCCACCTGACCTCATATGACATGCACATCTTTGTTTACTTGTTTGTCTGTTTCTACTGCCTCATCAGCTCCACAAGGCAGGGAGTTGGTTGTGTTCCCGGCTGTAGCCCAGTGCCTAGAGCAGGGCCTGGTGTGTGGAAGCTCAGTGGAGAAGCTGAATGCACTCATGATGGCAGGTGGTGAGCCAGAGCCGGTGTCTGCAGTGCTGGTACCTGCCTCACACGGAGCAGAGGGCATTCCTGGACTCACCGAAAATGCCCTTTTGCCATCCTTCCCCTAAGAAGTTTCTGGGAGTCATCTCCCTCTGTGGCTAACCTCCCTCCACCTTCTCTCCTTCCTTTCTTCTCCCCTCCCTCCACCCCCTTTTCTTTCAGGAGCAAATACAGCCCCTCCGCCCCATACACATACACCATGCAAAGCACTCTCTTCCCACCCAAAATGGTCCTGGTCCCTGTTGGCCATTTTGCACACAGGTTCCAGCCACCCCAAATCCTATCGAAGTATTTTCCCAAACGTATTTCCTTTCCTTCACCATTATGGTGAGAACTATTGGAAGAATTAAAATGTCATATCTTGCTTTTTTTTTTTTTTTTACAAAAAACAGGGAAAACATCCCATATATAATACAAGAAAATGAGACCCAATATAAATATCTAACAATGACGCATATGGTTCAGACATTCTATAAGCAACTATGCCACCATTTTAAATGACAGTATAACCATATAATAGACAAAGAGCAAATTCCCTTAACATGAAAAGTGCTTTTACAACTCAACAGGAAAAAGACCAAAAGCCAATAAAAAAGTGGGCAAAGGATATGAACTGACAGTTTATGGAAAATGAGCTACAGGTGACTCTTAAATATTTGAAAAGATGTTCAAACTCATTCGTAATAAGAGGCATAAAAAACACACCATTGTTCGTCTCCCAGATTTGCAAATATGGAAATTTGGCCCCTCCCCCTCCAGCTGGTGGGAGCAAAAATTAGTACAACATTTAAGGGGGGATAATTTGCCTTATTTATCCAAGTTCAAACTGCATATTCCCCTTGACCTTGCAAATCCACTCCTGGTTTTCTTAAAGATTCACTCCCACGTATGAAAAATGATGCCTGACCAAGGATATTCATTACAGCACTGTTGAAATAGCAAAAGACAGGAAATAACCTAAGTGTTCTACAACTGTTAGATCAATTACAGAGCAGTCATACGGTGAAATACTAGGCAGCTGTTAAAAAGAAAGAGGGAAAGGGCAGATTTTAAAATTTTGATGTAGAAAGATTTCCAAATTGCACTAAGTTTAAAAAAAAAAAACCCAAGTTAGAGAACACTACATATAGTACACTGCCATTTGTGAGAAGGGAAAAGTACACATGTGTGTGTGTGTCTATATATGTGTATATGTGTGTGTGTGTGTGTGTGTATATATATATACACATATATACGTGTATATATATATGTATATATCCATGTTTGTAAAAACACACTTAGACTGTCTTTGGAAGGAGACACAAGAACCTGATAACATTGGTTGTCTTCGGGGAGGGCAATTGGGTGGCTGGGAGACAGGAGATGGAAGGAGACTTATTTTTCATTATATCTTTCCAAATGTTTTACATTTTTAAAACTACATAAATGTATTAGCTATGAAAAATTAAAAATTTTAAAACATGATATAATAAGATTTAATTTCCCTTTAACGCATAATTCCATATCATTTATTTTTAAAAGTGAGATACCATTTTCATGTATAAGTCCATTAAAAATATGAATATATGGGCTGGGTGTTGGTGGCTCATGCCTGTAATCCTAGCATTTTGGGAGGCCAAGGCAGGTGGATCACCTGAGGTCAGGAGTTCAAGACCAGCCTGGCCAACATGGTGAAATCCTGTCTGTACTAAAAATACAAAAACTAGCTGGGCATGGGGGCAGGTGCCTATAATCCCAGCTACTCAGGAAGCTGAGGCAGGAGAATCACTTAAACCTGGGAGGTGGAGGTTGCTGTGAGCCGAGATCATATCACTGCACTCCAGCCTAGGCAACAGAGTGAGACTCCCTCTCACTAAAAAAAAAAAATAAAATAAAATAAATAAATAAATAAAATAAAAAAGATCTGGCAAACAAATCTGGCTCACATCCTTAGATTGCCTCCAAAGTTTTTACAGTGTTTGGACTTGCATTAGCTTGCCTGGTCCTTAGTTCAATTCTGTATGGAAAACAGAGCAGAGATGCTGGGATGGTGTATTCGTTTCCTAGTGTTGTCACAGTAC
This sequence comes from Homo sapiens, assembly GCF_000001405.40. Taxonomy (NCBI): domain Eukaryota; kingdom Metazoa; phylum Chordata; class Mammalia; order Primates; family Hominidae; genus Homo; species Homo sapiens. The sequence continues at coordinate 56,992,285 of NC_000016.10, read as the reverse complement.
TGCTGTATCTGCTGTCACAAAGTGCCACAAGCTGCGTACATTAAAACAACTGAGATTTCTTCTCTCGCAGTTCTGGAGGTCAGAGTCTGAGATCGAGGTGTGGTCAGGGCCGGGCTCCCTCTGAAGGCTGGAGGAGAGGATCCGTCCTTGCCTCTCCTGGTTCCCACCGGCTGCTGGCCATTCTAGGTGTCCTGTGGCTCCTAGATGCATCGCCGCACTCTCTTCCTCCTCCGTCCATGATTGTCTGATCCCCGTATGTCTCTGTCTTCATGTGTCCATCTCCTCTCTTATAAGGACACCGGTCCTATTGGATTCAAGGCCCATCCTACTCCAGTATGACCTCATCTTCACCAGTTATATCTGCAACAGCCCTATTTCCAAATAAGGTCACGTTAGGAGGCGCCGAGGGTTAGGCCTTCAGCATATCTTTTGTGGGGAGGCACAATTGAACTCATAACAAATGGGAAAAGTCATGCTAAGAAGTTATGGCTGGGTGTGGTGGCTCACGCCCATAATCTCAACACTTTGGGAGGCAGAGGCAGACTGATCACTTGAGGCCAGGAGTTTGAGACCTCATGTCTATTAAAAAAAAAAAAAAAAAAAAAAAGGAGTCCGGGCAAGATGGCTCACGCCTATAATCCCACAGGAGGCCGAGGCGGGTGGATCATCTGAGGTTGGGAGTTTGACACCAGCCTGGCGAACATAGTGAAACCCCATCTCTACTAAAAATACAAAAATTAGCTGGGTGTAGCGGCGGGCGCCTATAATCCCAGCTACTCGGGAGGCTGAGGCAGGAGAATCGCTTGAACCCAGGAGATGGAGGTTGCAGTGAGCCAAGATCGTGCCACTACACTCCAGCCTGAGCAACAGAGTGAGACTTCGTCAAAAAAAAAAAAAAAAAAAAAAGGAATAAAGAACAACAACAGCAAAAGAAGTTTTGCTGAATTTTCCTCAGAGGGGAAGAGGGTATGTGTGTTGGGGTCTGAGGAGGCTGACCCGGCCCTGTGGACACCCGGACAGCTCTGTATCTGATCCAGGAATAAAGTTCAGCATATTGTGAAACTCTTCCAAGATCTTTCCCCTCTGCTTGTCTGTCTTCTTCAAGGATCCATCTCCCCTCACACTTGTGCAGCATTTTAAGGTTGATCAAGGCACTGGGTGGGCGTGTATCATCTCATTCAATCCACAAAACACACTTTGTAGGATAGATTTGCATATGTTCATTTTACAGACGAGAAACCAAAGTTTCGAGAAATTGAATGGTTAGTTCATGGTCATCCAGCAAATACCAGTTGTTGAGAGCCCCAGTCTGTCTGCCGTCCACACCATGTGCAGGTCCACCTGGCAATGTGCTTCAGGAGACAAGGCGGGTGGGCATCATGGATGGCCATTCTGGGCTATGGTTCAGTAAGTTTTGCAGAAAGCACGCTGGATGGGAGTCTAGATACACCTGAAAAGCATCAGATACATCTAGATACATCTGAAAAGCCCATGGCTTTTCAAGGTTTATTTCTCCCTTAGAGAAACGGAAGGTGATTTGAAGGGACAATGAGGCTCCAGGATCTGGCCCCGGGGTACTCTCTGCCTCCTGCTACCCCCGGGTTTTAGAGGCTGGGAACTGCCAGTTTTCAAACTGCTTTTTAGGTCTGCAGAAACTTCAACCTTTTAAAAAAGGAAACATAAGAACTCCAACTTATAAAATGGACGCAAACGGCACTGAAGGTAGGAGCCTCTTCCGACCTCCTCGAATGATCACCCCAGCCAGTTTCAGGTCCTGGCTTTCTGGGTGAGAATAGTGACCGAAAACCACATGGGAATGCAGAAAGCAAGTAACAAAACAACACCCACGTATTCACCTATCACTTATGAGGTTAAATGTTCCTTAGAAATAATCTGGAGATTTGACATTAAGGAATAACTATTAAAATGTTTGTAGTATGCTGGTGGTACTGTGGTTTTGTTTTTAAAAGATGCCTTATCTTTTAGTACATTCTGAAATACCTCAGTTGAGATGCTATGCTGTCTGCCATTTGTTTCAAAATAACCAGCGGTGGAGATTGGGCTACCTAGGTGGCCTTGGGGTCGTGAGTAGGTGGCCTTGGGGTCGTGACTGTCCAAGCTGAACGTGGATAGGTGGGGCTTCATTATATGAAAACCCGCAGGTGCAGAAGGCTCAACCTAATTCTATTCCTTCTACTATTGTATATGTTTGGAATTTTCCACAATAAAAAGTTGTTTAGGCCAAAAAGTCTAAATTGCGTACAATGAACAGTGTAACTTCCGTAATTGTTTTAAAATCAATGAAAAGTTGCAAAGTAAAAGACAGAGAGAGTGGGTGGATCCGGTAGGTGACAGGAGCTGCGCAGGGAGGGGAGCACAGCCGCTTACTGTGTCCCCCCATCCAGGCGACCCTCATCTGCCATCCTCTGCGGGCCGGCAACTCTTCCTCCAAACTGCCGGGGCGCATGCTGTGCGCGCTGCCGGGCCACTGGCGCCCTGTCCGCTTACCCAGCTATCCATCGGCCAGCCACCCGGCCACCCGCACCTCCCGCTCCAGGGCCTCTGACATCCCCTCCACCCCTCTCCGTGCAGAATTCGAACCCCGATCCTCTCCCTTCCGCTCGCCCCAGCCCGGGTCCCGCAGCCCCGCGGCACGCCCGGCACTCACCCTCAGAGCTCCCGGCACTCACCCTCAGCGCTCGCGGCTCCTCCGCGCTCTGCACGAAACTGAAAGTAGAAGCCGCCGCCTAGAGCTGCTCCGCCAGTGCATGGAACTGGCGGCTGCTGCCGAGAAATCACGTGGATTCGAGGTGCCAGCCCGAGCCAGATGGGGCTCGGGCGCGGGATGGGCGGGGGCCTAACACACCCGCTCCCTGCTGCGCCCACACCCTGGCACCTCCCCACAGCCCCGCATCGGACCCAAGGACAGTCCCAGGAGACGTGGGGGCGCTCACCCCTTTCGTGGACGGGAAACTGAGGCAGGCGGGTGAAGGTCGGCTCACATGCGGAGCTCAGGTGGGTGGGGACCCTGGGCCAAGACCCTGTCTCAGTGCCTCAGTGGGGACTGGGTTGGATGGGAGGGGGGATACGGTGCAGGAGGAGGGGACTTAGAACCAGGGGGAGAGCGGAGAGCCTCCAGGATGAACTAGGGGAGAAGGGAATGGCAGCAGCGTTCGCTCCTATTCACCGAACCCCTGGCTGGCTGACCCGGGAAAAACAGTCTACCAATTTATCTCATAAAGTAACCCTAAAATACTTCTGCAGGCATCACCCTATGTTCCAGGTGAGCCACTGAGGCTCAGGGAGGACAGAGGTGAAGGATCTTGCCCCAGTCACAGGAGGAATCACAGGCAGAAAGGGGGAGATGGAAAGAGGTAGGAGGGAGAGCAGGGAAGGAGAGGAGGGACTGGAGGGGGCAGAAGGAAGGGGAGGTGGCTGTCCCAGGATGGAGTCAGGGGCCATCCTCAAAGTCCAGCTTCAGCTTCTCCAGGTTTTTGCCCACATCCTGGGACAGGGGGCTCCTCTCCCCCTGGACATACTCATCCGGTGGGCAGCTGTGCCTGCTAGGAAGGCCTTCTACCCACCTCCCAGACATCCCACAGGGAAGCAACTTTCACTCCCAGACCGCTGGTGCTCCCCTGCCTCCCAGGCCTGGGGTGGGTGTGGGTGAGGACGCTGCAAGGTAGTGGTCAGGACACAAGCATCAGCATCGGACATCCCTGGTTCAAGTCCTACTCAGAGTGGGAAGGACACAGACTTTGCAGTGATTCCTTGTGTGTGACTCCCAGCTTCACCACTCCTGGTTGTGCAACCTCAGACAAATGCCTTGACCTCCCCTGGCCTCAGCTTCCTTATCTGTCAAGTGGGGTATTCCTAGTCTCCCCAGGCCACTGAGGGGCATGGTGGGAATGGATAAGAATGTGGGTGTGAGCTGTATGCATGGGAGGGATTGATTATGTTCCAGTATGTGCCTGCTAGGAAGGCCTTCCACTCACCTCCCAGACATCCCACAGGGAAGCAGCTCATGTTCACTGAGCACTGACGGGATGGCTGGTCCTACATGAAGTCCCAGGAAAGACCTGTGCATGAAGTCCCAGGGAAGACCCTGACCCGCTCCCTGTGCAGGCAGGGTAGACAGACACTTGAACAAATAACCACAGTCCAAGACACAAATGCAGATCATTTTCAGATGCATTTAATTCTGAACAGCCCTGTGAGGAGGGCAGGACAAAGATTATTATCCCATTAGACAGATGAAGAAGCTGAGGTCCAGATAAATCAAGTGAGTTGCTGAAGGTCACACAGCAATGAGGGGCAGAGCTGGGTCTTGACCCTGGAGCCCTTTTCACTCTGGGGGTACCAGGCCTGCCAGAAAGGTTATCACCAAAGGGTTCTGGAAGAGTGACCTCCTCAAACTTTCCCTGTCCTCAGACTGGCTTGTGGCCTGAGAGTCCGCTATCAGCACATCATACCTTTGGCTAAAAATGTGCTAAAAATGTGCCAGCCCCTCCAGTGTCAATCAAATGGCCATCAGTCATTTACACTTGAGTGTGGAGAAGCCGATCAGATTTTATGGGTTGGAGATGAGAAGGAATCTTGAGTGTTTGGACTTTTGGGTGGGAAACTGGAGATATGAGAGGAAAGTTTGACAGCAGAGAGAACTCAGGAGGTGGGTGGGGAGGGAGTCATGGTTAACTGGAGGATGGAGTGAGTCCGCATGACCTAGACACCTCTGTGTACCTCACCTCCATGAAGTATAACCAATGTCTGGCACTCGTGGAGCACTTAGGATATACCAGACACTGTGCTCTCTCCTTTTTTTTGAGATGGAGTCTTGCTCTGTCACCCACGCTGGAGTGCATTGGCATGATCTCAGCTCACTGCAACCTCCACCTCTCCGGTTCAAGCAATTCTCCTGCCTCAGCCTCCCGAGTAGCTGGGACTACAGGTGCATGCCCAGCTAATTTTTTTTAAAAACATATTTTAGTAGAGACCGGGTTTCACCATGTTGCCCAGGCTGGTCTCCAACTCCTGAGCTCAGGCAATCAGCCCGCCTTGGCCTCCCAAAATGCAGCCGCTCTCTCCTTTAATCTTTTTGTTTGTTTGTTTTTAAGACAGTCTCACTCTGTCGCCCAGGCTGCAGTGCAGTGGCACAATATCAGCTCACTGCAACCTCCACTTCCCAGGTTCAAGCAGTTCTCCTGCCACAGCCTCCAGAGTAGCTGGGACTACAGGTGTACACCACCATATTCAGCTAATTTTTTTGTATTTTTAGTAGAGATGGGGGGGGTCACCATGTTGGCCAGGCTGGTCTTGAACTCCTGAGATACCCCTGCCTCAGCCTCCCAAAGTGCTGGAATTACAGGTCTGAGCCACCATGCCCGGCCTCTCCTTTACTCTTCATGGCAACTGTTATCTTTCTTTTTACAGATGAGAAAAGGGAGGCACAGAGAGGCTAAATAATTTGGCCAAGATCACACAGAAGCAGAGGAGCAGAAGGGTGGACCCAGGCAGGCCAGCTCTGCAGCCCCTGCTCTTGGCCA